>NC_000002.12:53826715-54129746 GCF_000001405.40 Homo sapiens | reverse complement strand
AAGAATCTCAAGAATTCTATGTTGATTCTAGTAGAACTTTACACAGTGATAATATATAATGACTGAATATATAATACACATATATATGTAGACATACATGCTTAATGCTCACATATATCTCCATAGTACATATCTATTATATATAATAGATAGTATATATACTATAATAGATAGCAAGAAGTTACTAATAATGCCTAAATTGACATTATGCATATACATAACATTAGGCATATACATAGTATTAGTGCCAATCATAATCTTGAATGCTATAATCCTAAATGTTGAAATCCTGAAAGATCAAAATCCCTAAAGTCAGCCAGGTGTGGTGACTTACACCTGTAAGCCCAGCATTTTGGGAGGCTGAGGCAGGAGGATTGATTGAGCCCAGGAGTTCGAGATCAGCCTGGGCAACAAAGCAAGACTTCATTTCTGAAAGAAAAATAAAAATTTTAATTAAAAATCTCTAAAGTCTAAAATCCCTAATGATTAAAATCCTGAAAATCACAATCCTGAAAGATTAAAATTCTGAATGATAAAATCTAGAAAGCCTAATTCTGGGGATACGATTAGTACCTGTTTGGTTGTGTGCATAATATTTGCATCATGTTAGCTGCATCATGTTAAACAGAACTATTACCTTGTTATTGTCTTTATTTGGAAGTGAATTATGGTTTAAGGAGACACATATGGGTGCCAAATTGACCAGGGCTGGATTTGTGGACTTAATTTTAGGTGTCAATTTGACCGGATTAAGGAATACCTAGAAACCTGATAAAGCATTATTTTGGGTGTGTCTGTAAGGGTGTTTCCAGAGATTACTGTGAGTCTGAGTAGACCAAGTGGGTAAGATCTGCCCTCAGTGTTTTGAGTGTTTCAGAGAAGTGAAAATGCAGGCAAAAGATACAAGAAATCTCCCCTGCCAAATTATTCAATTGTGTATGACTTCCGCATCTTCACACATAGTACCACGCTTGCCCTAAAAAAAAAATCCTTCCTTTGTGCCAACTGAATTTTTTTTAAAAAAGGGGGGAAAAGGAAAAAAAATAACCTTCATCGGAGAATAAAAGGAATTTTTTTAAAGAGATGGGGTCTCACTCTGTTGCCCAGGCTGGAGTGCAGTGGTGTGATCATAGCTCACTATGGTCTCAAACTCTTGGCCTTAACCAATTCTCTCACCTCAACATTCCAAGTAGCTAGAACTACAGGTGCACACCACCACGTCTGGATAGTTTTAAAATTTTTGTAGAGATGGAGTCTGACTATGCTGCTCAGGCTAGTCTCAAACTTCTGGCTTCACTCAATCCAACTGCCTCAGCCTCCCAAAGCACTGGGATTACAAGCATGAGCCACTACCTCCAGCCAAAAAAAAAATGGAATTTGAAAAGCTCAGTGAACTTCTGAATGAAAGGCACTTGCTGATACAGAGGTTCCTCCAGTGATACAAAACACGTTAAATGATGAACTATTCTTGATCAGGGATCTGTCCATCAAAGAAGATAGACTTCTATTTATTAAACCACCCAATCTAACAAAGAAAAACCAGTGCATGCTTCAGTTTGGCTAATGTGTGGCACTTTCAAAACCATCCCCACCATTTTTTGCCAATTGCATATGATTCATCCCCCTGTTGGATCTCAAAATTCTAGAACTTATCCACTCATTTATGTATGAATGACTGGACAAAAGGGAAGCACTTTATAAAACACTTATTTGAAGATTTGGTGGATGTTGCAAAAGAAAATGGATTCAACTGAATCCCCAAATCATAATGACAGATTAGGTGCAACAAAGCTTCTGAAAGTGAATTTCAAGATGTCACTAACAAAGTTTATTTTTTCCATTCAGTCTGATGCATTTAGTGGAAAACTTAGATGAGTCGATTGGCCATGAGATATGGCAATGATGAAAACTTCAATTTAAAAATGTGTCATTTGTCTGCATTGGCTTTCCTTCCAGGTGATGAAATTCCAGAAGCTTTTTTTTTTTTTTTTTTTTTGAGACAGTCTCGCTCTGTTGCCCAGGCTGCAGTGGAGTGGCATGGTGTGATCTCGGCTCATTGCAACCTCCGCCTCCCAGGTTCAAGCGATTCTCCGGCCTCAGCCTCTAGAGTAACTGGGACTACAGGTGCATGCCACCACACCGGGCTAATTTTTTGTATTTTTGTAATTTTTGTGTTTTTAGTAGAGATGGGGTTTCACTATGTTAGCCAGGATGGTCTCAATCTCCTGACCTCATGATCCACCCACTTTGGCCTCCCAAAGTGCTGGGATTACAGGTGTGAGTCACTGCGCCCAGCCCAGCTTTTAATGGATTGAATCTGCATTTGCCTGAAGAAACCAGCAAAGTTACTGACTGGTTTAAAAATAATTATGTGCATGGTAGGATTACAAGACATATAACGGTGTTGTTGTTTGATCACAAGTATAGTCTGCACTAAATTTGTAGTCTGTATATGAGTGCATGCAGAATGAATTTCCATGTATGCAAAACATAGAAGCATAGCACTGAAGATGGAAAACCTTAATAGGGGATGATTATGTCAGTGTATATCAAATCATAGAAGAATTTCAAAAAGAGCAGTGCCATGTAGAATACGGATGTAAATGTATTTTCCAAAAAGAGCCATGTCCAAAAAAAAAAAAAAAAAGCAGCTATTCATCATGAAGGAAGACTTCAAAATATAGATAATGATTGTGAAAAGTTGGCCAATTCTTATGGACTACCTCCATGCAACTGCCTATAATCTTTCACTGTAATATACTTTTTTGCATGTCAATTTTTTTTTTTTTTTTGAGACGGAGTTTCGCTCTTGTCACCCAGGCTGGAGTGCAGTTGCACAATCTCGGCTCACTGCAACCTCCACCTCCCGGGTCCAACTTATTCTCCTGCCTCACCCTCCCGGGTAGCTGGGATTACAGGCACATGCACACCACCACACCTGGCTAATTTTTTGCATTTTTTAGTAGAGACAGGGTTTTACCATGTTGGGCAGGCTGGTCTCAAACTCCTGACCTCAGGTGATCCGCCCGCCTAGGCCTCCCAAAGTTCTGGGATTACAGGCGTGAGCCACTGCACCCGGCCAGAAGCATAAACTTTGTAAAGAGTTTTAGAGTTCTAATTTGTTTTATGCTTTTTTTTTTTTTTTTTTTGCAAATTTGACTCTATGAGTGTGTCACCACAACGCTGACTTAGTATTGTGTATGTATGTAAAAAATGTTGAAACTTCCTTAATGAATGAAGAGATGTCCTTTTTGTATACGTACATTTGTGAAAGATAAAATTTCTTGACATCCTGGCTTTTTGAGTGACTGCATATACAGTGGTGATCCGTCACAATTTTTGATCAATCTCATCAAAAGACTTAGGTTGTCCATCAAGGTATGTCAGATGACCAGTTACAAAACTGGTTGCACAGAATTACCAACTATAGTGATATGCATTTATATATTTTGCTTTTAGACCTACTTCCTTATGAATATAGTTCATCTTCTCGTAACTGTTACACCTATGTGACTGTCATCAGTACACCTCAGTGTGTACAGTCACAAAAATACATACGTTATTATTACCTATCTTCTTCTGCAAACTGGCCTATGAAGTTTCCGTTGTGTTTTTAAATGTTTCTCAAATAAATCTCCTTTTTATTTTTATTTATTTATTTTTTTTGAGTCGGAGTCTCTCTCTGTCGCCCAGGCTGGAGTGCAGTGGTGCAATCTCCGCTCACTGCAACCTCCTTCTCCCAGGTTCAAGCAATTCTTCCGCCTCAACCTCCCGAGTAGCTGGGATTATAGGCGTGCACCACCATGCCCAGCTAATTTTTGTATTTTTAGTAGAAACCAGGTTTCTCCATGTTGGTCAGGCTGGTCTTGAATGCCTGACCTCAAGTGATTGCCCACCTCGGCCCCCCAAAGTGCTGGGATTACAGGCGTGAGCCACTGTGCCCAGCCTGAATCCCCTTTTTAATATGTTTAAAAACTAGTTTTGTTTTTGTTTTTTGAGACATAGTCTCGTTCTTGTTCCCCAGGCTGGAGTGCAATGGCACGATCTCGGCTCACTGCAACCTCCACCTCCCAGGTTCAAGCAATTCTCCTGCCTCAGCCTCCTGAGTAGCTGGGATTACAGGCGCCTGCCACCATCTCCAGCTAAGTTTTGTATTTTTAGTAGAGACAGGGTTTCACCATGTTGGCCAGGCTGGTCTCAAACTCCTGACCTCTGGTTATCTGCTCGCCTCGGCCTCCCAAAGTGCTGGGATTACAGGTATGAACCACCGTGCCTGGCCAAAAATTAGTATTTTAAATACTCTTTGAATGATTTTTTCCAGATTATATTTTTGGGATTTTTGATCTTTCAGAACTGTGATTTGGGGGATTTTAGACTTTAAGGATTTTGATGTTTTGGAATTTCAACATGCAAGATTATGGCGTTTGGAATTGTATCTTTCAGGATTATGGCCCAAACACACATAGTATATACATAACAAAAGACATAAAAACCACAAGACTTTAAAAATAAATGGTCAAATTGGTTGTTTTATAGAATATACAGGATTTGGGGTTGGAAACTGGAGCAGGATATGGTAGCTGTTGCTTTTTATCACCAGCTTTTCTATACTGTTTTGAGTTTTTTTTTTTAAATCCATGTGCATATGTTAATTTGGTTTAAATTTTCAAAGTTTTAAATTTAAAAGCATTTGGGGCAGGGCATGGTGGCTCATGCCTGTAATCCCAGCACTTTGGGAAGACAAGGCAGATGAATTGCTTGAGTCCAGAGTTCAAGACCAGCCTGGGCAACATGGTGAAACCCCATCTCTACAAAAAATATGAATACAAAACGTAGCTGGGCATGACAGTACATGCCTCTAGTTAGCACATGCGTCTTAGATAGCACATGATAGCACTTGCCTCTAGTCCCAGCTATTAGGGAGGATAGAGTGGGGGAGGATCAATTGAGCCTGTGAGGTCGAGATTGCAGTGAGCTGTGATCACACTGCTGCACTCTAGCCTGGGTGACAGAGCAAGACTCTGTTTCAAACAAATAAAAAAACAAATAAAAGCATTTTTAACTATGAATGGTAACAATACACACATGCATTTATTAAATCTTAAAACAGTAAGTTTGAGGCACAATTTTTGGTTAAATTCATACTTCTTGACAAACTGGGTGGATAATAAAAGTGTCACCCATTGCTTAAGGCAGTAATAGATGGAAATAAACAAGGCTGAAATAAATCATATAGAAAAGATTCAATATGGGCTGGGCGTGGTGGCTCACACCTGTAATCCCAGCACTTTGGGAGGCCGAGGAGGGTGGATCACCTGAGATCGGGAGTTCAAGACCAGCCTGACCAACATGGAGAAACCCCGTCTCTACTAAAAATACAAAAAATTAGCCAGGCGTGGTGGCACATGCCTATAATCCCAGCTACACAGGAGGCTGAGGCAGGATAATCACTTGAACCTGGTAGGCGGAGGTTGCGGTGAGCCCACATCGCGCCATTGCACTCCAGCCTGGGCAACAAGAATGAAACTCTGTCTCAAAAAAAAAAAAAAAGATTCAATATGAACTTAATAGAAATTTAGGTTGTTTTTGGTTACGGAGCCAGTGTTTTGAAGGAGAGGTTATGGACACAAGATCACAATCTTTTTGTAATGTGTCCTTTTGTGTCACTACTTGGGAAAAAAACATCAAATGTAATAATTGTTTAGAAGTGTATTTAATATATGAACGACTGTGACAGGCACAGCTAGTTGCATACCCCAAATCCATTCTCCCATTCTTCCCTTCTAACAGAACTCTGATTTTACTTGGGGCAGCAATGTGCCAGTTGATGTTTCCCAGACTTCCTTATAGTGGGGATGGCCAATGAAATGTAAGCCGTATCACTGGTTGGGACTTTCAAGACAGCTCTTCAACAGGGGCTGACTTGGCTGGGAGTTAGTGGTTTCTCCATGTCGGGGTATTGCACTGGTACCCTTTTTTCTCCTAATCATGGTATGAATATTATGATTGGAGCTAAGCAGCAATCTTGAAATCTTGAGGGAGAGGCCAAGGACATCAGAGACTTTGTCCCTGACTTCCCTGAGGCACTTTAACATGCCAGGGGATGGAGGAAGAAGTGGGGAATGGGGGAATGAGGTGGGGAATGGGAAGCAGCTGGTAAAGGGAAGGAGGGGTGATGGAAATGTTCTGGAATTAATGGTAATGCTGCAAAACATTGTGAATATACTAAAAACTACTGTATATTTAGTGTTATGTAAATTATATCTCAATTTTGTTAATGCCACACACACAAAAAAAGGAAAGCAGAAAACAGGACTATGATGTAGTCCTTCCTACCTCTATTTGTAGAACAAGGGCAGTCATTCTCCAATTTTGCTTACCGTACAACCTCCCTGACTTTTTCCTATCACTCCATACCAAAACAACTGCAGTGAAGATCCTCTTGAAGTACGGCAAGTAGAACTAAATGACTGAGCTCTCTCTAGATTTTATAACTTATTTCTGCAGGAGAAAGCATCTTTCTCTCTAGCGGAAATTCCTTCTGTGAGGAGGCGTATCATTAGTGTGTCATTCCTGGCTACTTTCTACCCTGCCCTTGTCACAGGGACATGCAGTGACTCATCTACTGGGTAAATTTAGAAGGAGAAACATGCACAGCCCAGGCATGTCCTCTTCTTCCTCCCGCTGGGAGCAAGTTACCCACAGGGATCATACTTCTGGCTCTACCCTAGAGTAGCCTCCCTGTGCCTGAAGTTTGGGGTGGCCACTGTTTAATTCTGTAGTACAGGTCATTATAAAGTCCACTTACCTGCAGATAGACATCACATTCCTAAAACTCCGCTTTACTCTTTGTCTTGACAGTAACTCACACAATGAAGATAGGTGTTATTTGTTGGGCCCCTCAAACTACAACTCTTATTTTAAAGCCTTGGGAGGAAGGTGAGCCAAGGAGTCTCAAGACTTCTAGCCCATTAACTCTGCAAGGCACTGAACCATGCAGGAATCAACTGCTCAAAGTTTCATAAGCCACCAGGAATTTTCCCAGAATCTTTCTGAGAGTCCTGATTCCTAGTATGAAGCATACTGCACAACAGATAGATATCTATATAGAAAGAAAAGGTAGATGTGGAGACATTTTTCTGCACTTTATCAGTGTTGGCTGGAACACAGCCCTCTTGGGACAGGGCTTCTGTAGGAGATTTATCTATGGGCTTTCGTGGCCTCCCCATACTTTTTCCACCTCACTTGCTGAAGAGAAGGAAAGCTGATATGACACATGCAGGTTTTTTACAGACACTCTGCTCTGGAAACTGGGGCAGACATCAGCCCTTTTGGTGATAAAAGACTCCAGCACGATATGCTGCTCAGTCAAGGTCCAGTCCACTACAACTGTACCTCACTTTGTGGAAAGAGGTGTCAGTGAGAAACCCTGAGAGGAATGTTTGCAAAGTAAATCATACTTTGAATTGACAAACACACACTGATATTTAAAGAAACCTGTGATGAGTTTTAAATGTCAACACCTTTTCATGTAAAATCCTATTTTTTATATTGTAACCTACCATTTCATCCTGGGATCTGACTGCATGTGTCAATTTTGAATGCAGGAAGTGATCTATATGCTGCCTTACAAAGCAGCCCTTAATGACTGTAAATATCTTTAATTGTTACAAAGCTTTCCTTATGTGGAATAAAATTCTGCCTTACTTAACCTTTCACCATCAGTCCAGGTTCTGTTCCCTGGAGCCATACACCACGGCATCTTTCAAACAGTTAAAACAGCCATCACACTACAATTTCTTCTCCAAGCCAGATATCCCCAAATACTTCAATTTAATTCAGTTCACTTTTGAAGGACCCACTAGAGGCGTAGCCGTGTAGGGGATATGAAAACAAGCCACCAGCCTGACCTTCAAAATACTGTCATTATTTTCTAGTGAGAGACACATACAAGTGTACACAGATAACTGTAGCTGAAAGCAGAATGATTAAAAGGATAAACACAAAGTATAACTACTATAAATAAAATACTATAAGAACAAAGACAGGAGAGGGAATTAGAGTTAACCATATTTATGTTTCTTGACTTTAATGGTGGTACTTAATATTTTCAACCTCTAAAACACAGCTTTTCCATTTACTTGTCTATGTAAGAAAAATGTGTACTTCTAAATCATGCATTATCTGACAAAGCCATTTAATAATTCATCCCAGTTTTCATTTTAAGCAATATTTAAGAAATATGGTATTCATCTCAGTTATAGCAGTAGGAAACAGACAAATTCCTCGGTAGACAGGGACAGGTCTCCGGTGAAACCAGACCTTCAAGTGAAACCTGAAACCGAGTTGCCAGTTCCAGGTGGAGTCCACAACCAGAGTGAGAACTTCCTCGATGCCTTTTAGCCAACTGAATGGTGCTTTTTCCAGGCCCACCCATGGAACAATTAGCATACACCCCATTCTGAGCCCATAAAAACCCCAGACTCAGCCTTACAGATGGCTATCCACTTTCAGGCCCCCTCTCACACAGAGGGCTACCCACTTCGGGTCCCCTCTCTTTATCGAGAGCTTTTCTGTCAGTCAATAAAATTCTTCTCTGCCTTGTTCACTCTCCAGTGTCCGCGTACCTCATTCCTCTTGGTCATGGGACAAGAGCGAATGGCAGGTGCAAAAAGAGCTGTAACATATGCTCATGCTCGCCGAGCTATAGGAGTGAAAAAACCATTGTGTGCCAACATGCCCCCATTTGCTGAGCTGCAGGCAGCAGGACCCAATGAGTTGTGACACGCTCCCATTCACTGAAGCTGCAGACAGCAGAAATGAACGACAGTGTAACACTTTCTGGAGGCTCAGGCCTCAGGACTCCCCAAGCAAAAGCTGTAACACACCTTGGGGCTCTGTGGTTGCTGGCATCTCCAAGTTATTGGGCACTGCCACATCCCCCTCATCCAGACACCAGCATCCAAGGTAGAAGTTGGTCACGGCACCCCTGGACCAGCTGCGGGCTGACCACAGAGCCAAGGCAAGCGCAGGATCCAGACCAGTAGCACAGCCTGAGCGCAGTCTGCTGGGCCAAGTGGGCAGAGTAAGCCCAGTGGGCCCAAGCAAAGCCTGGGCAGAGGTGCCACTAGCCGTGGAGATTTCTGGCTGGCAAAGTGGCACTGAAAGAATTCTGTGTCATCAGTAGTCAAATAAGCTACTCTTATTCTAAAAAAACTCAGTCAAAAAAAAATTCTAAGCACATGTATACCAACAGATAGTCACAATGCATTTCTAGGAGTGTCATTAGTATTCCCCTGAGAGCTGGTAAAGCATCAAAGCATCTATACACAGCATAATCAATTTCCCTTTCAAATTTTCAGATTATATTATTCTAGATGTAAATATAATTAAACATCTATAGAAACATTATAAACCAGGCCACAGTTACAAACACTCTAAAAGCACAGGGGCTCAGTCCCCAGCTCTCTTAACCCTCTCCCAAAGTCCTTGATGCAAGGGAAGTTGATGGGGAAAAAACGTGGAGCTCCTTGAGAATGTGAAGATTTTTTAAAGTACAGGATGAAAAGAGAGAGAGAAAAAAAAGAGTAACTTTAGAGTGGAGAAACCAGACAAACACTATCACAGCCAGGTGATCAAGGTTAACATCAACAGTGATAAGTCAGATTGACAGTATATACCCTTGATAGGTGTGACAAGAGCAGCACTTCACCTCTGTGGTCTTCCTTCCAATACCCCATTATCCCAGTCTTATCATAACAAAAATATCAGACAAATCCCAATTGGGGAGCATTCTACAAAGTACTTGACCTCAAAGTACTCCTTAAAACTGCCAACGTCATCGACAACAAGGTAAGTCTAACAGAATGTCACAGCCTCAAGGAGCCTGAGGAGGCAAGGGGGCTAAATGTATCTGGATGGGATCCTGGAACCAAAAAAAAGACATTAGGTAAAAACTAAGGAAACCTTGAAAAAAGTAAGGACTTTAGTTCATAATAATGTATCCATATTGGCTTAAACCAGTTGTACGGTCCCTATACTAACAACACATCATTTTTGGTTGGAAAACGTTTTCTGCAATAAACTCAAGCAAGCCAATTTAATTCATTGATCAATTTTCCATACAGGAGGGTTAAAACATTTTCCATTTTTTCCATGTTCACTTTCATGTCATTGAAACAATTTTCACTGGGAATAGTTTCCACTCAAATATTTTAATGATGACTTTATCAATCCGTATTTTGTCCATAATAAATGTTCCCAATTATAGGTTCTTCCATTGCGAATTTACTTTCATAGCCATTATTTCTAACAAGACAGTTTTCACTAAAATTTTATTATTCCATACTTTATTTATTTTATTGTTTCTTTAGAGACAGTCTCACTCTGTTGCCCAGGCTAGTGGCTCATGCTTATAAGGCCAGAACTTTGTGAGGCCGAGGTGGGAGGCTTGCTTGAGGCCAGGAGTTCAAAACCAGCCTAGTCAACATAGTGAGACTCCCTCTCTACCAAGGAAAAATTAAAAAGTTAGCTGGGCATGGTGACTCATGCCTGTAGTCCCAACTACTCAAGAGGAGGCTGAGGCAGGAAGATCATATGAGCCCAGGAGCTCAAGGCTGCAGTGAGCTATGATCTTGCCCGGGTGACATAATGAGACCCTGTTAAAAAAAAAAAAAAAAAAAAAAAAAAAAAAAAGACTACTAAGATTCAAATCCCACTTCTTAACTTGTGTATAACTGGGAAAGAAGTTACTTCCCCACGCCTCAATGTCTCCATCTGTTAAATGAGAAAAACCATTGCAGTTACAGGGATGAGGATTAAATGAGACAATATATGTAAAATGTTGAGTACAGAGCTTGGCACATTCTAAATTGTCAGGGAATGTCAATGTAGATGTATGTAAATATGTGATGGTGAGTTTGTACTACATACTATGCCTTGATCAATAGTGGGCATGTACTCTCTTCCATTTAGCATACTGCAAACTATAGGAATTATTGCCCTAAAGTTGACTTTTTAAACCCCACTATTTATGTATAGTACGTTTCTCTTTTCCATATTTTTACTGCTGGTCCAAATTGATTATATACCGTGTTACCACTATGTGCACAAAAGTGGAATTGTATAGTTAATAGAAATATATAATGTAATAGCAGATAACATCTTATAATGGGAAAGCACAACTTTTAAAGTCAGAGAGATGTAGAATCAAATCCCATTTGTCAACTAAGGGCTTGTCCAAGTTACTGAATCTCTGTGCACCTGTTTTGTCCTTGTTAAAACAGGAATAAGACATGCATCTCACAAAATTGTGATGATTAAGTAAACAACAGTGAAATGCTCAGCACAAAGAACACCCATAATAAATGTCACACATTCACACACACACACAGACTCCTTCACTACTGCCATTTGTCTCTAGTGGACCATTCTGTCAGGTGATCTTTGCCACCACTTTCGTATTTTACATTACGTGTTTTGGTGACTTATTGTGGCAGTTTTCAAAGCAGGATAACATACCGCTGGGTTCACTCAAAGACTTTCTAAAGAGTACAGATCCATGCATAATGTTCAGGGAATCAATTTCCAGATCTTCAACTTCCACATATATTCCTTCCTAAAACTGACCTGAGACTCCTTTCCTACCTCCCTTTGCACAATCATCCTTTGAAAGAAAGGTCTCCTGTTATCCTAAGTGAAGTAACTCATGAATGGAAAACTAAACATTCTATGTTCTCACTTCTAAGTGGGAGCTAAGCTATAAGGATGCAAAGGCATAAAAGAATGATACAATGGATTCTGGGGAGTCAGGGGGGAAAGGGTAGGACGGGGTGAGGGACAAAAGGCTACACATTGGGTACAGTGTAAACTGCTTGGGTGATGGATGCACCAAAATCTCAGAAATCACCAGTAATGAACTTATTCATGTAATCAAACACCACCTGTTCTCCAAAGACCTATAGGAAATAAAAATAAAATTAAATTAAAAAAAGATCTCTTTACAAAAGGCACACTTTTACCCATTCTTAATCTTACCCTGGTACACTGCACCAAAGTGTAAAAACCTCTAGAGTACCAAATACAAGGATAATTCAACTCTTCCACCAACCGAGGTTCCATAAACACCCCCAGTCTTCTCATTAATAAATTTCTGGCTGAGTGCAGTGGCTCACGCCTGTAATCCCATCACTTTGGGAGGCGAAGTGCAGGAGGATCCCTTGAAGCCAGGATTTCGAGACTTGCCTGGGCAACAGAGACCCTTTCTCTACAAAAAAATTTTAAAAATTAGTCATGCATGGTGGCATGAGCCTGTAGTCCCAGCTGCTTAGAAGGCTGAGGCAGAAGATCACTTGAGCCCAGGAGTTCCAGGCTGCAGTGAGCTATGATTGTGCCATTGCACTTGCTCCAGTCTGGGTGACAGAGCAAGACTCCATCTCTTAAAAAAATAAAATTAAAAAAATAAACTTCTAACACAAATTTACCTTTAAATTTTAATAATGTTTATCATACTTTTTATATTTTCATCTAGTGTTCTAATAATAATTTCAATAATAACTCCATCCAGACAAAAAATTTAATACTTGGAGCTGTTGAATACAATGAGTTCTAAATTTCTCTTCAAAGAATCAGTATGTCAGTATGCTCGGTTCTTTGCGCTCTAAAGTCTAGCTTCCTCGTTCTCCTCGCCTCTAGTTTCAGTAAACAACCTTTTCCACCAGTTCTAATCAGTAGTTCACCTCTATTCCTCTGGTCACCTGCTCCATCCTGAGTCACCCCTGGTCACCTGCTCTGACCTGAATCATCCTGAGTCACCTGTTCTGTAACCACCCTTCCTGCCAAATTATTCACCCCGCCACTTGAGCTCGTACGCCTGCTCTTTAAAATAGCCAGTCGGAATTAGCTTAGACTGTGCGGTCCAACCCTAGCCAGTAGGGGAAAGACACAGCAGTAGAGGCTACCTGCATCAGGAATAAGAACCCCTTCCCCTCCCCTGTTCAGGTGTGCCGTTGCCATTGCTTCATCCGCGAGTCGCACCCTTCTATAGAGGTAAAATTGCCTTGCTGAGAAAATTCTTTGAGCGCTAGTTCTTCTTTTTGGCACCAAAGAACCAGCATTTGTTTCTAAGAGAGCCTTATTGTCAAAGGAAATTAAGAAAAAGCATTACACTTATTCATACATGTGCATATATGTACATATACATATTGCAGAAAAGTATGATAGGGTGAGCAAAAAAAAAAAAAAAACCCTCAAGCAAAACAATGGGGTAATTCGGTGGGAAAAGTGAAATGAAAATCAAATTCAAAGAGGAAAAGAAATGAGTAAAATTTCCCATTGTTGAAGAGTTTTATTTTAAATGAAGATGGTGGATGTTAAATCACTACCCTATTTATATTCCATTGCATAAATCTCAGAGTGACTTAATATTTTCATTTATAAATATCAATATTTTCAACAAGCCAGACATTACAAACTTGGCAACTACTTAAACTTAGGATGAAACAAAAATTAGATAACAATTTCATTCTTTTAAGAGCTACAAAGAGGTCTAAAAAAAGGTTTGACCTCTGAAAAATTAACCTTAAACCATCTAAGTGTCCTTCCTAAAACTCAAGTCAAGCCCAGGTAGCTTCAGTGGCAAGCAACGAGACCACTAGTTAAAAGACCCTCTTCTTTTCCTACCCAACTTCAACATTCCCCCGTGCCGCTTACTCCCGCACCCAGCAGCCGCCCACTTCTGGTCCTCAGCAGTCCCCTGACCCCTCCTCTCCCGCTCCCCCACTTCCCTCCCCATTCCCGTACTTCCGCCCGTCCAAGTCCTCGGGCGCATGCGCGTTTCGCCTCCCTCCCCGCCGCCGCTGCTGTGTCATGGCGGAGCGGAAGTCCCAGCCACAACGGGAAAAGGCATACTTTAGGTGGGAGGCGCTTCTCACAGCTTTCTCCCCTTCCTCCCATAACCTTTTTGATCTCCCACCGTAGAGGGGCCTCCTACCCTGCACTCTTCCGAACACCTCGTAGTCCACGGATTTGAGTGACTGGGCGGTAGACATGGCGGCGGCGAGCCCTCTGTTGAGGAGCCGGAGAGGGGCTCGGGGCGCAGCGACTGCGGCGGCTGCGAGAGGGAGGGGACACATGGGACTGCTTGGCGCACCCCGCGCCTGTCACCGGTCCCGGACGCTAGCGCGCCGGGGTCACGCGTCGGAAGCGGCAAATGAGACTGCGGGGCCTGGGAGCGAGGGCAGCCGGGGACGCCAGGAGGGAAGAGGCCGCTGGGCCCCAGGCATCCTAGGCCTCTCTTCCCGGACTGGGGAGGATGCTGTCTCCACAGCGCTCCCTACCATTTAATTGATCAAGGTACTCTGTTCTCAAAGTTAGTAAATAAAAGCCGGATGCTGTGCCCAAAAAAAGAGTGGCTTCCCCCAGCTTTATTAAAGTGTAATTGACAAATAAAAGTTGGGTATATTTGTGGTGTACAAGGTGATGTTTTGACATATGTATGCATTGTGAAATGATTACATCAATGAAATTAACGTATCCATTGCACCATTTTTTAATGAAGAGAACATTTAAGATCTACTCTCATCAATTTTTAAGGACACAATACATTTATCGCAGTCACCATGTTAGACAACAGATCTTCAGAACTTATTATTCACACTAACTGAAACTTTGTACCCTTTGACCAATATCTCCCCATTTCCAACCCCTTTCATCCCCCATCCCAGGTCCCCCACCCCACTCCATCCCAGCAAGATTGGCTTTTGAAATCAAGGGCCTGCGTGTTTAGTGTTTTGAGAGTTAGTAAATTATTTATGAAATGTTTAGGTGACTACCAAGCCAGCTTTTAAGATAAGGTCTGCAACATCTTGAGCTCTTCTGTACAGTCAGGAAGGAATTGAGCCTGAACTCGTATTCTAAACGGATTGTGATATTTTCTGGGATAAGAAACTTTTTAAAAATATGAAGTCTTTTATGCTAGTGGAAACAGACAAAAGAAAAACACTGTAGTCATCTTGTCTGCTGTTCATACAGTTTTTTTGGTGTGGGTTTGTTGCTGTTGTTTTGAGACGGAGTTTCGCTCTTGTCTCCCAGACTGGAGTGCAGTAGTGCAATCTCAGCTCACAGCAGCCTCCACCTCCCAGGTTCAAGAAATTGTCCTGCCTCAGCCTTCCAAGTAGCTGGGATTACAGGCATGCGCCACCTCACCCAGCTAATTTTTGTATTTTTAGTGGAGACGGGGTTTCACCATGTTGTCCAGGCTAGTCTCAAACTCCTGACCTCAGGTGATCCACCTGCCTCGGCCTCCCAAAGTGCTGGGATTACAGGTGTGAGCCACCACACCCGACCTTTTTTTTTTTTTTTTTTTTTGATTGTCTTGATTATTCTCAGCAACATCCCAATTGCCTAGAAGGTTAAGGCTGAATTTTATTTCCTGGTGAGCTATTACCAAGTTTTAATATAAAACCATCCACCACTCCAAAGGATCTGGATACAGCTATTGATAATCTGCCACCTTCTAGAATTCCAAATCTGTTTACTTGTGAGAATTTGCATTTCTCTATTTGTTGGCCTCAATACCTTGGCATATTTCTCTGCATCTGGCCACACAGTTAAAATAATCCACTGCAATCTGATTCAATATACTGTGCCAATTCTATTAGAGAACACCAAAAATCATCCAAAACTTGGTTAGAATATGGTTAAATCATTTTTAAAGTAAAATATATTCTGGAAATGCTAGTGCAGTTAATTTATGTAGTGAAGGTCTTAGTTTATTGCAGAGACCTCGTAACTTAACTCTTCCATCTCCCAGTTCATTCCATGCAGACTCTAGAATCAACATAAATTTTAAATCATTCTTCTTAATACGTTCAAAATAGAACCTAAGGTCTTCAGCCTCCACTACCTGCTTATGCAAATCCTGCATTTAAACTATAGTCAAGACACTCTCGGTTATTCTGCTCTCTCAGTACAGAGGTTTAAAACAAAGAACCTCTTCTCTTGGGTCTACTCTATCTGGAATGCCTCCCCCTTCTCCAAAATCTTCCTCTATCCCGCTCAGTCATCTCTGCGAGTGGTTACCAGATTTTATCCTAGTTATTTAGTGTGCCTTCCCCACTAGTACAGTCAGCCATCCATATTAGCAGGTTCTGCATCCATAGATTCAACCAACCTCAAACAGAATTTTTTTTTTTAAGTATCTTGGCCTGCACGGTGGCTCACACCTGTAATCCCAACATGTTGGGAGGCCAAGGCTGGCGAACAGCTTGAGCCCAGGAGTTAGAGATGACCAGCCTGGACAATACAGTGAAGCCCCGCCTCTATAAAAAATACAAAAATTACCTGGCTGTGGTGGCCTGTGCCTGTAGTCCCAGCTACTTGGGAGGCTGAGGTGGGAGTAGGATCACTTTTGCCCAGGAGGCAGAGGTTGCAGTGAACCGAGATGGGGCCACTGCACTCCAGCCTGGGTGACAGAGCGAGACCCTGTCTCCAAAAAAAAAAAAAAAAGTCATCTCTACTGAACTCATGCAGACTCTTGTTTCTTGTCATCATTCCCTGAACAATACAGTATAATAGCATTTACATCGCATTAGGTATTTTAAATAATCTAGAGATGACTTAAAACATACAGGACAATATGTGTATGTATGTTTCTATTAGGAACTTGAACATTCCAGGATTTTTATATCCAAGGGGATTCCTGGAACCAATCCCCTGCAGATAACAACGGACAACTATAGCATAGCTTCTAAGTAGTCACTGACTGGGAAGGTTGACATTTTCCTTTTCTTAATCTTTGACTTTTCTCCACATTTACCCAAGAGTACCCCTGCCAATTATTAGGTAGGTTTATTTGAATTTTAGAAGTGCTATAGCAACAATTGACATTTGCTTAGCTGAAAAATTTGCTGTGTCTGCCAGCAGTCTAACATTAGCAAACGGAAATTTTTATGTACCATTTCGGCATGGATTGCCAATAATATGTGATTCTAAGTCTTTAGAAAATGTACGCAAATGTTTCTAATATATGTTTTAAGTAATTATAGTATGAATGCAACTTTTATTCTTCTTTTCCATGTTGTAGTCTTTCCAATGAATATTTTAATAAATCACATTAGGTGGATAAACCACACATTTACCTACTGTGAGTCCCTGTTGTTACATATTCAGGCTGCTTCTCATTTTTCACTACCATAAAAAAGAAAATATTTATGCATGTAGCTTCCTTCCCACATATTTTTAATTGAAGTTGGAATATCAAATCAAGGGTATAAGCATGTATTGTTCTTGATATATATTGCCAAACTGTTTTTCGAAGGGCTGTGCCAATTTAAATATATTACTACCAAGACTGTATATGATTATTTGGCTTTTTATACAAACAAATGTATGCAGGTCCTTCACGTACAATGCATGATTAAATTATATGAAGCTTTGGTTTTGTAACCTGAGCAACAGCTTTGGAATAACTAGGCTTTGTGTTACTACTGGTTGAAATTAAAACCTGTTAATTCCCTTCTTTGAACCCTTTAAGACAATTGGTTTGTGATCTAGGATCATGTTTAAGGTAATACATAGAAAGGGAAAATCCTGCTTATATAATATGACTGTAAAAGATGACCAGGCACCAGAATCTGTAAAATAAGCATAGATAATACACATTTACATGTGTGTATTATCTATATATGACAATAATACATATGATAGATAATACACATCTCTATATGTGTATATCTAATAAGGATAGATAATACACAGAACCTGTGAAATAAGGATAGATAGTACTCTGTGTCCAAATGACATTTGAAGTGAGGAGGTACCGCCTGTAACTCTCAAATTCATCACCACATGGGGTCATTTGAAAGTGATTGCTAGAGTTATTTCTCAGAAATTTGATATTAAGATATGATTGATTTTAAGGACAAGCAAAATTACTTTATCCATCGGCATATTTCTATCCCTGAAATATTTTTGTAATCATTATGTTGAAAGTGCAGGACCCAACATGATACAAATTGTTAACTTCCATTCAATGATTCCCTGTGGAAGGAATACTTTATAGGTAAAATAAATGCTTAATTATTACTAAACTGGATTCAAAATTATTAGACAGCAGACTGTTGGTCAGCTGAGCAAGTAGCTGGTTTCCCAGAAGAGGCTTTAATCTTATTACAAGTTATCAGAAAATTGCTTAAGCGTTCTATCAGCAAAGCAGATTTCTTTCCAGAAGGAGATTCTGTCCCAGGTTTGAACCAATTTTTCTTTGTCACAGTCCAATTTAATATTAAAAAGTCAGAAGGATATGTAACATTAAAGTGTCTTCCCTCTCCCAGCTTGGTACTGAGTATGCTGAAGTGAGGAGAGGGCATGGTTGGTCCCCCCCGCCCTTGCCTTAGTTTCCCCCTACCTAGCTGAAAATGGGAACAAACAAGTACTTTTGAAATCCATTTAGGCTCTCTGGGAATGGTGAATATTCAAAGCTGACTACTTATTTTGCAGGATTCTTTTTGTAGGGACTCAGAGCTTCACCCCACTTGGAATTCTTGACTGCTGCTCCCTTGTTAGGCTATGCCAGTTCTCTCTACAGCCGTATCCCAGCTTCTGTATTAAGTGCCCCATCCCAGCTTCTGTATTAAATGCTACACCTCCAACCTCTTTCTGCTGAAAGAGACTAGCCCCCAGCAAGAAGGCCATCTGGGTGGGATCCATTTTAAACTGACCACAGGACCACATCCCTCCCTCCCATCATATCTAGTTATGGAGGCTCATATCTCTGCCCTACCAGTGATAGAAGTCACAGATTGCTCTGAACTCAACCACCTCTCTTTGCTCTGCTTGGCAGTCATTTTTCAGACATCTCCAGCCACAGCCTTTCCTCTTTCCTTTCCTCAGGTATCGGTCAACGTGTCTTTCTAGCTCCAAGGAGTAAACACCGAGTTCTCAGAGAGGTTTTCTTAAAGACTGTCTCACTGAGCTTGGGGTGATGGGGCGACACCTTGCTTCTCTCTCCCACGGTGGGAGGGAAAAAAGCCACAGTTCCCTACTGCATTTCCCCAAAGAAATACTCTGGATCCTGAGGTGGGTGTTGGACTAAAAATCTTAAAACTCTTTTAAAATGCCCCTTTTGCACAACACAGGGAGTTTAGCACCTCATCTCAAAATGTAGCTATAACTATGGTTTTGTTTTCAGTCCCAGGTCTCAGCTAAAGCAGAGATAAAAGTCCTGTTTTTCAAATCAACAGAATTCAATACATATACCTTGTTTGGATCCTGATTTGAGTACGTAAACTTGAACAAGACATTTTTTAGACCATTGGGGAACTTTGAATGTAGGCTGACTACTAAACATTACAGAATCATCATTAACTTTGTCACTGTGATAACGGCATCGTGGGTATATTCTTTAAAGGCCTTATCTGTTAGAGGCATGTACTGAAATACATAAGGGTACTATGATATAATATTTGGCGCTTGATTTAAAATCCTCAGGGTTGGCAGGTAGGACAGTTTAGATAGAATAAACTTGGAAATGGTGACAGTTTTGAAGCTGGGTCTTGGGTAGATGGGGATTCATTATACTATTCTCTAATTTTGTGTGTGTTTAAAATGCTTACGTGAAGTTTAAAAATAAAATTAAAAATTGAAGAGAATATAATTTAATTCTACGAAATGCCTGACTAGTAATCCTCAAAACTGTCAAGGTCATCAGAAACAGAGAAAGCCTGAGAAGCATCTACCAGGAGCCTAAGGAGACCTGATGACTAGATGCAATGTTAGTATCCTTGGTGGGATCGTGGGACAGAAAAAGAACTTGAGGTGAAAACTGAGGACATCTGAATAAAGTACAAACTTTAGTTAATAATGAGATATTGATATTGGTTCATTAATTGCAACAAATATACCATTTATCATTAACAATGGTAGAAAATACTATTTATTAATATTAAGATATTAATAATAGGGTAACTGAATGTGGGGCATATGGGAACTCTACTATATTCACAATAATTTTTTTAATCAACAACTATTCTAAAATTAAAATTTTACTTTCTGAAAGTTTATTTTAGTATCCTATTATATGTTTTCATAATAACATTTCAAAATAATTTCTCAATGTGGTGCATGAGCAGATTCACCATTTCAGTATACAGGCATATAATTTTTTTTATTTTTAAATTTATGTTTTATCTCAATAGGTTTGGGGGAACATGTGATGTTTGGTTACATGAATAAGTTCTTTAGTGGTGATTTCTGAGATTTTGGTGCACCCATCCCTCAAGCAGTGTACGCTGTACCCAATATGCAGTTTTTTTATCCCTCACCCCCTCCCACCCTTTCCCCCGAGTATCCAAAGTCCACTGTGTCATTTTTATGCCTTTGCATCCTCATAGCTTAGCTTCCACTTATCAGTGAGAACATACGATATTTAGTTTTCTATTCCTGGGTTACTTCACTTAGAACGATAGTTTCCAGTTCCATCCAGGTTGCTGTGAATGCCATTATTTCATTTCTTTTTATGGCTGAGTAGTATTCCATGGTATATGTGCATATATATGTATACCACATTTTCTTTATCTACTCATTGATTGATGGGCGTTTGGGCTGGTTCCATATTTTTGCAATTGTGAATTGTGGGCATATAATTTAAATTTCGAGGCAACCCTGAAGTCATGCTCAGGCATAGATAGGACCAAACAGTTAACTTTCAAAGCACTAAAGCATATCTGAACTGGCATAAAGAAGAACAAGTAGATAATCAAATATACTAAAACCTTTATTAATGAAAAGAATGTATTACAGAAATAGTTCATTTCCAGAGGAAGAAATAATATAAAATGCAAAAGAATATATCTAGAAGTAAGGAAAAGTAAAGGAAAATATCATTATAATTAGCATTGAGTCCTTTAGAAAACAGGAAGTAGGCATCTGAAGGTATTGAGTGAGAAAAAGGTAAAGTTAATATTACATCAGGAGGCAACTAATCACAGATGCCACTGCTTGGACACACCAAGGAGGCAAAAAATGGCAAAGTCAGATTTTGAACAGAGTGTGCCCAGACTATGAGCTATCACAACAAGACAGGGAAGGCGAAAAAGGGCCAGCCACCAACTCGGGGGAAAAAGGGCCAGCCACCAGCTCAGACAAAAAGTAGGCAACACAGACCCCTCCCTTCCTAATATCCCCCAGGCGTGGACTTCAGCTGGTATCAGGTTTGCTTTTCCTATGGAAGCAAGGAGCCTATCCGGGGAAGAGATTCGTCCTGATTTCTTCTTAGTTCACACACACTTAAACTCCCGAAAGGGCTTGACTCAGATTTACCCGCAGGTCTGGGCTAGTGTGACAACAAGGGCCTTCGTGTCTTTAAAATAACTCATCTACTTCATGATGTCCTTGGTGAAACAGTGGATTGGTACACACATCCATTGCAATCTCTTTCTAGCTGGACTTTCTGTTTCTGTAGGGCTGGGAAGTTTAAAGCTACAAACCCTGGACATTCTTGCAATTAAGATTCCTCATGTGATAGAGTTTCCACCAGCAGAATTAAAATTGTAGATGTGGAGGGAGGGTATGAGTGAGGCAGGGGCCATCTGCTGCTGGTTCTGTGATAAGCACAGTCGCGGAGGAGTTTAGTTATTCTGTGCCATTGTTAACTGACTGTTCACTGGCTTGTGGGGCACCAAGAGGCAGGGCACAGGACATCTGTTTTACTAATTAATATCATAGCAAGCTTGGCGGGTCCCGGAGTGGCAGCTTTTTGGATGTGGCAGTTTCCAGAGCATGGCAGCTTCTGATGATGGCAGGGGATGCATTGTTTTGAATCCAGCAGCTATAGCAACAACTTCCCAATTCAGCAAATGGTTTCCTATTGCAGGATCAGTAGATCCCTTGATGGCCCAGTTCTGCAGTAAAAGTCCATCCTAAAACTTCAGCCTCAAAGTGGATCTCTATCTGATCTCAACATTTGAATTTCCAGGGGAGTTTATGCCCAAAGGTTTTGATTCATTATGTCAGCAATGGATTCCCGAATTGATATTCTAAAAAAGCAACCCAGATGCTTGTGATACGAAGCTCAGATTGAGAGTGAGTGACCAAGAGCCTCTTTCATTAGCCCTGCCAACAACTTCATAAGCCATTTAATGCCCAGTGTTAAACAATTTCTGTTTAAACTGTCTGGAATGGATTATTTTTTCAGTAACTAAACCTTGACCAGTGCAATGTCTGGGGCAAAATCTTCACAACAGGAATAGAACAAAGGTTAGGCAGAATGAAAGTTCAAATATGCCATCCCTTTCTGTCAATAGAGGAGCATTAAAATTTTCAACACTTACAAAGAGAAGAAATAAAGATTGTAACAAAAAAAAACAAGCTAAGAATAGTAACAAAACCAAGCTTAGAGCTGTTGAAAAATAAATTGCTGTTGAAAGATTATAGAATAAATAAAGGCTTAGGTAGCCTGTATTATGCAAATTAGTCACATCATGCTTATTTATTTTTACTATCTACTTGGTTTGCAGCTATATTATTTTATTTTGGAAAAAAATGATAGAATAACATTAAAAAGAACATGTCTAGCGCTCTAGTTAACCATAATTTCTGGTCTGTTGCTGCCACCTACCATCTACCCAAGGCAAGGCAGTTCCCGTGGGTAGGGTTACTCTTTCAGTCTTCAGGAAGCTAGTGCCACCTAAATGTCTTTCATTTCGGTGACACACTTCTAAAATACTTTTAGGTGCATGCTAAACCCCTAAATGACAGGCTGTTTAATTACTGTTAGTACCCTTCACTCAACAGATGACTTAAGTATTAAAGTATCTTGACCATGAATTACAATTAGATATGGATGTTATAAGAAAAGCAAAATTTGGCCGGGCATGGTGGCTCACGCTTGTAATCCCAACACTTTGGGAGGCCGAGGGGGGGCGGATCACGAGGTCAGGACTTCAAGACCAGCCTGGCCAACACAGTGAAACCCCGTCTCTACTAAAACATACAAAAATTAGCCGGGCTTGGTGGCAGGCACCTATAATCCCAGCTACTCAGGAGGCAGATGCAGGAGAATCGCTTGAACCCAGGAGGCAGAGGTTGCAGTGAGCCGAGATCATGCCATTGTAGCCTCCAGCCTGGGCAACAAGAGCAAGACTCCATCTCAAAAATTTGTCTGGTAAATGTTAGTTGAACTCTTATTATATGAGACATTATGTTGACAGCATATGCATCTACTATATCCTTTAAAATTAGCTTTTCATAAAGACTGTGTGTCTCAGAGATCTCTTGTTAAGTAAATAAGATGGTTTTTACGTGGACATAGGAAGCTTTTTGCAGTATAAAAATATTTCACCTAGAATTATTTACTTTTCATCCTTACTCATAAAATCTGATATTTGTCTGGGAACGGTGGTTCACACCTGTAATCTCTGTGCTTTGGGAGACCAAGGCGGGAGGATCACTTGAGGCCAGCCTGGGCAACCCATCTCTACAAATAAAATAATAATAATAATTTTAAAAATTAAAAAAATTAAATCTTACCTTTAAAAGGTTGATAATAGTGATGAATGCAGTACAGTGTCAATAATTCAGCACTGAAAAACATTTTGCTGATTGACTATATGTGATTTCCTTTTGAGTCCATGAATAGTACATTAACTTACATTTGCAGTGGCATTTTATGATTATTATGACACTTTTATATACCAACTTCCATTTTATATTTACAGGTACAGAACTAAGTAGGACAGGTACTATACTTTAAAGACAAAGAAATAGTCTTAGAACATTTAAAGGATTGAACCCCATCTAGAATCCGGCCTTTTGCGGAAAAATTCAGTGTTCTTTCCACTCTGCCACACTGCCTTCAACAGTCTTTCATTCACTCATTCAACAGATGTTTACTGAATACCCAGTATGTGCCATGTGTAGGTGCTGGGGAGAAGGTGATGTTTTATTTATTAATAGGGTCCAGGCGCAATGGCTCATGCCTGTAATCTCAGCAATTTGGGGGCCTGAGGCAGGAGGATCGCTTGAGCCCAGGAGTTAGAGACCAGCCCGGGCAACATGGCAAAACCCTTCTCCACAAAAAATACAAAAATTAGCCAGACATGGTGGTTTGGCTGTAGTTCCAGCTACTCGGGAGGCTGCACCTGTAGTCCCAGCTACTTGGGAGGCTGAGGTGGGAGAATCACTTGAGCTAGGGAGGTAAGCCATGATCATGCCACTGTACTCTAGCCTGGGCAATAAAACGAGACCCTGCCTCAAAAATAAATAAATAAATAAATTTAAAAAATTTAGAGATGGGGGTAGATTAGGGCTTAGAGAGGTTGTCTGGGAAGGTCTCTGGGGAAGTGATCGCTGAAGAATGGATAAGAAGAAACCAAGAAGAAAGGTGGGAGAACTTAATCCACGCAGAGGGAATAGCATGTAGAAAGCTCGAGTTTCCCAAGTAGGAGAAACTGAAAGAAGCCCAGTGTGGCTGCTGCATTATAAAATATGAGATGGTGGCATTAAATACAGCTTTCAGTCAAGGCAAGGAGAAAGGTCATGCCAGGCTGTGGAAGCCACGGTGGAGTCTGGTTCCTGTTCCAAGTACAGTGGGAAGCCGGGGAAGAGTGCTCAGGCTCTATGTTGCATGCTGCAAATCAGAAGTTTTCCTGGGGGGAAATTTCCTGAATTGTTTTCAACAAAATAGTATTCAAAAAACATCTGAATATTTCCCCAAAAATATCTTCCAGAGACCACTAGATAGTTTGCTAACAATTGTGTAGGCTTCGAAGGGAATACCTGAATTATACCCCATGCCTCAGCTTGTAACACAGTGTTACACTGTGGACACAGTTATCCTCTAAGACCTGACTAGACCCCACTTTTTGTGCAATCCCCTATCAGCCTTTTTTGTCTAGTTGCACATTATGTTCACTTGGGGAACTTGGGGAGTGTTCTTCCCATCTCCAGAAATTTTAATGTAATTAATATGGTGCTGGGCCAGCCATCAGCAGTTGTTAAAAAGCTTCTCAGGTAGTTCTACTGTTTAGCCAGGGTTGAGGATTGCTGATCTGAGGGATTGTGATAAATGACTTTTATGTAATACTTTCTCATTGTCAAAGTGATTTTTGTCAAGTGTAGAATACTCAGACTAACATAAGACTAAAACAGTAGCCTGTAAGGTGACTGTTTATTTGGTGTATCACTCAGGCTCCAGAGTTCTGTATCTAGCAGTTTGGTAAAATCTAACTACATCAAAAATGTCTACTTAACAAAACCTGGAAAAGTTCTTTACAAAGGTGACAAAAGGACTTGAGCTACATGACTAAGCTTGCCCTTTTATGGTTATCCATTTTACTACACACCAATTTTAAAATAAATATATAATACACTATAATACCAAAGGTACATAGTGGGAGGCTCTGATAATTTCCACTTCTTCCTCATGAAGGAATTTATGAACACTTAGTCATTATAATCAAAGAATACTTTCTTTTCTCATCCTATCTTGATTCTGTTCTCCAAGACTACTGATCATCATCCATGCATCAATGTACTCTTGTCCCACACCAGGCAGCATCAGTATATATCTCCCATCAGAATCCTAATTCTACATGCCAGATGTTCTTAATCTGTACATTTGGAACAGCTCGAAGTTCATTTTAAGTACCAAGTCTCTACCGCCAATAGAGGCAGTACCCACAGTTACACTCAGGAAAATACTGGCTGCCTGCTTTCTTGTTCAACCTGGGGCTGGCTTTGGTCTGTTTAGCTTAGCCTTGCAGCACTCTCTCTAACCTGCAGGATCTGACTGGCATCTGTATTCAGTGTAGCTGCAGGCATTTCCTCTGCCTGCTGCATGACCTGGCCGGCTAGGGCAAAGGGTGGGGAAGGGGAGGGGCTTATTCTGCTCTATTTGGCTACAGAGCAACATCAAGCTGCATATGAATCACTCATAGTACTCCCTGTGGGATACCATTAAAGATCCTCTGATATTTAATGCTCAGAACACTATTCTCTAATATTTCCTATTCACTTTCTTGAGCTCTATATTTTCAAATAAATAAATCATATTTCATAGTCATAAACATGTTAGAAGAATAGGAAGAAAATCAATGGCCCATTTTACAGATGAGAAAACTGGGCCACAGAAGTTAAATCAGAGTAATAACTAAGCCATACAACTATTTAGTGTTTAGAATGAGGATGAGTAAAAGCATAATACCCATTGCATGGATCTATGTGTAATTTAAAACAGTAATCTTGAATAAAAATGTAAATAACAAAGTTAGGAAGCAAATGACAAACTGGAAAAAAAACATTTCCAGCATGCAAAACTGAAAGGAATTAAGACCAAGGTTAAGATGTTAGGAACACCTTAAAAGCACTGTCCTAACAGCAAAATGGACAGATAACTCATAAAAACCCAAATGCAAATGATCAACAGATATCTGAAATAATGTTTATGAATGAATGTGAAATAAAACAATGATGTGGTGGACATGTGTTGCTTTTATCTATGCATTATTCCTTCTCCCCAACTTTTGATAGAAAACTTCTTTCTCACACACTCCAACATGTGGTTGTGGGAGAGCTGATGATACTTGTAATATAAATTTTTTCTTTTGCTGGCACAGTATCCACTCTTTTTTTGTCTTTTACAAACCCTCTTTCTCCCCTATTAGTCCTTGTGATTTTAGGGGAGCTAATGCCTTCCCTTACCCTTGTGCAGGGGTGGCATATAACCCAATCCTAACTCATCAGATTTTTTTATACCTCTGCTACAATGAGAGGTAGGGATGGACACAATTTGGAAACCAGGCCAACCAAAGTCTTCCTTCCTCAGAACCTTTGTGGGACCCATTAGAAATGAGGTATTCCCTTTGAGACCCATGAGACTGCTGAATCATTTAACCCTGGAGCTATCAGGAATCATTTTGCCAACAGGCAAGAGAGAAAGCCTGCCTCAGAATGAAGCCAACAAAGAGGAGAGCAGGGCAAAAGATAAAAAGCAAGTCCTGATGATATTGTTTGAGCCCCTGTTCCTGAAAGAAGAACTCTCAACTAGACTTCTCAGTTGCATGAGCCAATATATTCTTTTTTTTTTTTTTTTTTTTTTTTTTTTTTTTTTTTGGCTTAAGCCAGCTTAAATTGGGTTTCTATCATGGCACTTAAATGAGCTCTGATTAATGTAGGATTAAATCAGAGACAACAAAGATGTCTCGTTCCTCTAGACCTCCTTAGCTAAGATGATATAAGCCTAGACCTCCTTGCAACCATGCCTCCCTCCTTAGAAAAAAGTGTCTGCAATAGAAGAGGAATGAGGGATAGCACTTTCTGTGACATCATTTGAGTTCTTGAATCAATCAACCCTGAGGCCAGCACCCAGATGCATGAGGCAATAAATCTCATTATTTGCTTAAGCTGGTCTCTAACAAGTGTCTCTCATTGTAACAATGTCATCAGCTCATTGTACAGAGTTCCAAAACAATTATATCTTACTTGTATTTGTCCTAATATAAATGAGATATCAATTTTCCTAACATTAAAAATAGTAATACCCAGTGTTATTGATGATATGCTGAAACAGACTCTCACGCACTGCTGGCGTTTGGATACAAACATTTTGTAAAGCAATTTGACTATAGTCCTCAAAAGCCTTAAAAATTATATACATTTGAGGGAGGGATGAATAGGTGAGGCACAGGGGATTTTTTGGGCAGAGGAACTATTCTGTATAATACTATAATGGTGAATACATGACATTACACATAGTCAAAACCCACAGAGCTGTAATACAAAGAGTGAACCCTAATGTAAACTGTGGACTTTAGTTAATAAAGTGTCAATATCCATTAATCTATTGTAACTACAAATGTATCACACTAATCCAAAATGTTAATAAGAAGTGAAAATATGTCGGAGGGGGATGTATATGAGAGCCCTCTGTACTTTCTGCTTCATTTTTCCGTTAAGCTAAAACTGCTCTAAGACATAAAACACACTAATTTTAAAAAGGAGAAAGGGAGGAAAGAAAGAAAGAAGGAAGGAAAGATAGATTACACACACTTCACCTGGCAGTTTTTTTTTTTTTTTTTTTGAGACAGTCTCCCTCTGTAACCCAAGCTGGATTGCAATGGCGCAATCTTGGCTCACTGCAAACTCTGCCTCCCAGGTTCAAGCGATTCTACAGCCTCAGCCTCCTGAGTAGCTGGAATTGGATTACAGGCGCGCTCCACCATACCCAGCTAATTTTGGTATTTTTAGTAGAGACGGGGTTTCACCATGTTGGTCAGGCTGCTCTCAAACTCCTGACCTCGTGATCTGCTCACCTCAGCCTCCCAAAGTGCTGGGATTACAGGCGTGAGCCACCGCGCCCGGCCCCTGGCAGTTCTTAAGTTATAAATCTCTCCCAAGGGGAAGAAAATAGGCAAGAATGCAAAGATATAAACAAAACAACTGTCATGAAGTTGTTTATTACAGTAAAAAAAAAGAATTGGAAGTACTCAAATATCCATCAACTTAAATAAAATTAAATAAATGATGATTCACATGCAGTCTTGGAGGATGATAATGTTGATCAAGGGTTCTTCCCTACAGGCCAGGACTGAGCTGCAGGGGTTCAAATGCAGCTCTCTCACAGGGCTATTGATGGATTCTTTGAGGCTCCGTGGGGTCCTCCGACCACAGCTCCCTGTTGTGGTGAGCACTATGGGGGCAACTAGTGGTACCCTCAGCTGCTAACTGCTGGCATTCCCTTGCCCTGGCAGGCCACCCTCTTTGGTGGATTATTTCCAAGAAGGCTTAGCCCAAGTACCTTGAATTGCTTAAAAACCTTCAAGAGTCTCCTAGCACCTACAAAGTCCACATTTCTTGGCATGATATTCAAGACATTTTATTAAGTGCTTGAGTTGACTGTTCCAGCCTCATTTCCCATTCATAGAAGAGTAGTTTTAGTTTTTTGAAAATACCAGGTACTTTCCTCTACCATTATTCAAAAAATAGAAAATAGTTCCCTGTGAATCGGCTGAGGCATGAATGGTCAATTCAAACTACAGTTTTAAATATCTTAAATACTATTCCTGACATGGACCAAATAGGAAACGAGTTAAAATGTGGCATGATTTTGTACAATTGGTAGAGTATTAAAAAAGGAGGATCTCGGGTGGGTGTGGTGACTCGTCCCTATAATCCCAGAACTTTGGGAAAGTGAGGCAGGATGATCTCTCCAGCCCAGGAGTTCAAGGCCAGCCTGGGCAACAGAGGGAGACCATATCTCTAAAAAAAAAAATCTTTTTTTAATTAGCCAGGTGTGGTGGGGCACAGCTGTGGTCCCAGCTACTTGCAAGGCTGAGATTAGAGGATCACTTGGGCCGCAGAGGTTGAGGCTTCAGTGAGCCGTGATCATGCCACTCCACTTCAGCCTAGGCAACAGAGCAAGACTTTGTCTCAAAAAAAAAAAAAAAAAGGAAGTATATATTTTAACATAAAACTAGAAACATTCTTTGACTGGCATAGGAGTTCTAACACTGACCCTACAAAGTGGAAAGAAAAGAGTAGTTTTTGGCTATACAGTGAACTAAATCTGGAAAGTCAAAACATGTAAATGTTCATTTATTATTTTTTACAATTTTGGAATAAATTCACAAACTACAGAAGACTAAATTGTGATTACAGAAAAGAGTATGTGATACACCTGGAAGACTTAAATTTGCATTTAACAGAAGTAAAAGAGAAGAACAGGGAAATGCAAATTAAAACCACAAGGAGATACCGCCTCACACCTGTTAGAATGGCTGTGATGAAAAAGATAAACGATAGTGTTGGCGAGGGTGTGGAGAAAAGGGAACATTGCGCATTGTTGGTGGGAGTGTACATTAGTATAACCATTATGGAAAACTGTATGTAGGTTTCTCAAGCAATTAAAAATAGAACTGCCACATTATCCAGCAATTCCTGGATACGTATCCTAAGGATATAAAATCAGTATGTTGAAGAGATATCTGCATTCCCAAGTTCACTGCAACATTTTCACAGTAGTCAAGATATGGAGCTAAAAAAAATAAATAAAAGATATGGACCTGAGTGTCCATCAGTGGATGAATGGATAAAAAAAAAATTGCTTTATAAACATAATGGAACAGTGTTAACAAAGAAGGAAATCCTGTGATTCGTGACAACATGGATGAATCTGAGGACATCGTGTTGCACAAAATAAGCCAGGCACAGAAAGACAAATATCGCATGATCTCACCCATATGTGGAATCTAAAAACACTGATCTCATAGAAGCAGAGAGTAGAATGGTGGGGACCAGGGTCTGGGGGTGGGAGTGGAGACTGGGGAGACGCTGGTCAAAGGACAAGAAATTTTAGCTAGACAGAAGAAATGAGTTCAAAAGATCTACGGTATAGCATGGTGACTATAGTTAATAACAACATGTTGTATACTTGGAAAATTGCTAAGAGAGTAGATTCGAAGTGTTCTCACCACACAAAAGTAAGTATTTGAGGTAATGCATACGTTAATTAGCTTGATTTGGCCATTCTGCAACATATACATATTTCAAAACATATTTGTACACCATAAATGTATACAATTTTTATTTGCCAATTAAAAAATAAACAAGAAACAGTTAAAAAGAAAAAAGGAACAGCAGGTGAAGGGAACCATCCAAGCACAAACATCCTCAACTCTTGGTTGATGGAACACCAAATAGAGGTTCTAAGATATTGTCTGCAATCAGCTGGGCACAGTGGCTCATACCTGTAATCCCAGTGCTTTGGGAGGCTGAGACAGGAAGATCTGTTGAGCTCAGGAGTTTGAGACCAAGCCTGGGCAACATAGCAAGACCTCATCTCTACAAAAATTTTAAAAATTAACCTAGTGTATTGGTGCATGCCTGTAGTTCCAGCTACTCAGAAGGCTGAGGCAGAAGAATCACTTGAGCCTGGGAGATTGAGGCTGCAGTGAGCTATGATCACATCACTGCACTCCAGCCTGGTGACAGAGTGAGACCCTGTCTTTAGAAAAAAAAAAAAAAAAAGGGACATTGTCTGAAATCAGAGAGGACCAGCACAGTAGCAGAGGTTAGTGACCAAATTATGTTGGGAGAAGGGAGGCAGGACAAGCAAGCTAAATTTGCATCCATCTTGGTATCTAAATCAAGTAACAACATATTTGGAGATATCAAGCTAATCACAAAAAGAACTAAAAGCAGAAACTGTTCAAAGAAGTTGCCTCGGGAGAACAAGTTAAAGGACACTATGAGAAAGCAATCAGTCAAATCCAGAATATAGGACATTCCATGGGACAACTGCCCTCGTTTCTCTAATGAATCAATGGCAGGGAGAGGAAATGAGTTATAGAAAAAAGGACATTCAGGAGACAATGAAACAATCAAATTCAACGTGGGCCCTTCATTGGGGGATCCTTTGTTAGAACTTTGAGACAATCAGAAAAATTTAATAATGAACTGGATATAAGATGATGTTAAGAAATTGTGGCCAGGTGCAGTGGCTCATGCCTATAATCTCAGCACTTTGGGAGGCTGAGGCAGGTGGATCTCCTAAGGTCAGGAGCTCAAGACCAGCCTGGCCAACATGGCAAAACCCTGACTCTACTAAAAATAATTTTTAAAAAATTAGCCAGTCATGATAGCACGTGCCTATAATACCAGCTACTGGGGAGGCTGAGGCAGGAGAATTGCTTGAACCTGGGAAGTGGAGATTGCAGTGAGCTAAGATCACACCACTGCACTCCAGCCTGGGTGACAGAGGGAGACTCCACCTCAAAAAAAAAAAAAAAGGAAGGAAGGAGAGAAAGAAACAAGGGAAGGAGGGGGAGGAAGAAAGAAGAAAGAAAGGAAGGAAGGAGGGAGGGAGGGGAGAGAGAGAGAGAGAAAGAGAAAGAAAGAAAGAAGAAAATAAAAGAAATTGTTAATTCATTAGGTATAATAATAGCATGGTGGTTAGAGTTAAAAATATCTTTTGCAGTTATAGATACAGGGAAGCATTTCTAGCTAAAATAACATGACGTCTCAGATTTGCTTTAAAATGCTCCAAAACCACCCCTTCCTCCCCCGAGAATAAAGAGGGACAGAGAAACAAGGCTGGCCAAATGTTGCAAATTGTGGAAGCTGTGTAATAGATTCCTAGGGTTCACCATACCTTTCCCTCCTTTCATGTATGCTTGAAAATTTCCAAAATATTATAACAGTGTGAGAACAAAAATTAGATTTAAAAAATCCAAAATAATACACTGTTGTTGTGTTGTTATTGTCATTTTTTGTAACCAGGTGCCTCTGAGGAATGGGATAGGATTTGGGGAACAGTGGTGCTGGCAAGCTTTTCATAGTTTTCATTTATTCAATGAATACTTACTGAGTCCTGCAATGCATGAGACACTGTGTAGACACTTTAGGGAAATGAAGAGAACAGATCAAAGTCCCTGTCCTCATGGAGCTCACATTCCCATCAGGGGAAAGAGACAACAAACCATAGACATAGTAAGTTATAATATGTAGAAGTGGGTAAGTGCTGTGAGGAAATAAGTGGGTTAAGAAGGACCAGGAGTGGGGCCAGAGCTGTAGTTTTAAATAGCAAGTGCAGGGAAGAGCTCATTGAAAAAGGTAACCTTGGAACAGAGACTCGGAGGAGGTGAAAGATATTATAAACCCTTTTGAATTATTGCTTTTTAATTATGTTCATGGATTACTTTGCTAAAAATAATTGAAAAAGATTCCTTTAAAATAAAATATTTCAGGCTGGATGTGGGGGCTCATGCCTGTAAGGCTAGCACTTTGAGAGGCTGAGGCAAGAGGATTGCTTGAGGTCAAGAGTTCAAGACCAACCTGGCCAACATAGCAAGACCCCGTCTCTATTTTTAAAAAACAGATTAGCTCCCCCTCCCCCTCTCCCTCTCCCCACGGTCTCCCTCTCCCTCTCTTTCCACGGTCTCCCTCTGATGCCGAGCCAAGGCTGGACTGTACTGCTGCCATCTCAGCTCACTGCAACCTCCCTGCCTGATTCTCCTGCCTCAGCCTGCCGAGTGCCTGTGATTGCAGGCGCGCGCCGCCACACCTGACTGGTTTTCGTATTTTTTTGGTGGAGACGGGGTTTCGCTGTGTTGGCCGGGCTGGTCTCCAGCTCCTAACCGCGAGGGATCCGCCAGCCTCGGCCTCCCGAGGTGCCGGGATTGCAGATGGAGTCTGGTTCACTCAGTGCTCAGTGGTGCCCAGGCTGGAGTGCAGTGGCGTGATCTTGGCTCGCTACAACCTCCACCTCCCAGCCGCCTGCCTTGGCCTCCCAAAGTGCCGAGAGTACAGCCTCTGCCAGGCCGCCACCCCGTCTGGGAAGTGAGGAGCATCTCTGCCTGGCCATCCATCGTCTGGGACGTGAGGAGCCCCTCTGCCTGGCTGCCCAGTCTGGAAAGTGAGGAGCGTCTCTGCCCGGCCGCCATCCCATCTAGGAAGTGAGGAGCGTCTCTGCCCGGCCACCCATCGTCTGAGATGTGGGGAGCGCCTCTGCTCCGCCGCCCCGTCTGGGAGGTGAGGAGCGTCTCTGCCCGGCCGCCCCGTCTGAGAAGTGAGGAGCCCCTCCACCCGGCAGCCGCCCCGTCCGAGAAGTGAGGAGCCCCTCCGCCCAGCAGCCACCCCGTCTGGGAAGTGAGGAGCGTCTCCGCCCCGCAGCCACCCCGTCCGGGAGGGAGGTGGGGGTCAGCCCCCCGCCCGGCCAGCCGCCCCGTCCGGGAGGGAGGTGGGGGGGTCAGCCCCCGCCCGGCCAGCCGCCCCATCCGGAGGAGGTGGGGGGGTCAGCCCCGCCCGGCCAGCCGCCCCATCCGGGAGGAGGTGGGGGCCAGCCCCCCGCCCGGCCAGCCGCCCCGTCCGGAGGTGAGGGGCACCTCTGCCCGGCCGCCCCTACTGGGAAGTGAGGAGCCCCTCTGCCCGGCCAGCCGCCCCGTCCGGGAGGGAGGTGGGAGGGTCAACCCCCTGCCCGGCCAGCCGCCCCGTCCGGGAGGTGAGGGGCGCCTCTGCCCGGCCGCCCCTACTGGGAAGTGAGGAGCCCCTCTGCCCGGCCAGCCGCCCCGTCCAGGAGGGAGGTGGGGGGGTCAGCCCCCCGCGCGGCCAGCCGCCCCATCTGGGAGGGAGGTGGGGGGGTCAGCCCCCCACTCGGCCAGCCGCCCCGTCCGGGAGGGAGGTGGTGGGGTCAGCCCCCCGCCCAGCCAGCTGCCCCGTCCGGGAGGGAGGTGGGGGGGTCAGCCCCCCGCCCAGCCAGCCGCCCCGTCCGGGAGGTGAGGGGCGCCTCTGCCCGGCCGCCCCTACTGGGAAGTGAGGAGCCCCTCTGCCCGGCCACCACCCCGTCTGGGAGGTGTGTCCAACAGCTCCTTGAGAACGGGCCAGGATGACAATGGCGGTTTGGTGGAATAGAAGTGGGGGAAAGGTGGGGAAAAGATTGAGAAATCGGATGGTTGCCGTGTCTGTGTAGAAAGAAGTAGACATGGGAGACTTCGTTTTGTTCTGTACTAAGAAAAATTATTTTGCCTTGGGATCCTGTTGATCTGTGACCTTACCCCCAACCCTGTGCTCTCTGAAACATGTGCTGTGTCCACTCAGGGTTAAATGGATTAAGGGCGGTGCAAGATGTGCTTTGTTAAACAGATGCTTGAAGGCAGCATGCTCGTTAAGAGTCATCACCACTCCCTAATCTCAAGTACCCAGGGACACAAACACCGCGGAAGGCCGCAGGGTCCTCTGCCTAGGAAAACCAGAGACCTTTGTTCACTTGTTTATCTGCTGACCTTCCCTCCACTATTGTCCTATGACCCTGCCAAATCCCCCTCTGTGAGAAACACCCAAGAATGATCAATTAAAAAAAAAAAGGAAGTTTAAAAAAAAACAGATTAAAAAATAATAATAAAATACAATAAAATATTTTGCCTGGCCATGGTGGCTCACACCTGTAATCCCAGCATTTTGGGAGACTGAGGTGGGCGGATCACTTGAGGCCAGAAGTTTGAGACCAGTCAGGCCAACGTGGTGAAACACCATCTCCACAAAAAATACAAAAATTAGCTGGGCGTGGTGGCACATGCCTGTAGTCCTGGCTACTTGGGAGGCTGAGGTGGGAGGATTGGTTGAGCACAGGAGGAAGAGGCTGCAGTGAGCCGAGATGGTGCCACTGCCTTCCAGCCTGGGCGATAGAGCAAGACAATGTCTCAAACACACACACACACACACACAACTGGGCCGGGCATGGTGGCTCACACCTGTAATCCCAGCACTTTGGGAGGCCGAGGTGGGTAGATCACCTGAGGTCAGGAGTTCGAGACCAGCCTGGCAAACATGTGAAACCCCGTCTCTACTAAAAATACAAAAAAATTAGCTAGGCATGGTGGCACATGCCTCTAATCCAAGCTATTTGGTAGGCTGAGGCAGGAGAATTGCTTGAACCTGGGAGGCGAAGTTTGCAGTGAGCCGAGATGGCACCACTGCACTCCAGCCTGGGCAACAGAGTAAGACTCTGTCTCAAAAAAAAAAAAAAAATTTTTTTTCTCCCCACCATGTCTTCTTCTCTGCCTACCAAAATCTTCCTTTCTTTTGCAAGCCAACCATGAGTGATCCTGCCTTCATGAGGCCTTTTTCATCCACAGCCAGAATTAACCACTTTTTTGTAGTTTTTGTACATTGCCAGTATCTCTAACATGTACTTCATTCTCCTAAGTAGGACAGCTCTTCATAGCTTTACTAAGCATTTTACTTTTCATTATTTTATTTACACTTCACAATGATACTGAGTGGGTTTGTTTGTTTGTTTGTTTGTTTGTTTGTTTTTTGAGACAGAGTCTCGTTCTGTCACCCAGGCTGGAGTGCACTGGCATGATCTCAGCTCACTGCAAGCTCTGCCTCCCAGGTTCATGTCATTCTCCTGCCTCAGCCTCCGGAGTAGCTGGGACTACAGGCGCCCACGACCACGCCCGGCTAATTTTTTGTATTTTTAGTAGAGACGGGTTTTCACCGTGTTAGCCAGGATGGTCTTGATCTCCTGACCTCGTGATCCACCCGCCTCGGCCTCCCGAAGTGCTGGAATTACAGGCGTGAGCCACCACGCCCGGCCAAGTGGTTTTTATTTAATATCATTGTTATTCCCACTTGACAGATGAGAAAACTAAGTCTCTAAAAGAGGAAGTGACCTGTACCCAGACACAGAAACAGCACCTGAATTCTAGGCCACATCCTCTGAATCAAACATTATTACTTCTCTCTGCCTCACTCACTACCTCTTTATCATTAGTTGTTTCCAAAAGTCTTGTTTTAATGTTAAAATTAGATTTGAGTCAAAGTACTATTTGCATACGATATTAATTTCGGTAGTTGAGAAAATCTTAGAAGGAAAAGCAAATCTCCCACCTAATCAATCTGCAGTCACATTTTGCAGAGACAATATTCTTTTCAATATTTCTACTTTTAGTTCTTCCGGCAGTTGTCTGTGTAACTCTAGAGAATATGCTTACACCTTTACATATTGATTTTTATCACCCTTAGATATTATCTGCTGACTTCCTCCTGTGAAGGGGGAGGACTTAGCTCATTTGCATTGCCCTAATGTCTTAGGTTAGGTTCCCTGGGAAACTGACTCTCAGGCAGAGACTTACATGTAGGAGGCACACAACTCTGGAGCAGTGAAGGCAGCAGAATTGAGCTGCAGGAGGAGTTTACCTGCTGTGCAGTCGACAATAGAAGCCTCAGCCCAACCAGTGGGAGCTCAGAGCTCACTTCAGAGTTGTCTACTCTGAACGATTGTACCCCACCATCAATGGGTCGTTGGATGCAGCCTGGGGCACATAAACTTAGAAAGCCAACTCTCTTTGGCTGAGGACAATTCTAAAAGAACTCAAGGTAGGTTGTCAAGCAGCCAGTACTTCTGGCAGCCAGAGAATGAACATCATGGTCCTAAAGTGGGGATCTGAGCAGAGCACCATGGCATGCATCACTGTACACCCTCTATGTCACTGGAACCCACCTGCTTCTATAGTAAGTTCACCCCATTTGAAATTAGCTACCCTGGATTTCTGGTTGGTTCCATTAGGAGAACCTTACTAGAATGTCAGGGGGCCAAGTTACAGTCTTTCCCTCTGTAGCTGCTCTCAAAGCCACTTCTGAGACACTCCATTTCCCTCTTCCACTACCAATTCTAGATTCCCCTCACCCTCACCTAGCACCTATGCTGCTCTAGATGGCTTAACTGGTGGATGATTCCATTCCTCATCCCTGATAAATCTTAGCCCTTTGTCACCCAACCCTGTTCCAAGGCTGATTATAGGATAACATAGGTTGGCTACATTGTTCACTTACCATCACAACTGGGCAGGAGAGAAAGAAGAGCTGCTCCTACGGATCAGCGGAGTGTCAAATATATTCTTCTCTGTCCCACCATGAAGCAGAAATCCCAACTTCTCCTGATTATCAGGATCCATTTTTCCTGCTGAAATGTGGTTCCTGTCCCTATTCTTCCCTCTTTCATAACCCACTTGTAAATGAAAGTGCCTATAAGACAGCTCTATTCCATTGTTCCCCAGCACTGCAAATTCAACATCTTCAAAACTGAACTGACATTTTTTTCCCTTCCTTAAACTGCTCTTTCTTCTTCAACCATCCAGTACCTCTGCTGGAAACCTGGTTCATCTTTGGGTCCTCCAACTCCCTCACCCTCTATAGCTGCCTTATAGCTCTGTAAAGTCTCCCTCCTAAATGGCTTTTAAATCAGCCTCACTCTCTTTCCCCACAGTTGCTGCCCTTGTCTGGGCACCCCTCCTTTCTCACACGGACTATTACAAACACTTTCTTTCTCCAGTCTTGCTCGTACTCCTCCCACCAGCATCTCTGAGGTATAAAAATGAGAAACAAAGAGACCTGGAACTAGAAATGTCTCTATCTAGAGCGACATTTAAAATCAAGAGAGTTGGCTGGGGTTAGTGGCTGACGCTTGTAATCCCCGCACTTTGGGAGGCCGAGACGGGTGGATCACTTGACATCAGGAGTTCGAGACCAGCCCGACCAACATGGCAAAACCGCATCTCTACCAAAAACACACAAATTAGCCGGGCATGGTGGCACACAACTGTAGTCCTAGCTACTCAGGAGGCTGATGCAGAAAAATTGTTTGAACCCAGGAGATGGAGGTTGCAGTGAGCCGAGATCGTGCCACCACTCCAGCCTGGGTGACAGAGTGAGACTCTGTCTCAATAAATAAATAAATAAATAAATAAATAAATAAATAAATAAAATCAAGAGAGTGAGATGTGCTCTAAGAGGGACTTGAAGAGAAAAGAGATAAGGGCATCTGCAGAGGCCATTAAAGAAAAAAATAGCCCTTTTGTTATTTACCTTCATGGATATAAAATGCTTATGCTGCAACATTTTTTCTCATCTTTTTTCCATGTTAGAAAGTATATATTGATTTCCTACTATTTTGGAAAATGAGGATTTAGCTTTCTTCCTGTGTTCCCCACCCCAATATACACATGCTTTCCCCTGTCCTCCAACTTAGTTATAGTTTAGATGTACTAAATCAATATTCAGAGATTGCTTCTTTTCATTTGATAAATACTCCTTTGAGCTGCTTTGAAATGTTGAGTTAAGACATAAAATAACCCCTTTTGTCCTTTTAATCATTACAGGCAGGCTCTTGTAGGTGTTGAGAAACATTAGTAGAGTTTCTTCTCTGCCTATTTTAAAAATAGAAAAATGTATTTTAAATCAATCAACAATTATGTCAGCGTTCATTGTGTCCAAGGCAACATCATGGAAACAAAGATGTCTAGTGTAGAATTCCTACCCTCAAAGCACCAACATGTAGATGGTAAAATCATCCAAATACATGGAAAACAGGAACAAGTCTATGCAAGTGCTGCCTAACAGATCTCAAGAGTCAGAGGAAGAAGTCCCGTGCATGGAGTGGCCCAGGACAATGATACAGAGGAGGGGAACAGAGTTGAGGGATTTGATAAGCTGCAAAGGAAAATAGGGCAAAAGGCAAAGAGAAAGAGGAAGAGCGGTCCAGGCGTAAGAGAATCCTAGAGTACTCTAGGCAGGATTGGCAAAGGCAGGAAGGGAGGAAACACCGTTTCATTTTGTTTTGTTTTGAGACGGAGTCTCACTCTGTTGCCCAGACTGGAGCGCAGTGGTGCAATCTTGGCTCACTGCAAACTCCACCTCCCGGTTTCAAGCAGTTCTCCTGCCTCAGCCTCCTGAGTAGCTGGGAATCCAGGCGCACGCCACCCCGCCCAGCTAATTTTTGTATTTTTTTAGTAGAAACGGGGGTTCACAACATTGGCCAGGCTGGTCTCAAACTCCTTACCTCGTGATCTGCCCACCTCGGCCTCCCAAAGTGCTGGGATTACAGGCATGAGCCACTGCACCTGGCCGAAAACACTTTTTTGAGGATGCCAAGTAGCCCAGTTTCATGGCAAAAGAGGTTCATGCAGTAGAAAAGCAGGAGATAAAGGGGCAAGGCAGGGTGAGAGCAGAATGTGATAGGCTTGAATGCCAAGAAGAGGATTCCCAACATTTTCTCATCATCAAAGTTATTAGACAGTGAAGAACACATGGGCAAACTTTTTTTTTTTTTTGAGACGGAGTATCATTCTGTCGCTCAGGCTGGAGTGCAGTGGTGTGATCTTGGCTCATTGTAACCTGCATCTCCTGGGTTTAAGAGATTCACCTGACTCAGCCTCCTGAGTACTGGGATTACAGGTGCCCGCCACCATGCCCTGCTAATTTTGGTATTTTTAGTAGAGACGAGGTTTCACCATCTTAGCCAGGCTGGCCTCGAACTCCTGACCTCAAGCGATCTGCCTGCCTCGGCCTCCCAAAGTGCTAGGATTACAGGTATGAGCCACCGTGTCCGGCTGAGCAAACTTTTTAATAGTTAAAAAGTCCTTAATTCAGTGGGAAAAATGCTGAATTATTAAGTGACTTGATGAACATGTTAAAGAAATATTAGGTTGGTGCAAAAGTAATTGCTGTTTGGTTTTGGGACCGCGTCTCACTCTGTTGCCCAGGCTGGAGTGCAGTGGTGCAGTCACGGCTCACTGCAACCTTGACCACTGGGGCTTAGGCGATCCTTTCACCTCAGCCCCCTGAGTAGCTGGGACTACAGGCATGCACCACCATGCCCAACTAATTTTTTAATTTGTTTTGTAGAGACAAGTTCTCACTATGTTGCCCAGGCTGGTCTCGAACTCCTCAATCTTCCTGCCTCAGCCTCCCAAAGTGCTGAGATTACGAGAGTGAGCCACTGCACCAGCCATAAAATACAATTTGTATGTTGAAAAATAGTAATAAACTTAATAGCCAGGAGATATATATATATATATATCTGAACTTCTGGCCTCAAGCAATCTCCTCTCCTGTCTTGGCCTCACAAAGTGCTAGGATCACAGGCATGAGGCACTAAGCCTGGCCAACATTTTTAATATTAAAAATAAATACTTAGTTAGCAAGTTAACACATTGATTCAATTAGTATTTGTTATTCAAGGTTCATTGACTGCTTAGTGTATCAGCTCTGAACTCTAATAATTAAGCTAAATATTGGGAAGTAAAATTATAAATAAGAGCTAGTCCTTTGCTGTAAGGAGCTAATAATCCAATGATAGAACAAACTTTCTCAACTCCATTTCGAGAGCAGCTCTAGTTTTCCCAAGAAATATCTGAAACCTATTAGCATAGAAGTCCTGTTAATGCACTTTATTGATCTTTCCTACTATCTTATCTTTCTTACTTTCTTATCTAATAGTCTTATCTAACAGTCTTTCAGCTGTCTGTTGAACATGCAATTGTGGGCTGTAGGGCTTCAGAATACAGATAGAATAGAATGTTTTATGGTGACCGATAGGAATGTGTGTGGTCAAAACACAACTTTGTCCTTGTCCTCACTGTACTCTTTCTGATATACTAAGTGGGAATAACCTTTCCCCAATCTGAAATGAAAACTCTGGCAGACTCCATAACTTTTCAGCTTAATCTTAATTAATAGGCCAATCTATGGTCACTTTAAGCCACAGTCTCAATTCAATAATTAGAATATCCAGTCCAAGATGTTGAACAGAATTCGGAAGTTGATTTAGAGGCGATTCTTCTTCCTGTGCAGCTTGGCCCTGGGGCAGACTGGAAGCCTGCCGTGAGAAAGGGGGTGTGGTTGTCTTCTCTCCCTCCACCTCCACCCCAGGCTCAGTTTGCCAGTTAGTCTCTGACCCCGCTGAGGAGATGGAGAGGGCAGAGTAAGAGGCTTTGTGCTCGCAGGCCCTGGCAGACACCTGAGGTTGACTCTCTGGTGAATAACGTACGGGCTCCTTTGAGACTCCCTGTGGGGCCCCTTTCATTGCAGCAGGAGGGACAGTGGCCTGTGACCCATTTCACAGTAATCCAGCTTGCCTCCTGCTTCTTGAAGCTGAGGTCCCTCCACTCCTCTAAGTAGTCCTGTTGAACATGATCCAACATGACCTCATGCTGGCTTTCTCTCTCTGGGCCTCTTCTGAGGAATGGGGAAAACACATTACTTTGCCCTAACACTCTCTGGAATACAGGCTGATTCTAACCTAGCAACACGCTTTTGGCTCCACTAGAAGAGTTGCTAATCCCTCCTCTTCTCACCTTTCCAGAGAGGAGTTAGACGCCAGTCCACAAAGACTCCCAGCTGCAGGGGCCATGTATTAAACTGTCCAAAGAATCTACTGGAAGTACCCCTTACTTGGTGAGGTAGGATCTGTGTCACAGCACAACCTTCTCTGAAGAACTCCTCCTCCAAAAAGTTCTCCCATCTTTGCATAATCTAACTGCTCTTCTTCCCCTGCCACTTTTTATATCCTTAATCTGTGTGAGAGTCTTGGAAAAATTTCCTTTGTAAATTTCATGTTCGGGAATCTGTCTCTAGCATCTTACATCTATTTTTTCTCAGTATCTTGGTTGAAACTTCAGTTTTAATGTCCTGCTACCTATCCATCCATCTGTCCGTCCCTTTATCCACTTATTCACCCATCCATATGTCTTGAGCAATACTTTTAAGGAAAAGTTGGGGGCAATAATGAAGAAGGAGATAATAGCAGAAAGAGGTGTATTCAAGAATGAAATTAGGTGGCTCACACCTGTAATCCCAGCACTGTGGGAGGCCAAGGCAGACAGATTGCTTGAGCCCAGAAGTTTGAGACTAGTCTGGGCAATGTGGTGAAACCCCATCTCTACAAAAAATACGAAAAAATTAGCCAGGCATGGTGGCACATGTCTATAATCCTAGCTACTGCGGAGGTTAAGGAGGGAGGGTCACTTGAGCCTGGGGAGATCAAGGCTGCAGAGAGCCATGATGGCGCCACTGTAATTCAGCCTGAGTGACAAAGTGAAATCCTATCTCAAAAAAAAGAAAAGAAAAAAAGTGAATGAAACTAGCAGGTCAATGCCAAGAAGATTAGAAACATTTAGCATCCAAAAATAACAAATGTACACTTTAATTTCTAAAACAGATATTTGTCTGGACATGTGTACAAGTGTGTTTCCCTAATGCAAACTTTCCCATGGATTAATATTATAATTTTCAAATGCTTTGTTTTCATTGATGATTTCTATTCATGTTACATTGGTTCCTTAAACTCTAACTGGCCTATTCTTACCCATACCTTAAACACAATAGTGTGTGCAAAGGCTGCTTCTGAGAAAGTAATTGCTCATAGACTGTCAGAATTTAGTAGAAAACGTTAATCTATAATTATTTTAAAATAGCTCTACTAGTTGCCTGTAGATCTGGGTATCCTATGGCATAATGTTTTATAAGTATCCTGGTAAGTTTGGAAAATCCTGTGCTAAACCATTTACCCAGGTTTCCTTTTTGTGGGACTTCCCAGAATTATAATTTACAAATGTGCTTTGAATCTGAAGAAGATAATTTAATATGCAGTGTCTCCAAACATTTGACCACAAAAATCCTTCAGTTTAAATGGGAACAAGAGTTTAGGAAACACTGGCTTCATCTATGAACCTGTAGCAGTCTGCGCTTGTTTCAAATGCCTAGCAAACACGCACTAGCGCGCGCGTGCACACACACACACAATTTGTCTTTCCCATTGGAAACTCCTAGGATGCTAGTTCCAGCTCCTTGATGTAATAAGTTGCTCTTTGAAATGAGGGAAACAGACCTGGTTCTCAGACCAAAATGATAATAAATGATGCAGCAAAATATAGAAAAGAGAAATATGTTAATCTCCTAAATACCTTATATTCTTTGGAGAATATTTTATGCTTAACTACCCACTTCCCACACCCGCTTGTGAGACTCATGAGCCAAGGGAACAGCCACCTTTGGCTCTCCCTCTCCCATCTGAAGTCCTCCCCACAGCTCACTCTCCCCTGCCTGCCCTCACTGTGTAGGTTTTAGAGGAACAAGGCCTGAACTAATCAATAACTGACCACCACATGTCTAGTGCAGAGGTCTTTATGAGTGTTAGCCTTCCAGTTCTGCAAAAAATGTAAAAGTGGCTGTGCCGGGCCCTCTAGCTCACACCTATAATCCTAGCACTTTGGGAGGCTGAGTCTGGTGGATCACCTGAGGTCAAGAGTTTGAGACCAGCCTGGCCAACATGGTGAAACCCTGTCTGTACTAAAAAAAACAATAATTAGCCAGGCCTGATGGTGCACACCTGTAATCCCAGCTACTCTGGAGGCTGGGTCAGGAGAATTGCTTGAATCTGGAAGGTGGAGGTTGCAGTGAGCCGAGACTGCGCCACTGCATTCTAGCCTGGCAACAGAGTGAGACTCTGTCTCAAAAAAATAAAAATAAAAAGTGACTCAAAGAAACTTTTAGAGTCACCAGAGGTCAGAGGCTATACATAGTCTTTATATATATATATACATATTTTTCCCAACATTTTATTTTGAAAAACTTCAAGCCTTCAAAAAAGTTGAAAGAATGATATAATTAACAGCCATATATTCTTCACTGAGATCAAATAATTTTAACTTTTGCCACATTGCCTGTCTCCTCCCACCTCTCTCTCTCTGTCTCACATCTCTATCTCTTTTTCCATACACAGTAAGTCCTCACTTAAAGTTGTCAATAAGTTCTTGGAAACTTCAACTTTCAGAGAAACAACTTATAACAAAGCCAATTTTACCACAGGCTAATTGATATAAACTAGAGTTAAGTTTCTTCAGCATATTTCTGGTCACAAAAACATCACCAAACTTCTGAAGCCCAAAACACATAGTATTAGACACTGAGATAAATGTGAGCTATATACACATTTAAGAAAGATGAATTTAAAAAAAAAGAAAGATGAATAAAAACTAGTAAGATAATGATTTGCCCCCTTACTCCAGTTTAATGTCACAGGTGGCCAGAGCCCATCCTGGCAGCTCAGGGCACAAGGTGACAACCAGCCCCGGACAGTCCGCAGTCCCGTGGCAGGGTGCACTCTCACACCCCCACAAGCACCCACTCACTCACAGTGCCACCACGTGGACCCGCCAGTGAACTAAATGTGCACAGCCTTGGAACGTGGGAGGAAACTGGATCACCTGGAGAAAAATCCCACAGACGTGAGGAGAACGTGCAACTCTACACAGACAGTGGCCCTGACCAGGAATATATTTCCAGGAATGATTTTTTTTCTCATCATTTTTCTCACACTGAACAAAACGACGTTGAACAAAGAGACTTATTTGAGGACTTGCTGTATTGTTTTTTTGAAAGTAAGTTGAAGACATAGAATATTCCATCCGGAAACATTCCCCACGCCTCACCTAAAAATAAGAACATTCACCTACATTATCACATTACCATCATCACATCTAATAAAAAGATAACCTAATTTCAATATTATCATCTACTATACGGTCCATATTTAAATTTTCCCAATGAGGGATTCCCTGAGCATCAGATCTTTTCTTGCTCAGGCTGGACACAGGTGGCAGGAAGAGGGCAGTGCAAGGCAAGTTGCTGACTAGGACAAAGCCCCGGGAAGCCAGGCCCCATTTTGCTGACTCTTACAGCATTACTTTCCTAATAAATAATACTGTTAATTGTTAAGAGTAATCAAATGTCTGGCTTCAGTGGTTGTGAATGTGATTTTTACTTCCAGCAAACCCATAAGAAGAAATCAAATCTGAGTTATTTATGAGTAAAAAATAAACTGAGGCTGAGCACAGTGGCTCATGCCTGTAATCCCAGCACTTTGGGAGGTGGAGGCAGGTGGATCACTTGAGGTCAGGAGTTCGAGACCAACCTGGCCAATATGGTGAAACCCCGTCTCTACTAAAAATACAAAAATTAGCCGGGCGTGGCGCATTCCTGTAGTCCCAGTTACTCAGGAAGCTGAGGCATGAGAATAGCTTGAACCTGGGAGACAGAGGTTGCAGTGAGCCAAGATGGCTCCACTGCACTCCAGCCTGGACGACAGAGTGAGACTCCGTCTCAGAAAAGAAAGAAAGAAAGAAAAAAAGAAATAAACTGAATACTAAGATTTGCATTTAATCCTTGAACTGACATTCCCTAAATGGATACCTTCTCTAGGCTTTGAAGAATTCTGATATATAAACCATTATTCTATTTTTGGAGTAGTAGAACCTTATTTATCAGGTCACCTTTCACCTCCACCAAAGCCCATGTAAGGAGCTGAACCTTTAGAGATGGAAGAAACGTTATACTCTGGGAAAAAAATAAATTGGAAATTATACTTTTAAAAAATCATTATTGTTTTATATTTGGGGATATTTGGGACATTTCTCATCTTTTCAAAATTTATAATTTGGTGTGATTTCTTGTTCTGTTTAAATATTCACTTTTGTACTTAATTTTACATTTGTAATCTTGCATTCTCTTTCTAAAGAGAGCGCTCAAAACTGTACAAGCATCAGACTACTCCAAACTGAAACCTGGATCTGCCCTGGGTCAGTTTTCAAGGTCAATTTTATGGGATTTGGCCAGTTTTATGTAGAATTTGGTTTGGGTTTTAAAGATGTTTATGCCCCAGGGTCTGGGGGGATGTAAGAGCATATTCTGTCCAGATTGTGCCTTTGGGGGGATGGGGGAACAGTAATTATCAGCAGGACTCTGGAGCTTCTTGACAGCAGGCCAGACTCTCCTAACATGTTTGTGTAGAGAGTCATTCTCCATCACATGTGTTTGGTTCTTTTAATCCTCCTGGTTTCACTATCCTTTCCCATCACCCTGTTTGCTGCTGACCACACCAACAATGGCTGTTCTCTGTAAACTTAGAACCTTGATTTCTCTTGAAAGTAGCAATCCATTGGGTTTTGTCCCAATCGAACATTTTGGGTCAGCTGTGGGAAGTAAAGTCTTTACGGCTCACAGATAAAATGTCATTGAACAAAGAAGACTGGTGTGCTGCCATCAGAGCTTCAACTAGAATGGGAAATAAAGATAATGTGTCAGCTTCACATGGCTTGCCATTGCTGTGGTCTCTGTCTGGGAAGCTAATGGCCGTATTGATTAGCCCTCAAGAGAGACATCATTCGCAAACTGACCCCTGGCGGGTGGCAGCAGACTAACATTTGTGCTCGCTTCAATAACAGATCCTGTTGCTGGGAATCGACATGGGCAGCCGTTGCCATGACAACACATCATGCAAGTCTCTAGTTTCCTCTGTAATTTTCCTGAGAAATAGTGACTATTTTTTTTTTCTTTTTTTTTTTGAGACAGAGTCTCACTCTGTGGCCCAGGCTGGAGTGCAGTGGCATGATCTTGGCTCACTACAATCACTGCCTCCCAGTTAAAGTGATTCTCCTGCCTCAGCCTCCCAAATAGCTGGGATTACAGATGCTCACCACCAAGCCCAGCTAATTTTTGTATTTTTAGTAGAGACAGGGTTTCACCATCTTGGCCAGGCTGGTCTCGAACTCCTGACCTCAGGTGATCCACCACCTCAGCCTCCCAAAGTGTTGGGATTACAGGCATGAGCCTCTGTGCCTGGCCATGACCACTTCTCAGTCCTACCTAGGAACTTGAGTTTTGCCTGCAAGACCATGAATGTCAGCCCATAACTCAAATACCGTAGGTTTGTCAGTACTAGAAAATGTTGCATAGATTTAGGTTGCAAACTATACAAAATAAGCTTAAAGACATGTGAAACCATGACAATGCAGAAATGGTTTAAAAATTGATTATTGGAGGAAAGTTATCTTATTTTAATAAGGAAGTACTTGTACTATAAAGGAACTATAGGTTGGGTGTGGTGGCTCACACCTGTAATCTCAGCACTTTGGGAGGCCGAGGCAGGGACATTGCCTGAGGCCAGGAGTTCCAGACCAGCCTGGCCAACATGGTGAAACCTTGTCTCTACTAAAAATACAAACATTGGCTGGGCATGGGAGTATGCGCCTGTAATCCCAGCTATTCAGGAGGCTGAGCCAGGAGAACCGCTTGAACCTGCGAGGCAGAGGTTGCAGTGAGCCGAGACCACACCACTGCACTCCAGCCTGGGCGATAGAGTGAGACTTCATCTCAAAAAAAAAAGAAAAAAAAAAGAGCTATATATGTGTACAAATTATGTTTACTAACATAAATGAGGAATAATGAAAACTGATTGATATTTCAAAATTCAGCTGCATCATTAGAGATCCTTAATATTGCATCCCTTCTCCTAATTACTGTGATATGCCTGTCAGATCAGGGTTAGGATTCAGGGAGAGCAGCTCCAGGCTGGGGCAGGACAGGGGGTTTGTAAATCTCTTGTGGTACCATATATGGAGCAAACTGAGACTTGAAAAATACTTGTGTCTTAGGCTTTAGAATTATGACTGCCCTCTGAAGAAGCCCATACGAGCTTCCTGGAAGATGACAGACATGTGGCCTAATCATCCCTGTTACCTCAGCTCAGCTGATAAGCCAGCCAACCGCCAGTCATGACGGTGAGGCCATCCCAGATCATCCTGTGGCCAGTCACCCCTCCAGGTGGCCACACATGGGAAACTGAAATCAGCTGAGCTGACTCAGAACAGGAGAACCACCCACCCGACCAGATCATCAGACATGTAAAAGCAAAAGCAGATACCTAATGAAAACAAAAAATCTCTCTCATCAGGTATGTAGAGTCATGCATCAGTTAACATTGTGAATAGCCTTAACGTTGGAAATGTGTCACTAGGCAATTTCATCACTGGGCAAGCATTACGGGGTGTGCTTATACAAACCTAGATGGTATAGCCTACTCCACACCTGGTCTATATGGTATAGCTGATTGTTCCTGGGCTACAAACCTTTACAGTATGTGACGGTACTGAATACTGTAGGCAGTTGCAACCCAGTAGTATTTCTGTATCTAAATATATCTAAACATAGAGAAGGTACAATAAAAATACAATATTATAATCTTATGGGGCTACCGTTTTCTAGGCGGGCCATCCTATTAGAGGTGCATTGTGGATGGAAATGTCATATGTACTGCAGGACTGTACTTGATAATACTGCCGTTATTATTACAAATACACCGTGCTTTTTATCTTTTTCGATGGGGATATTTTGAGATAGAGTTTTTCAGAATTCCAGTACTCATGGAGCACAAACTATAGCAGTATTATAAACAGAACTGAGGAGGTCCACATGTAGGCAGACTCCTCGAACACTGATTTCAATGAGGATATCACAGAATTCATTGTCTGCCACTATAAAAATACGATGAACTCAAAGAGTATTTGAGGTTATTTTTGCTCAAGAAAATTTGAAATGTCCTGAAATCATATAAACCATATATGAAACATGATAGAGGTTTTCTCAAATTTGACAAATCTGTTCAAAATGCTGCAAAACCAAAAGAAAGTTTTTTTAAGCTATAGAAACAAAACAGCCAGGCATGGTGGCTAACCCCTATAATCCTATCACTTTGGGAGGTCGAGGCAAGAAAATCACTTTAGCTGGGGAGCTTGAGACCAGCCTGGGCAACAGAGTGAGACCTTGTCTCTATTAAAAAGGGAAAAAAAAGAGGCAGGGCACGGTGGCTCATGCCTGTAATCCCAGCAATTTGGGAGGCCGAGGTGGGAGGATCACCTGAGGTCAGGAGTTGAGACCAGCCTGGTCAACATGGTGAAACTCCATCTCTACTAAAAATACAAAAATTACCTGGGCATGGTGGCAGGTGCCTGTAATCCCAGCTACTCAGGAGGCTGAGGCAGGAGAATCACTTGAACCTGGGAGGTGGAGATTGCGATGAGCCAAGATCATGCCACTGCACTCCAGCCTGGGCAACAAGAGCGAAACTCCATCTCAAAAAAAGAAAAAGAAAAAAAACCCACAAATTTTGATCAACTGCAACATTGGATTCTTTCTATAATAAGATTACGGTATCTCTGTAATGCTAATACAAAAGCATTGTCTCATGAAGAGGACATCAAAGAAACTGCATCCCAAAAAGCAGGAGAAAAAATACCATAGAGATGTGTCAGGCAGATAATAAAACAATAAAAATATTGTTTTTAGGGTCCTTGCTTCCAAGATGACAAAGAAAAGAAGAAACAATGGTGTTGCCACAAAGGATCACAGCCATGTGCAGCCTACGGATAAGGCTATTAGGTTCATCATTCAAAACACAGCAAAGGCTGCAGTTGTTAGGGACATTTCTAAAGAATATCTTTGATGCCTATGTGCTTCCCAAGCTGTATATGAAGCTGCATTATGGTGTGAGTTGTGCCATTCACAGCAAGGTAGTCAGGAATCAATCTTGTGAAGCCCACGAAGGCTGAACATTCCCATCTCGATTTAGACCTGCAGGTGCTGCCTCATTACCTCCACCAAAGCTCATGTAAGGAGCTGAGTCCTTAGAGACTGAAGAAACATTATTCTCTGGAAAAAGAAGAAAATGGAAAGGATAATTTAAAATATTATTGTTGTTTTAGATTTGGGGATATTTAGGATATTTGACACCTTTTCAAAATTTGTAGTTTGGTATGATTTCTTGTTCTGTTTAAATGTTCACTTCTGTACTTAATTTTGCATTTGTAATCTTATATTATTTTTCTTAAAGAGAACTCTCAAAATTGTGTAAGCATCAAGCTATTCCGAACCTAAATCTGGATCTGTCCCTGGTCAGGTTTCAACGTTGGTTTTATGGGAATCACTTGATATGGACTCAACAATGTCATCAAGGATTTCCTTTATTTCCATCCCTCTGCTCTGAAATCTGTGATGTCAGCATCACCCTAATGCTGCCTTTTTGACAGTGACAATGGAGCTGACTTCCTCCATGGAACTGTAGCAGTTCCAAGCTTTCATCTGTACTGTGTGCCATCCAGAAGGAGAGGGACAGCTGGTTTCTCATTGTTCTCTCAGAAGAATGAGAAAGCTCAAACAGAAGCTCCCATCACTAATGTGATTCCTAAATCAGCCACATTCCCCTTCCTGAATGCTGATTGGCTTAGGTTTGATTACCTGAAGAACTTAATGGTAGCAAGGTGGATGGAATTACTAGAATGGGGTTAACCCTCTCCCCAAGTCTCCTGGCTGGTACACAGTAAAGGTGAAAAGAGTGCTTGGAAGACAACCACGATGTCCAGTGGAGGGAAGACATGAGCACACCTTAGATATTCTATGGACTAAATTCTACATCAAGTGTCAGTCATCTAGGAGACAAAGATAAACAATAACTTGATACCTCCCAGCTCCTCCTCACTGAGACAGTCTCTTCATTTTAAGAGACTGTTTTGGTTTGAGATATTTGATTCTAATACTACTACAAAAGGAATTTAGAAACTGCAATATATCTCACTTTTAAAGTCTCTACTCATTCAGTAAACAAACAATATATGCCTACGGCATACCCTTCAAGGAGTGGGATGCAAAATGAAATTTTTGACATCATAAGTTAAAAAGCTTATTGAGGCCGGGCATGGTGGCTCATGCCTGTAGTCCCAGCACTTTGGGAAGCTGAGGAGGGTGGATCACTTGAGGTCAGGAGTTCCAGACCAGCCTGGCCAACATGGTGAAACTACATCTCTACTAAAAATAGAAAAATTAGCGGGTGTGGTGGCACATGCCTGTAATCCAGCTACTCTGGAGGCGGAGGCAGGAGAATTGCTTGAACCCAGGAGGCGGAGGTTACAGTGAGCCAAAATTGCGCCACTGCACTCCAGCCTGGGTGACAGAGTAAGACTCCATCTCAAAAAAAAAAAAAGCTTATTGAGATGTCTTAAGTGAAAAATTAAAATAATAAAATGTTTAAATAACTGAAATAAATAAATATTTGTTCAAGATGACAATAGAGGAGATGATGCAAGATGGTACAAGGATAGCTTCCAATGAGTTGTACAGATAATAATAATAGCGACAGGAGCTGGTTTCCATATATATATATGCGTACCATATATGGTACGCATATATATATGATTTGCATATATGTATATATGGAAGCTATTACTTTTTTTTTTTAGGAAGATATCACTTCTTATTGGGACAGTAGATGGCTGTCCTAGCATCTTCCTAGCATCAGCACACTTCCCCGTGTCAGAGATGAGACAGAAAATGCAATCATTGGCCAGGCACAGTGGCTCACCCCTGTAATCCCAGCACTTTGGGAGGCCAAGGCGGGTGGATCATTTGAGATCAGGAGTTTGAAACCAGCCTGGCCAACCTGGTGAAACCCCATGTCTACTAAAAATACAAAAATTAGCTGAGTGTGGTGGTGAGCACCTGTAATCCCAGCTATTCAGGAGGCCTGGGAGGCCGAGGTTGCAGTGAGCAGAGACAGTGCCATTGCACTCCAGCCTGGGTGACAGAGCGAGACTCCATCTTGAAAAAAAAAAAAAAGAAAGAAAGAAAAGAAAGTGCAATCATTGCTGCTTCAGTAGACTGAGGGGGTTTGCTTAGAACATAGTCCTAGTCTAGCATTTCATAACTTGTTCTCTTATTTGCTAAAGAAGGTGAAGTGGTTCAATGGAATGAGCACTAGGCCAGGACACAGAAGACTTGGTTCTACTTCCAGCGCTACTACTAATTTACATAACACCTTAGGAAAGTCACAGCCTTTCTGTGCCTTAGTTTGCTGGGAACATAAGCCAAACTCCCACACAGATTATTCCCCTATTCTGTACTTTCTAGCCTCCTTGAAGGGCTGCTTCCCTTGCAGAACAATTTTGCTGGACACTCTAATGGTCAGTCTATCCTCACAAGCCACTTCTCTGCCTGGTTACCACTTCCTCTTCTCAGAAGTCCCCTTTCCTTGTACTGGCTGTCTTGCCCTTGTTGATAATTATCTTCCCACCTCCAGCAGCCGTGCTGCAATACTGCATGCACTGATAATTTTTTAACCTTTATCACTAGCTCTGAGTTAGCATTTAGATTAATTTATTGCACAAACATTTATAAGTCCCTATATATGCTAGGCAGAGAGTTAAAAATAAAATGTTAAACAACAACAACAACAAGTTTGCCCTTATAAAGCAAACAATGGATAGATGCACCAAGGAGCTTATAGTGGTAGAGGGGAGTCACAAACAAAGGTCTTTTGCTCCAACTATGAGAACTTAGGCAAGTCATTTGAATTCTTAGGTTAGCTTAGATGAGTCTAGGACTTCTTCCATTTCCAAAAATCTCTAATTCTGCTTCAACCTTGTTCTATTTTGTGAAAATGTATCTTACATTTCAACAACAACAACAAAAACCAAGATAGAGAATCTAAATGCATTAAATAGTAACTCAAAGTGAGGGTAGGTTTCATTAGCTCTGTATACAAAGAAAAACACATTATTGAAAACCTGATTTATATGTGTATGTGTTTTTAGTAAAATTCAATACGGTTTTGTTTCCAAATAACAGTTATTTAGAAGACCCTGAAAACCCGATTCAGGATTACAGTTAAATAGAAATAATTTATAAAAATAGTTAAGGCTCACAGAGGTGAAATTATAAAGACAACTTTCAGGACTCAGTATAGACAGCTGCTAAGTGTTATCTTTTTCACACACTGTGCAAGCTATATTTGACCACTCCTAAGGGGCCCTGATCTAGCCACCACCTCCACTCCAGGCCAAGCCAAATGGCTGCTGTACCCTCTCTCTCTCTCCCTCCCTGATCCATCTCCAGGTCTATGAGTTCTTCAAAATTCCTTCTCCAAAACACTCTGGCCTTTCTTTCTCTTGGTTCTGAAAAATTAAATTCATCTTCTAAATGATATTCTATATAAAAATCTATTAAACTTCTAGACTAGTTAATATTTTTATATTCAATATTTTGTGATGCCTATTTTGATGTTTTTAGTACATTATTGTCTGGGTAGATTATTTAGTTAGGGACTGGGCCACTGGAAGCCTAGCTGCCAGTCCTTTCTCTGCCATTAACTAGCAGTGCGATCTTCCATGAGCTTCTCAATCTCTTTAAGCCACCATTCTGCAATCTACAAAATAAGGAAATCAGACTAGATATGCTATTTTTAAATTGCTAATTGTGTAAGTAATGCATACAATATATTCTCCGTATAAATTTTAAATACAATGCAGATAAGTTTGAAGTTCTCTTTGGACTTCCCCCGCCATTTTCTCAAGCCCAGTACCTTTTCATTTCTCTGGTGTTATCAGTTTGGCATCTTCTTCCAGAATACTTTCTTTACACTTACATAAGCTCCCCACCAGATTTAATATTTTACATATGAAAAACTAAGCAGTAATTATGCAAAGAAATGAGAGTTCAACTTGTGTACAAATGCATCATTTTCCAGATGGGAACATTTTCATTTTTGGCCCTAATGAATGTTCTAAAAACAATATTAAATCTAAAATCAAAACACTTTTTATAATGCAAAACTCGAAATATCTGCTACAAAGAACTCATAAAATATAAAGATTAATAAAAAAGAGAAATATCAATATGAGTGACATATTTTATAACCTTTAGTTATGTAAAAGGTTTACGAAAAGGGAAACTTCTAGAGGTAAATATTATATCATTTTATTACGAGAATTTTTTTTTTTTGAGATGGAGTCTTGTTCTATCGCCCAGGCTGGAGTGCAGTGGCGTGATCTTGGCTGACTGCAACCTCGGCCTCCCAGGTTCAGGTGATTCTCCTGTCTCAGCCTTCTGAGTAGCTGGGATTACAGGCATGCACCACCACACCTGGCTAATTTTTGCATTATTAGTAGGGACGGGGTTTCACCATATTGGCCACGCTGGTCTTTAACTCCTGACCTCAGGTGATCCTCCTGCCTTGGCCTCCCAAAGTGCTGGGATTACAAGCATGAACCACCGTGTCCACCCTTTTTTTTTTTCTTTCTTTTTTTTTTTAATTTTGAGACAGAATCTCACTCTGTCACCCAGGATAGGATGCAGTGGTGCCATCTCTGCTCACTGCAACTCCACTTCCTGGGTTCAAGCAATTCTCATGCCTTAGCCTCCCAAGTAGCTGGGATTACAGGCATGTGCCACCATTCCCAGCTAATTTTTGTATTTTTAGTAGAAACGGGGTTTCACCATGTTGCCCAGGATGGTCTCGAACTCCTGAGCTGAAGCGATTTACCCTCCTAGGCCTTACAAACTGCTGGGATTTCAGTCATGAGCCACTGTTCCTGGCCTATTAGGAATTATTTTTATAACCTCCATTACTAAATCTGTTAATAGCCTAAGTAGCCTATCAGGCACACACCGTCCGTTGAACTTTTATTGTGAATAGCTACTATATTTAGAACTGCTTTTTAGGTGAATCAACAATGCCACTTCCTAAAGTTATCCAGTCACCAGGACCAATGAGAAAGTAGAAAGAATAGGCCATTATAATGATTAATTTTGTGTGTCAACTTGGCTGGGCCGCAGTGCCCAGATACATGATCAAGCATCATTCTGGATGTTACTGTGGGGGTATTTTGGGTGAGATTACGACTTACATCAGTGGATTTTGAGTAAAGCAGATTGCCTTCCATAATGTGAGTGAACCTCATCCAATCATTTGAAGGCCTGACCTCCCCTGAGTAAGAGTAAATTCTGCAGCCTTTAGACCGCAAGTGCAACATTGACTCATCCCTGCATCTCTAGCCTGCTGGCCCACCCTGCAGATTTTGGACTTGTCAATCTCCATAACTGTGTGAGCGAATTCCTTAAAATACATTTCTTTCTGTATATAAATACATCCTGTTTGTTCTGTTTCTCTGGAGAATCCTGTCTAATACAGTTACACACACACACACACACACACACACACACACACACACACACAAATTCTGTTCTATTTATATATAATTAACATACCATAAAATTCACCCATTTAAAATGTACAATTCAGTGATTTTTATAATATTCACAGAGTTGTGCAACCATCACCACAATCAATTTGGTTTTTTATTTACTTATTTAAAATAAAGTAGAGATGAGGTCTCATTGTATTGTCCAGGTTGGTCTCGAACTCCTGGACTCATGTGATCCTCCCACCTTGGTATTTATTTATTTTTTAGAGATGTGATCTCCCACTGTCACCCAGGCTGGAGTGTAGTGGCCCAATCATAGCTCATTATAACCTTGAATTCCTGGGCTCAAGTGATCCTTCTGCCTCAGCACACTAAGTAGCTAGGACTACAGGTGCACACCACCAAACCCAGCTAATTTTGAAAAATATTTTTTGTAGAAATGGGGGTCTCACTATGTTGGTCAGGCTGATATAAAACTCCTGGCCTTAAGCAATTTCCTCACCTCAGCCTCCAAAAGTGCTGGGATTACAGGTATGAGTCACTGCATCCGGCCTTGTTTTCATTTCTTTTAGGTATATACCTAGCAGTGGAATTGCTGAGTCATATGGCAACTCTATGTTAAACTTCTTGAGGAACTGCCAGACTGTTTCCAAAGAATTTGCACTATTTTTCATTCCCACCATTATTATATGCAGGTTCCAATGTCTCCACATCCATGCCAACACTTGTTATTTTCCATCATTTTCATTTTAGCCATTCTAGTAGGTATGAAGTGGTATCTCTTTGTAGTTTTGATTATTTTTCTAATAATGAATGACATCAGACATCAAGCAACTTTTCATGTGCTTATTGGCCATTTGTAAATCTTCTTTGAAGAAATCTTTGTTCAGACCTTTTGCCCATTTTTTAATCATTGTCTTTATTTTTGAGTTGTAATAGTTATTTACATATTCTAGGTATAAGTTCCTTATCAGATATAAGGTTTGCAAAAATTTTCTCCCCTTCTATGAGTTGCCTTTTCACTTTCTTGATGGTGGTGTCTTTTGAAACACAAAAATTTTAAATGTTCACAAAATCCAATTTATTTACTTTTTCCTTTTGTTGCTTGTGTTTTTGGTGTCAAACCCAAGAAAGCATTGCCTTTCCAAAGTCATAAAGAGTTACATCTATGTTTTCTTCCAAGAGTTTTGTACTTCTAGCTCTGGTAGTTAGGTCTTTGATCCATTTTGAGTTAATTTTTTTTTTTTCCTTAGGTATGGTCTCCCTACATTGCCCAGGCTGGACTCAAACTCCTGGGCTCAAGAGATCTTCCCACCTCAGCCTCCCAAGTAGCTGGGACTACAGGCATGCACTACCACACCTGGCTCATTTTGATTTATTCTTACATATGGTGTGAAGTCAGAGTCCGCCTTCATTCATTTGTATGTAGATACCCAGTTGTCCCAGCACCATTTTGCTGAAAAGACTATTCTTTTCCCATTGAATTGTCTTAGCGCCGTTGTCAAAAAATCAATTGACTGTAAATATAAGAGTTTATTTCTGAACTCTCAATTCTAGTCTACTGATCATAAGTCTAGCCTTTTGTCAGTACCACACTCACTTGATTAATGTACCTTTGTAGTAAGTCTTGAAATTAGGAAGTGTGAGTCTTTCTACTTTGTTCTTTCTCAAGATTGTTTGAGTACCTTGCATTTCCATATGAATTTAGAATCAGCTTAAATTTTCCACTTTTAAAAAAGGTAGCTGGGGGCTGGGCTTGGCAGCTCACGTCTGTAATCCTAGCACTTTGGGAGGCTGAGGCAGGCAGATCATTTGAGGTCAGGAGTTCAAGACCAGCCTGGCCAACATGGTGAAACCCTGTCTCCACTAAAAATACAAAAATTAGCCTGGCACAGTGGCACGTGCCTGTAGTCCCAGCTACTCAGGAGCCTGAGGCACAAGAATTGCTTAAGCCCAGGGGGCAGAGGTTGCAGTGAGCCAAGCCTGTGCTACTGCACTCCAGCCTGGGCAACAGAGTGAGGCTCTGTCAAAAAAAAAAAAAAAAGAAGAAAGAAAATAATGAAGGAAGGAAGGAAGGAAAGAAAGAAAGAAGAAAGAAAGAGAGAGAGAGAGAAAGAAAGAAAAAAGAAAGAAAGAAAGAAAAAGAAAGAAAGAAAGAATTTCAAAAGGTAGCTGGATTCTAGAGACTGAGGTGGGAAGATCACTAGAGCTGGAGTGGTGAAGACTGCAGTGAACTGTGATTATGCCACTGCACTCCAGCCTGGGTATAGAGTGAGACCCTGTCACAAAAATAAAATAAAATAAATAAAATAAGGCAGCTAGGATTTTGATTGGAATAGCATTGAATCTGTAGATTAATTTGGAAAATATTACCATCTTAATGTTAAGTCTTCTAATTCATGAACATGGGATGTCTTTCCATTTATTTAGATCTTCTTTAATTTCTTTCAACAATATTTGATAGTTTTCAGATTACAGGTTTGCACTTATTTTAATTCACTCCTAAGTATTTTAATTCCTTTTGATCCTTTGCATATGTAACTGTTTCCTTTACACCATTTTCACTTTATTTATTTATTTGTATTTGTATATATTTTTTTGAGACAGAGTCTCGCTCTGTCTCCCAGGCTGGAGTGCAGTGGTGCGATCTCAGCTCACTGCAACCTCCGCCTCCTGGGTTCAAATGATTCTCCTGCCTCAGCCTCCTAAGTAGCTGGGATTACAGGTGCGCGCCACCATGCCCACCTAAGTTTTGTATTTTTAGTACAGATGGGGTTTTGTCATGTTGACCAGGCTGGTCTCGAACTCCTGACCTCAGGTGATCCACCCACCTTGGCCTACCAAAGTGCTGGGATTACAGGCATGAGCCACCACACCCGGCCTAACGTCATTTTTAAATTGTTCATTGGAGTATACAGAAATACAATTGATCTTAGACCAACCTGGGCAACATGGTGAAACCCTGTCTTGTCAAAAAATTATCTGGGTGTGGTGGTGCACACCTGTAGTCTCAGCTACTCAGAAGGCCGAGGTGGCAGAATTACCTAAGCCTGGGAAGTCAAGGCTGCAGTGAGCTATGACCATACTACTGCACTCTCACCTGTGCGACAGAGCGAGACCCAGTCTCAAAAAAAAAAGACAGAAAAGAAAAACACAATTGATCTTGTATGCTGCAACCTTGCCAAACTTGTTTATTAGCTCTAAGAGTTTTTGTAGATTCCTTTGTATTTTGTACACACAAGATTGTGCCATTTGTAAGCAGAGATAGTTTTACTCCTTCCTTTCCAATCTGGATGTTTCATTTCTTTTTCTTACATCATTGTCCTGGCTAGAATCTGTAGTGCAGTGTTGAATAGAAGCCGTGAGAGCAAATATCCTTGTCTTATTCCTAATCTTAGGAGGAAAGCTTTCAGCCTTTCACTATTAAGCGTGATGTTATCTGTGGGTTTTTTGTAGATGTTTTTCTCTAAGTTGAGAAAATTCCCTTCTATTCCTAATTTATTGCATGCTATTATCATGAAAGGGTGTTTGGATTAGTCAAATAAAGAAAAGCTTTTGAGGCCGGGTGCAGTGTCTTATGCCTGTAATCCCAGCACTTTGGGAGGCCAAGGCAGGCAGACTGCTTGAGCTCAGAAGTTTGAGACCAACCTGGGCAACATGATGAAACTCTGTCTCTGAAAAAAACAAACAAACAAACAAACAAACAAACAAATAGCTGGGTGTGGTGGCACATACCTATAGAGCTACCAGGCAGGCTGAGGTGGGAGGATCACTTGAGCCTGGGTGTTGGAGACTGCAGTGAGCCATAATCGTGCCACTGCACTCCAGCCTGGGTGACAGAGCTGAGACCCTGCCCCCACCAAAAAAAAAAAAAAAAATGGAATAGCTTTTGAAAATAATGTGAATTATATTTTATTTTCATTTAGATATCACTTAAAATTAGAGCATAGCTTACAAAGTAACTAGAGTTGTTAAGAAGGGTTTCCCTGGAACACAGAGGGCTGAATTGGTGCAGTGATCACCAATTCTGGAATATGTGTTAAATAACTCTGGGGTTGAGGATTCATAAAAGAGCTAAGTAAGTGGGGAAAAATCTCACCTATAGAAGCACAGTAAACAATGCAGAGGAACGGCAGATAGTGTGCTCTGGTTAGGTGTAAAATTCATCCTCATGAAACCACTTAACCAGCATTTGACTTCAATGTAAATCACTGGAATGATTTAACATGAATAAGAATTTCAGAATCCTTATTATAAGCCATTTTGTCAATTATGACTGGACACCTGCAGAGCAGATTCCACATGTATTTTTTCTTTCTTTCTTTTTTTTTTTTTTTTTTGAGATGGACTTTTGCTCTTGTTGTCCAGGCTGGAGTGCAATGGCACAATCTTGGCTCACCACAACCTCCAACTCTCAGGTTCAAGAGATTCTCCTGCCTCAGCCTCCTGAATAGCTGGGATTACAGGCATGTGCCACCATGCCCAACTAATTTTGTATTTTTAGTAGAGACGAGGTTTTTCCATGTTGGTCAGGCTGGTCTTGAACTCCTGACCTCAGGTGATCTGCCCACCTTGGCCTCCCAAAGCGCTGGGATTACAGGCATGAGCCACTGAGCCTGGCCCAAATGTATTTTTTCTTAAGAAGTAAAACATCTTGAGATTTAACTTATGCCAGAGAAGTATTCTGGGTTAAATATTCCCAGCACAATATCTTCTCTCTTTCATTAAAATCTGCATATTTTAGTGACTAATGTTTTTAAACACATATAACTTGCTAACTACAATTATGTCAATTACATAGCTAAATTCAAAAACTTAGTGGCCAACTAGCATATTCATCAGCTGGTCACCCTCAATGTGTTCAAAATATGGTAGCATCATGTGAATCTTTCCATTCATTCTGTATTTTGCTTTGTTTTGTTTTTGTTTTTTTTGTTTTTTGTTTTTTTGAGACGGAGTCTTGCTCTGTCACCCAGGCTGGAGTGCAGTGGCGCAATCTTGGCTCACTGCAAGCTCCGCCTCCCGGGTTCATGCCATCCTCCTGCCTCAGCCTCCCGAGTAGCTAGGACTACAGGCGCCCGCCACCACGCCCGGCTAATTTTTTGTATTTTTAGTAGAGACAGGGTTTCACCGTGTTAGCAAAGATGGTCTTGATCTCCTAACCTCGTGATCCACCCGCCTCGGCCTCCCAAAGTGCTGGGATTACAGGCATGAGCCACCGTGCCCAGCCTGTATTTTGCTTTGTTTTAGCAGTGGGAGATGTTTATGCAAGTTCTTGGGAAAGTAGGGGGTGAGAAATTTCAGGCAAATTATCCCCATATATATGACAAAACTGAATCACATTACCTTCTGGTTTGGTTATATAAAAATCCTCCTTCCTGGCTGGGTGCTGTGGCTGACACCTGTAATCCCAGCACTTCGGGAGGCCTGGGCAGGCGGATTGTTTGAGGCCAGGAGTTTGAGACCAGACTGGGCAACAAAGTGAGACCTCATCTCTACAAAAAATGTTTAAAAAAATTAGTTGGGTGTGGTGGTGCCACATGTAGTCCCAGCTACTCAAGAGGATGAGGTGGAAGGATTTGCTTGAGCCTAGGAGCTTGAAGCTACAGTGAGCTGTGATTGCACCACTGCACTCCAGCCGGGGCGACAGAGAGAGACCCTGCCTTAAAAATAAAGTTAAATAAAATAAATTAAAAATGAAAATAAAATTAAGTAATTAATTTAATTTAATGAAAAGATGAAATTTCATTATACCACCTAAAATTGCTGTACCAACAGCCATTGCTTCTCCTTCAAACACAGGCTGTTTGAGAAGAATGCAGCCTCCTTCTCAAACAGCCTGTGTAAGATTATATTCTCATTCACAACTAAATGGTATATTAGCTAAGATGCTTTTGGGCGCATGTAGCAGAAAACAACTCATGTTACCTTTAGCAAAAACAAAAAGAGAGACTTTATTATGAGGACACAGACATCTCATAATATCCAACAACAGAAATTCGAACAGGCTGGAGGGAAGAACTGAAAAACCATCAGAGCCCAAGCAGTTCTCTTTGGACCTAGTTTATGCTTCTCCTTCTACAGAATACCTGTTTCTTCTTAATCCACATGAGTCGAAAGCAATGGCCATCCCACAGCTTCTGAGTTTACATACATATCATAGCCAGACTGATTTTCTTTATTCCCTCTCAAGTCCTAAGAGAAAATTTCATTGGCCCAGTTTGGATCAGATGCCTACCTGTGACCAGAGGTGGACATCCTGCTACCTGCAATCCAGCCCTGAGGCCCAGGAAGTATTCAACGGGTCTTTTATAAGGTAGATCTTTTATAAGGTAGGAAGATATACTAAAGAGTGCGTACAACAAATGGATAGGACTGTACAAACCCAGTTCCTCTCTCAAATTCAACAAAAACATGAGTCATCCCTTCTCTCCTGGGATGAACCAACTAAAGGCACAGAGAAAATCCCAAGAGCATTAGAGAATCAATCTCCCTCCACACAGAAATATCAGATCTAGTGTAAGAATAAGCTAAGCTGGCTTATCAGTGACCCACTCCAACTGGACGACTGCCATGACAAAATACACCTGTAAAGTCAAACGCCACATTAAACAATGTGTGTTCATTCTCCTTCCCTCAATGTTTTGCTTAAATCTTATGGGTTATGCAAGCAGAGCTAAAAAATATTTTATGCGTAAGATAACCAAAGCATTTAGGCTAATAATAAAGCAATTTGTGCTTATAGCCTTTATTTGGAAAAGGCAAATGATTTAAATGTTAACTTTAAGGAGTCACTGAACTGATAATTATCTATTGTTTTGTTATGTTTTACTTTCCCCTACAGGTTTGCTAGTCTTTGGATATATTAGTAAGTGTGGGACATCTTGCATAGGAAAAAAAAAGTTACTTTTAGATATAAATTCAAAGTTGAGATGTTTAAAAAATAATTTTAGGTACAGTTACCACAGATTTTCCCCTTACAGATGAATAATTTGCTAGACTGAGTTCTAGGAATACCTAAAACTCATCTTTTTCCCTAGCAGATAACAATTCATGTTAAGTAGGCACTGTCTCTAAATATATTCTCCTAGTCTCATCTTTCAACATTATCTGCTAAATTTAACTACAGATCCTTAAGTTACATTTTTTTCCATAAATGGTGTTAAGCAAAGGTATTTTAATGTGGGAAGAACATAGTGCAAGGTAGAAATAATCTTGATTTTATTTCTGATGCTCTCGTTGACAATGGAAAACTTATTTCGCCTTCTTCTTCTGTAAATTTTATACAATGACAATGCTTTACAGCTTTGTGGTAAGAAAAAAATATGAAGATGTAGCAAATATAAAAATTGCTATGATGGCTGACACTGTTGTTGGTGATCTTGCTCTGCTTATAGGAACACAGACATTTTACTTAGACTTAACTTTCAGAAATTCAACCTTTAGAGTCTCAAGTAAGTTAACAATAATATCTGCATTTGTATAATGCTTTACAGCTTATAAATAATTTCTGTAAATGTTATTCATTTATTCCACATAAATGTTACATGACAAAAGTGTTACCATCAGAGGAGACAGAGGCTCTGACATGTCAACTGATCTGCCCAAGTTGACACAAATAGTAGTAAAATTCAGATTCAAATCTCAGATTCAAACTCCATCTGTTGACTCTAGCTCCAGCATTTTCCCTTATTTGTAGTGGAGCTACTCTAATGTTTTTAAAAGCTTCTGATCCTTTTTCTCATCCTAATTTATAATATAGGAGTCAAGTGGAGAAATTCACCAGAGTTTGGCCACCATGTCTGGATAGGTCAGAGATCCTGATGGCTTCTTTTAGCCACTTAAATTTTAAATTCCTTTAACTACTTCTTTAACTCCTCACCCTACTTATTTGTTATTTGCCTATGCTTTTGTCCCTATTAAATAGAGATGTCTTCAATTTCAAAATAATGGAATACATCCTGGATTGATACCAGTCGAGGGAACACATAATAAGGGAAAGGAACAAATGATAAATCAGATGATTTTATGGCACATTGGTTTGGCATAGGACTAGTAACACATGGCTGGGTTCAAATTCAGATTGCTAAATGTGAACCTCAATTTCCTTATTGGAAAATGAGGTCAGCAATATCTATTTCATACGGTTGAAGCGTGCACTAGTTTGTTTTCACACTGCTATAAAGAACTACTTAAGACTGGGTAATTTATAAAGGAAACAGGTTTAATTGACTCACAGTTCTGCATGTCTGGCGAGGCCTCAAGAAACTTACAATCATGGCAGAAGGCGAAGGGGAAGCAAGGCATGTCTTAAATGGTGGCAGGAGAGAGGAGAGGAGGATCCACCACGCACTTCTAAACCATCAGATCACGTGAAAACTCCCTCACTATCATGGGAACAGCATGAGGAAAACTGCCGCCATGATCCAATCACTTCCCACCAGGTCCCTCCCTCAACACATGGGGATTACAATTCCAGATGAGATTTGGGTGGAGACACAGAGTCAAACCATATCAGAGTGAGAGTCGAATAAACACATGGGGTATGGAGGGATGTGTGGTGTGTGTATAAATACATATTTATTAGTGGTTGGAAGAGTGATTGGTACAAAATAAGTGCACAACAAATAAAAATTGCATGACTTCAGTTGGAGAAATTTGTAAATAAGTCATGTTTGAAAGAAGAGGCTCTGAACACCGGTAAGCAGCACGTATTAGTTTTACAATTTCCTCTTGTTCCATCTTGTAAGTGCTGATGATAGTGGACTTTAGGCAAGAATCTATTCAGCTGAGCATGCATAAACACAGCCCAGAGGACATTTAAACAATGCTCTTAAATAGAAAGCAAAATGTAGAGTTTCCTCATGAATGAGATGCTTCATATCACTTTCCGGCTACAGCCTGTTAAACATTTTATTCACCAATATGTGTAAGGAGCAAAGCCCATGCGTGACAGATGGCAACCCAATTCTGGCTTCTCTAAAATGGCTTTCCACTTACTCACACCAGCCCAGGGATCTGTTGAATCAAGCACTGCAGATGAAGCCTCAGCTCTGAATACTATTTCACAGTGTGACTCAGAGACCAACTGCATTTTCCCTGATCAGGGATAGCCAAGCATTGAAACATGGTCTGAATTCAGAGTCTGGATCTAAAGAAAATGTACATACAATTGGTCATCCAACTCCAACAAGTTTATGTATGTATATAAAAGCATAGGAGAATAGAAAAATCATTTTGATCAGCCATTAAATTATCGATAGCAATCAGGATTTAAACAAAGTACCTGGGCCTCCTATAGTCAACATCCAATTCAAACAGCAAAAATCTAAGGACTAACCTTGATGCCTCTCTTTTCCTTAACTTTCCTCACATCCAGTAATAACGATTTCAAATGTTAAATAACCCTTAAATCCAGGCAATTCTCTGTGTTACCACTGCAACTCCTACTCTAAGCCAACATCATCTATCCCTTGGTCCCTCTATATTTATTTATTTATTTATTTATTTATTTATTTATTTATTTAGAGATGGAGTCTCACTCTGTCACCCAGGCTGGAGTGCAGTGGCATGATCTCGGCTCAGTGCAAACTTCGCCTCCTGGGTTCAAGCAATACTCCTGCCTCAGCCTCCCGAGTACCTGGGATTACAGGCCTGTGCCACCACACCTGGCTAATTTTTGTATTTTTAGTAGAGACGGGGTTTCACCATGTTGGTCAGGCTGGTCTCAAACTCCTGACTTTGTGATCCGCCCGCTTCGGCCTCCCAAAGTGCTGGGATTACAGGCGTGAGCCACCGTGCTGGCGGTCCCCCTATATTTAATCTGACCCTCCTTAATGCAGTCTGAAAGAGCTCTTCCAAATGCAAACTTGGTCCTGTCACTGCCTCCGCATCATTCTTGCAGCTTAAAGCCTTAAATGTCTTCCCTTTGTACTTATAATTAAGATTAAAACACTTAGCATGATCTATAAGGTACAGTGTTTTTAGTTACCACGGTGTACAACTAAGTACACTCAGGGCTCTTAGTTACTAAAAGCAGACGTGGACTCTGGCTAATTTAAAAAGCAAAGAAATGTATTAAAAAGATATTACCACTAGGAAGAAATGAAATCTGGCCCATTCAGACAAGAAAGAAATTTATAAAAGATATGGCCCCCAGCAGCTAAGTAAATGGTTGCCACAGCTTGCACTGCCAACACCCTGGAAACCACTGCCAGAGCCACTGCCACACCTGCCAAGGCCAGAGGAGAAGCCCTCACTGTTCTGCTTCTGGCTCCCGACCCAGATACTGGCTGGGTGGTGTTGACTGGCTGAGACTAGGTCCTGCACCCACACCTAACCACCTGGGAGCTGAGCTTCTATAATGGGAAGGCAGTGGGCCTCCTGCCAAGACCCCTAAAGTAGGGAATTCCCCATACTCAAGAAGGGGTTTCAAAAAATGCTGAGCAGCCAAAAAAAAAGAGGCCTGGTGTGGTGGCTCATTCCTTCATAGTCCCTGCACTTTGGGAGGCCAAGGCAGGAGGACCACTTGAGCCCAAGTTCAAGACTAACAAGGGCAACAATAGCGAGACCCCGTCTCAAAAAAGAAAAAGAGAGGAAAAGAAAAGAAAAAGAAAAGCATCCACTGCATCCTATAAACCTTTGCCTCCCCCTTCAACACCATCTCACCCCTCCTTCTCTACGCTCCAGCTACACTGTCCTTCCTTCAAATATTTCCCCTGAAGAGCTCTTGCCTCTGCCTAGAATGCCCCTTTCACCACCACCAGCCCCACCCTCTCTGGTCCAGGCTCGTGTCAGGGTCCTGGCAGGAAAAAGATGGCACACCCATGGGTGAGTTCCAGGAGGGAACCATTTACAAAGGTATGAGCATAGTTAAAGGAAGCCAACTAGCTATAGTGAAACATTCTGAACTAGCAACAGCAGGAATCCTTTAACACCCCCTCATCTAAAGGAATAAGTGGACAGTTGGTTCCCAGAACCTAGAAAGAATAGCTGTGGCCTTCAGCAGAGAAATTAAGTTAATCTATAGTCTGGCTGGAAAGGGGAGTAAATTGCCTGATTTCTCTCTGTTCCCACCACCCAGTCTCCTGCTGATGCCTCTCCTGGGTCAAACCCAGCCTGAGGCCAGAGGGACAGGTTGCTTGTTGATGCAGACCACAGAGGCCGCCTCCTGGAGCACACAGCAGGGTCGAGAAAGATGGAGGGTGGATCTAAAAGGGCTAATGGAAAAAAATCCAGTGTCTTTTATTTTAGGATATTTTCCCTAACAGCACCTAACTCTATATGTATCTATATTATCATAAGTGGCTTAATAATTATTATTATGGCCAGGTGCAGTGGCTCACACCTGTAATCTCAACACTTTGGGAGGTGGAGGCAGCCAAATCGCTTGAACCCAGGAATTCAAGACCAGCCTGGGCAACACAGTGAGACCCTGACTCTATTTTTTAAAGAGAATAAATAAATAAAATAAATTATTATTATTATTTTCTATCTTCCCCACTGGATTGTAATTTCCTCAAGGTCAGAGATTGAGTCTATCTGTGCTTACCATTGTTCCCCAGGAACTCCCCAGGAACTAGCGTAGTACCTGACACACAGATGGGCTTCAGTCAATAGTCGAATTAATGAAGGTATCTGAATATGGGATATTGTGCTTTAAATAGTCGAATTCTTAAGCCTTTAATAACTAGAACAGAGAAGTCATGTCTGTCTACTTCCTTGCCAGCCAGGCTGTTTTCCTGTTTTTTCTTTTTTGTTCATCCAATAAAATGTGCTTCAACTGCAAAATCTCTGTGACCTTGCCTAAAGTGAGCTAAAATTCTACGAGTTTACTTTTATTTTGCCCAAAATTTATCTTGCTAAGTTAACTTTTCTAGGTAATTTGTTGAGAGCTCATTCTATGGTATACATGTAGAAAGCTAACTTAATCAGGCTTCATGATAACCAGAAAGTCTAAACCATAATGCACAGCAGACATTCCAGTTTAAAACTCTTTGCCTTTGTGCTATATTAAAATGTGCCTTGAAACAGGCATGATGCCATATGATGAATAACATATGGTACATGACAGTCCCTATTCATATGGAAAATATGTTAATGATATCCTATATAGGAAGTAAAAGTGGAACCAGATTTATTTTTCTATATAGGTTGATCTGGTCTCAGCAACTAAAAATACTTATTTTCAATGTCACAGTGGAAATGAGATGGAGGCTGAATAGAGATGGCTGGTATGTGAGGTCACTTACAAAATAATCTACCAGATAAAAACAGGTGTATGATTGGGGAGGTCAGACTCAAAGTAATGTTGAGGGCAAATAGGAGATGTTTAGAGAAGCCCCTGAGCCGTAGCAAGGGAGTCGTTCAAGCCCAAGCTCTACCCCAGGTCCAGAGAACCCATGCCTTCCTGTGAGAAACAGACTCTGTAACCCCCAGATGTTACTCCCTCAAGCCTTGTGGAATGTGCTTATTTTTTCTGGCTAGAGCTCTATGAGACCCAATGCCCCCTTTTAATAACAATAGTTTGTAATATCTCCTTTACTTTCCTGAAATGGAATTCAGAGGCAATGCAACTTACGCAAAACACTTTAAAGCCAATATAATGATCTAACTATGTAAGATATTAATAAAATACATTTACAGGCCTGGCACAGTTGTTCACATCTGTAATCTGCGCCCTGTTAAGTTTTTATTTTTTATAGAGGCAGGGTCTCATTACGTTGCCTAGGGTAGTCACAAACTCTTGGGCTCAAGCAATCCTCCCACCTTGCCCTCTCAAAATGACGGGACTACAGCCTTGAGCCACCATGTCCAGACCAGACCTTGATTTTATAGTTCTGACATCCAGAATTATAAGAAAATAAATGTGTTGTATTACATCACTCTGCTTGTGGCCATTTGTTACAGCAGCTGTAGGAAACTAACATGCATGGTAACTGATTATTTTCTAAGCCTGATTCTAAAACCTTCTCATAAATTTCATGAACTAACCAATAGGCTCCCATTAAAACCCTTTTATGCTAAAGCCAATCAGAGTTGGTTTCTAGTATGTCCAACAAAGGACCCAGGCTGGTACAATTATAGACCAGCCCTCTAAGGTTCACCAGTAAGAAAACAACATCATCAGCAACTTTAGTCTCTGTTCAGGAGTCATACTCCCATGAGAGTGAAACTAATTTTCCAGATTAGAGCACGTGTCCACCTCTGTGGTCAGAGGGCTGATGTCTGGTGGGCAGCCCCACCAGAACCACACAAATTGGGGAAGGGGAAGTTTGCTCAAAGTAATGAATTAAGTGTTTTTACCAGGAAGGAGGAAAATAACCCCAGCAAGTCAAAACCAACATATTTTTAATAATGTAATATTTCTAAGACATAAAAGTCATCTTCATATCCAAAAGTTGGATTGCCAAAATAAAAAACCAATAAGGAACTTCCAGCTAAATATGGCAGATTGGCCAGACATGGTGGCTTGTGCCTGTAATCCCAGCACTTTGGGAGGCCAAGGCATGAGGATCACTTGAGCCCACAAGTTCAAGACCAAGCCTGGGTAATATAGGGAGACCATGCCTCTATGAAAAAATAATTAATTAATTAAAATATATATGGCAGATAAATTAAATGTGTTTGTCTTCTCTTTTTTTCTGAAATTTCATCTAAAAATGGTATAAAACATAAGGGCAGGTAGGAAATGAATATCAGCAGACAAAAAAAAACAAGTATTTGAAAGCTAGGATACAAATGAAAGAATGGTAAATAACGTTACCAAGCAAAAGAAGCTAAAATCTGTTTTCAAAGCAGTGGATCCCAAGAAGCAGCCAAGCACTTTACTCTGCAGGCATTCAAAAAGGCTGAGGACTTAGAAGCATTTGAGAACATCCTGTGCATAAAAAGCAGCATTTCATGCCTTATGACTACACATGGGTGGCTAGAGAATCTGATAAAATTCTATCATACCAAAATAAAATGTATTTGGGCAAATAAATTAGTAGAACCTACTTACCTCTGCAGAAAATTAATAAATTAGGTTATTAAAAGTAGAAATAGATAACTAAGATTATAAGATATTTGAGGAAAGCCTCCAACCTCAACAATAAATCCCAGAAGAAACAAAGACAGTAAAAGGAACAAAACAAAACTTTACTAAAATTATAATTGAATCATTGGAGAGATCAAAAAACATTATATCCATAAAAGAAGATGATTATTTTTTAAAAAGGAATAATCAGAACAAGAATAAGTTTATAGAAATTAAAAATATGGCCATGAAACAAAAAAAGTCAATAAAAGTATTAGAAGATAAAAGCAAACGAATCTAGAAAGTAAACTCAAAAGATAAAAAAGATAGCCAAAAAGAGAGAAAAAAATAAGATGCTTAAATATTCATTCCAGGATGTGCAACATCTGACTCATAGGATTTTCAGAAAAAGAAAACAGAGAGATGAATAAACTGATGGGAAGAAATCCTCAAATAAATCCAAGAAGAAAATATCCCAGAGTTGAAGTAATTCAATTTAGACATACAATTTCAGATTGGAAGGTCCCATTAAGTGCTCAGCCCAATGAATTAAAAAAGACTTACACCAAGTCACAGTATGGAATTTCAGGAAACTAAGAAAAAACTTGGAATTGCTAGAGGACTGGGGATGGGAGGCAAGCACATTAAAAGAATGTGGAATCAGAATGGGCATCAAACTTGCTGGTAGCAACTGAGTTCAGAAGACAATGAAGCAATCCTTTCCCAGTTCTAACAGGAAGTTATTTTCATCCTAGAACTCTATTCATATCCTTAAGTAACAAACAACTGTGCAGGTAAACATACAAGGCATCCATGCACTCTTGCTCACCCTACTGAAGGATGAGTCCCAGCACAATTGTTACCAATGGAGTGACCTAACCAAAATAAAACAAAACAAAAGAAATGGAAGATGGAAAACAGGGAATGTCCTGGGATGACAATCAAGACAGCAACCAGTCCAGACAGGATCAGGAAGACAGAGACCACAAATAGATTATCTGAAATGTTGAATGTAGTATTAGTCAGCATCTGAAAATCTAACGAAACATTTGGTTGAATTGATAGAAAAATAATAAGATGCTCGCCGTGCATGGTGGCTGACACCTGTAATCCCAGCACTTTGGGAGGCCAAAAAGGGTGGATCACCTGAGGTCACGACCAGCCTGGCCAACATGGTGAAACCCTATCTCTACTAAAAATACAAAAAATTAGCCAGGCATGGTTGCAGGCGCCTGTAATCCCAGCTTTTCCAGAGGCTGAGTCAGGAGAATCACTTGAACCTGGGAGGTGGAGGTTGCAGTGGGCCAAGATTGAGCCATTGCACTCCAGCCCGGGCAACAAGAGCAAAATTCCAACTCAAAAGAAAAAAAAGAAAAAGAAAAAGAAAGAAAGAAAGAAAAATGATAAGATGGAAAGCTAGGCAATTCTTAACTCAAAAGAAAGAAAACAAAAGGTTGTGATACAGCAGGAACATCACCATCTTGGACAAACCCCTCATTCTAAAGTTCACCTTAATAAAAAACTGCCTAAATCCAAAGGGCATCAGCCTAATGGCTTAGGCCAGCATGACCATAAACCACAAATAACATCTCCAACCAGAAACTTTCCAAACCCCTCCGTGACCAGAGACATGCTAGCCATGAGATAACCCACCTCCAGTGGGGAAGATACCAGCCTTGAGATAACCCCCATCTGGGTGGAAAGATGTCTGCCCCAAGATAAACATCCCTCCTCCCAGAGACATTCCAACCCCACCATAAAACTTCTCCCTCACACAGAAACATTCCAAGCTTATAATAAGCCCCTTCACCCTAAGACCAATATATACTCCAATATATAGTCTGTAAGAGAAAGTGCTCCTGACCAAAAAAAAAAAAAAAAAAATTATCAGCCAGAAGCCCCTCTCATGTTTTATCTAAAGTAAACCTGTCTTAACTGCCAAGCCACATTTTGTGTTTCTTTCCTCTTTCTTTAACTCTTACAGGTGGTACAATGAAGGATAAGTAGTCAAAGTACAATACTTGGGTTACCAATGACCAACACTGACATCATAATGTAAATACTCGATATTGAATTAACTAGAAATGAAGTTAGAATTATATTAGAATGACAGGAGAGGGAAATATGTGTGTGTCAGGGGTTAATAGATAATATCTAAAATTTGTAAATGAAGACATAGGTGTATAATGATAGGCATTTTATATCAGGAAAAACTACTGAAGATTTAAAAGCCCCTGGGAAGCACAGCTGAGGGGAGGGAGAAGGTACTGCTTTTTTTTTTTTTAATATAAGCTTTGTAGTACTATTTAATATTGTATATAGCTTTGTACTACTTTGATAAAACAAACTGATAACCCTGCCCCCAAAAAGAACCAATGAGAATAAGTCCAGAGCTTATTCACATTTTAGCTTGTATCATGCGTTAACACCAACACTCCATTTAATGTGAATTATCTTCAAAGACCCAATATTTACTAAATTTAGGAAGAGACCAATCATTGCTTCATATGCCCTACCTCCCTCAGGGACCAATACTTGAATTTTCAAAGCATTATTCACAAAGGGAAAAATATTTTCTCCTATTTTCTATGTGTGATAAGTGAATATCCCAAAGCATGAAATATGAATTTAAAATATTTGTTTTCCAAATGTTCATTGATTCTTTACATTTACTACACCACATCTGTTTGGCATTTAATAACCAAATCAAAAGCCTCTCTTCCTCTGCTCTGCCTTAGCCACTCAATCCCCTCTCAAATGGTGACCTCATTACATCACCCAGGGCCTTCCCTGCTTTGACTCCTCATTTGAGTAATTCCCACATTCACCTTACAAACTGCCAAATATTCAGTATCCTATAAACAACAGTATTATATATATTTTTGCTAACAACATATATATACACACATATATATATAAAACAGTAAAGAAGTGTATAAATTCAGAACCTATTAATCTAGAGTAAACAAATTTAGTATGCTTCTAATAAAACGTACTTCTCTGGTAGACAGAACAGTCTGTCAGTGCTTACATGACTGTAAAAAACTATCTTTGAATTGAATCAATCAAACATAGACTCAATATTCGTTTCTTTTACATGGGCACTTTTTCCCTCAAAATGTCTCTAACAGATAAGTTCTGCCATCCTGAGGCTAATTTTATATACCAAAATGTTCTGATGAACTGTAAAAGGTAGATATTCATTAAAATCAGTATTTATTTTGAAGACTTACTTAAGCAAATTGTTGATTTTATGAAAGTAGTTGATGAGCAAGAAATGTTCTCCTTCCATGGTTCTTCACTCACAATTATGACTTGACCAAAACCAAACTCTGATAATTGTATGAATTTATAGCTGGAAACAAAATATGTGAGAACAGTAAGAAAAAGTTCATCACCAAGAAACCCCAAGGGCAGGTTGCATAGTTATGTCATGAAATCAGTCAATCTAGACAATCTAATTTATGGTTCAAGTCAAAATTCATATCCCTTCCCTATCAACCCAAATATTGAAAGGGAAAACACACTAGAAAGCTATTTTATCTGAATTATTGGGATAATAGCTATAATTTTCACATAGTTTTGCAAATGGAATTAATGTTTTGGTGTGAGCAAGATATTGATAAACTATTTGTCATATCAGTTAGATATATTAAACATATATAATGAATAAATGAAATAAAAAGCATTTGTCTTACACAAATAATTAAGTTCCTTTAAGTTCTTTTTAAAAGTATTTTTTTCTGATTTTAGATTTACAGAAAATTCATTATATTCTTAATATAGGAATCAACAGGTAATATAGTAGAAAGCTATTAAAGTACAGGTGACAAATGGCAAATAAAATACAGATGACATACACAACATGCAATATAGTTACTATTTTCTGAATAAAAAATCTGGACCAAGATAAGCCCTTCCATGGGAAAAATAAATAATTTGAAAACAGAACTATCTTAGAAAATCCAGAATGTGTCATGATTGAAAATATACATCATTATAAATGCAAAGAAAGATATCATTCATTTAAAGAATACAAAGAGGTTCCATTTGATACTTATTTTACCATCTAGAATTCAACTGCACATTCTGAGCAAAAATATCTTTAAAAAAGAAATGGAAATAAAAGCAGTACAGGGTATTATGCTTCTGTTAAACTCAGTGAGCATGTGCCCTTGCCAATGGATATGATCAAACCTAAATCAGTCAAGGGATGTTGACAACCTGTGGAAAGAACATATGATTTTATTTGAATTGTATCCTGGACGATGGGCAAATATGTCAGAAACTGCCCATGTCACCAGGCCGTGAATGGTGATATCTTCTTTGCTGCCTATCAGTTCAGTAGATAAGCAGATAAACTTAGGGTGTCCTGCTTGGGTGACACCCTGATTAGTTCCACCAGTGCCTGGTTCCACTCATGAATCCTCCTCAAGCTGGTGGAAGACAACCAGCTCTTTTTCTCTACTCCCTGGAGAACCTTTTCTATATGGACATCTTTTTTGAAATTAACTACATTAATCCAGAAAAAGCAGCATTTTGAAATCATAGGAGCCTGGTGCAAATAATTTATTTAACTTCTCTGAGCTTAGGTTTCCATGGAGTGAAAGAAATCTATTTACAGTATGCCTATGGGGGTACTATATCTGACAGTACTACTATATTACAGTATGTCTATGGAGGTACTATATCTGACAGTACTACACATTATTAGACTCTGTGTTTATCACAACACATGTTACAGAATACACAATTTCAATATGTGTCAAATATTTCTCTAACTTCAGAATTCAATTCATAACTGAACACTTAGATGCATTGTTCTCTCTGCCAAATTGGACCTCTGGGTGCATGTAATTTGTTGAACAGCAGATAGGCTTAATATGTCTTTGGCTATTATGTAGTATATGGAGGGTGTCATAGGACAGGTTTTAGAGTTAGATTTAGGATGAAATTCAATCTCCACCATCACGTCCTAAATATATGCTATTAAGAAATTCGATTAACTTCTCTGAGCCTCTATTTTCTATTTGTAAAATAGGAAAATAATACTTTTTCTATCTACCTCACAAGGATTTTTGTAGGAATGAAATTGGACAATATATGTCAAAATGCTTTGTGAATAATAGAATGCTATATAAATACAAATTGTTTACATTATTATCACAATTATTACTGTGAGTAATGGAATTACTATAAATAATAATTTTATTATTCCTGACACATGATTTAGGAAAAAAGGAAGAAATTATCTCATTTAAGAAAAACCAGGCTGGGTGCCTGTAATCCCAGCACTTTGGGTGGCCAAGGCAGGTGGATCTCTGAGGTCAGGAGTTCTAGACCAGCTTGGCCAACATGGTGAAACCCCATCTCTACTAAAAATACAAAAATTAGCTAGGTGTGGTGGTGCACACCTGTAGTCCCAGCTACTTGGGAGGCTGAGGCAGGAGAATTGCTTGAACCCGGGAGGTGGAGGGTGCAGTGAGCTAAGATCACACCACTGCACTCTAGCCCGGTTGACAGAGCGAGACTCTGTCTAAAAAAAGAAAAAAAGAAAAAGAAAAACCAGTTGTTGCATAGCCAGCTCTTTTTTATATGAGGAAAAGTTAGTAAGTAAATATTTACGTAAAGCCAGAGAATTAAAATACAACTTCTAGTCTGCACACTACTACTGAAACTTCTTGGAGAAATCTCCCTAATTTATTTAGCCTGGCTTTCTTATCTCTAAAGTAATATCTACCTCATTAGATTTCTATGAGGACAAACATGGGAAAACAATGGGAGATATGTCAAATCCTTTAGAAGGAAGTCTCTTGTATTCAGATGAGTTATATGTTCCTTCTTTAGATATATGATTGTGGGCAATCATCTCACCTTGGTAATGCATCTTATTTTATGAACAAGACTGCAGATATCATTATCAGAGATGTATAGTTGTGGTAGAGTTAACCCAGGAAATCTTTAAGGAGCACTGGAGAACCTCAGCTTCACTCTTTAATTATAGCATGGTTAACACACAGTACTGTTATGTTAAGAAGACTTCAAACCACAGCTAAGTAAAATCGAGAGACAAAAATGACCCATTGTTTGCAGAAGAGGAGAACAGAACATTCAAGAAAATCAAAACAAGATCAATCTGTCAGCAGAATATCACAAGGACTTCGAACTTCCTTTTCAGACCCAGGAAATTTTCTTTAAAAGAGAAACTTAGAAATGCATCGTTGGCAAGAAAGAGAAAGAAGCAAAAGAAGAACCTTTTTTACATTATTAGCACATTATACCTAATCTAGAAACTATCTGTCTCTTATGCTATTTTTAAGTGCCACCTCAATGAAAAGAAGGTGAATTTTACATCTCACTGTAACTAATAATGTTCCCAGAATAAGTTATCTTATTCCATTGTAGGCAGAAGTCTAGCAAACGTCTTAAACCCTTACCAGCTCTGGGTTATGATAGGCACTCAGAAGCTGTTCTTTCATTGTACAGGAAAATCCCTATCTCGAAACTGTACTTGAATATAAGCCAGGATCTGGGCCTAGGGCCTGAGTTACTGGTTAGGGTTTTTATACCAATTCCATCCTCTACCCAGAGAGTCTGTGCCAGTATCAACATCAAGTTTCTTGACAGGAAATTGCTTTCTTCCCTTTCTTGAAATGAGATTTAATGAAAGACCAGAACACCTGTTGCCCTCTCCCAGTGAGAGTAAACTTTAATTAGTTAGGGTCTAATCAAGAGCAAAAACCACATAGTAATTTAAACAGGGATGTTTAATATAAAGAATTACTGAGTAAAGAAAGATAGGAGAGTGACTCTAAAGATAGAATGAAAGCTCTAAACACTGCTGTAGGACTGAGGGAAAGTTCCAAAAAAGGACAAACTTGGAGGAAGGGATCAGAGCTCATTGAAGAAGGTGTGGTCACAATCTACTTGGTGGCAGAGGAGTTCCTAAGTTGCACAGCCCAGAGATGGCTAAGAGTTGCCAGGAAAGAAGTAACCCTTTGGGGCAGGCAAGTCAGAGCCGGTGGGCAAGCTGGGTGTACACAGGGGGACTGGTACAGAGAGAGTCACAGAGCCACTGTAGGTGTGAGGCCTGGAACACACAGTGTCTGTGTCAGGATATCTAGGACCCAGGAAAGCTGAACTTGATGGGTGGGTGTGCAGAGTGAGTTGGGCTGCCACTGAGGGTGCTGGTGGGACTGAGAGCTGGGGAGGCCTTCCACAGCAACCGAGTGCACCTCTGCATATGACTTGGGCTAGAGTAGTCTGAGCTAGTGGATGAAGGCTGGGCATTCAGTTCACTAGACAGCCAGCCCTATGGGGCCCCCAGCATGCCTATGCAGAGCAGCAATATAGGACAGGGTGAAAGCCATGCTGTCCGGGTCTCCTAACCGCACTCTGCCAGTCAAGAAAAGAGCTGAAGAAGGCACACAGCAAAAGCAATGCCCTGTAGGCACTTATACTGAGCCAACAGTGAAGTTAAAAACATGCTCTTCAGGGGTCCAGCCAACAAGCCATCAGGACCAGGGAGGAAAACACCTTTTTTCTTCAATGCCTCTCTCCAGCACCCTCTACTGATGAAACATTGTGCCAGCTAGTAAAAGTAAAAACTAATTACAGGGCCCAGATATGTTTTAATAGATGAGTCAGTGAAGGGAGCTGAGAGGCAATAAATTGATAACTGGCACATTCTCCCTCTGGGGAAAGCACTCCATACAATCAGACCTCCCCAGTTAGTTGCTTTCTTTCCTGTTCACTAGAGTGTATCTTGTCCTCATGGGCCACCTACTTCCATCAACTTCCCAATGACTGATTTTTCTAACAGAGCCCTTCCAGCCATTTTCAATTGGAAACCTCAGAAATCTATTGCCTTTCTTGAAGGTGGCACAGATGTAAGTGAAGTCCTCTGGTGGCAGATAGAGTATTGCACAGCTCTTTTTTTTTGTTTAAGGACAATACTCATTTTTAAAATTGTATTTACTTAAAAGCATTCAGACTGTCAACAGAACAGCTGCGACTTTTTTTTGCAATTACAGTGTAATATTACGTTAACAGAGCAATTGTTTCTTATAAGCTGCAACAGAGACAACTGAAGATGAAAAATTACAATTCCCATATATAACTTATATATAATTTGTGCTGTGCGCCAAGGAGAACCTGCTTTAAATTTCCATGCCAATTTACAACCCCCATACTGTACCAGACAAAGTACAGTTTTAGCCACATTTTCAATAGTGGCTATTGAAAATGCCACCAGGACAGGGTTATCTAAAGACATGTTCAGTAGTGTGTTTACCATACAAAAAATGACACGGTATAGTTTAAAAATAAATCTTACACAGACTTACATTTCAATTGTTTTTCTTTGAAAGGAATGAGTTGTGTACAAGGGGCTTAAATGCTTTATAGATAAGAAAAAAAACTGCACTAAAACAAACTTATTCAGCATCATCATCTTCTTCATCTTCATCCTCCTCCTTCTCCTCATCCTCTTCATCTTCCTCCTCTTCCCTCTATTTATTTATTTATTTATTTATTTATTTATTTATTGAGACAGAGTCTTGCTCTGTCGCCCAGGCTCCAGTGCAATGGTGCGATCTTGGCTCATTGCAACCTCTGCCTCCTGGATTCAAGTGATTCTCATGCCTCAGCTTCCCGAGTAGCTGGGATTACAGGAATGCATTACCACGCCCAGCTAATTTTTGTATTTTTTTAGTAAAGGCAGGGTTTTGCCATGTTGGCCAGGCTGGTCTCAAACTCCTGACCTCAGGTGATTTTCCTGCCTCGGCCTCCCAAAGTGCCGGGATTACAGGTGTGAGCCACTGAGCCTGGCACTCTTCCTTCTTTTTCTTGCTTTTTTCAGCCTTGATGATTCCTTTTTTTGCTGCATCAGGCTTTCCTTTAGCTCAATATGCAGCAATATCCTTTCATATTTTTCCTTCAACTTCGCAGCCTTCTTTTCATAAGGCTGCTTGTCACCTGCAGCAGTGTCATTCCACATCTCTCCTAGTTTCTTCACAACATCACCAATGGACAGGCCAAGATGATCTCCTTTTATTTTTGGGCAATTCTCAGAACAGAACAGAAAAAAAGCCCAAAGGAGTCCTCTTGGGTGCACTGGGATCCTCAAACTTCTTTTTTGTCACCCGTTTAGGAGGGATATAGATTTTCATTTCTCTTTCATAATGGGCCTTCTCTACCTTTGCCATGTCTTCACTTTTCTCTTTAGCAGACATGGTCTTCCACCTCTCTGAGCACTTCTTAAAAACTCTGAGAAGTTGACTGAAGCATCTGGCTGCTGCTTCTTATGCTCTTCCTGACAAGTTTGCACAAAAAATGCATATGATGACATTTTGCCTCTCAGCTTCTTAGGATCTCCTTTGCCCATTTTTAGTTATTTTTCCTCAGTGAGGCAGAGTCGCCCAATGCCTGTCTGGTTCTCACTTGCCCAGTGCTGTCTCTATGGAGTTCAGTGTACTGCAATGGCTGTGAGAGCCATTGCACAGCTCTTTAAAGGAATTTGTGACCAAGGACGGTGGTTCTCACCTGTAATCCCAACAGCATGGGAGGCCGAGGCAGGAGGATAGCTTGACATTAGGAGTTCTAGAACAGCCTAGGTAGAACAGCGAGACCTTGTATCTACAAAAAAAGAAAAAAATTTAATTAGTTGGGTGCACACCTGTAGTCTCAGCTACTCAGAAGGCTGAGGCAGGAGGATTGCTTGAGCCCAGGAGTTCAAGGCTGCAGTGAGCCATGATGGTGCTACTGCACTCCAGCCTCAATGACAGAAAAAGACATTGCCTCAAAAATAAATAAATAAAATTTTAAAAAGACAAAGGAATTTGATAAGTGCAATCAAAAATTGAACTAGAGACTATAAAGACAATTTTTAGGGGGATGCAATTGTTTTACCCAGCACTGGAGCGGTGTATACATGACTATGCATTTTTTAAAACCCATATAACTTCACAGTAGAAAGAATGAACTTTCATATATGCGAGTTTAAAATTTTGTTTTCTTTAGTTATTTTCTTTTTTTTTTTTTTTTTTCAGGGATGGGGTTTCACTCTATCACCCAGGCTGGAGTGCACTAGATATCATGCTAACTGCAGCCTCCAACTCCTGGGCTCAAGAGATCATCCCACCACAGCCTCCTAAGTAGCTGGGACTACAGGCACGTGCCACCACATCTGCTAATTTTTTAATGACTTCTAGAGATGGGAGTCTCCCTATGTGTGCTTAGACTGATCTCAAACTCCTGGCCTCACATGATCCACCCACCTCAGCCTCCCAAGTAGCTGAGATTACAGGCAAGAGCCACAGCACCTGCAAGACTTTGCGACTTTAAAGGAAACAATATACAGCAGGTCCTCAAATAATGTTTCATTAAATGTCATTTTTTAGACTGTTCATGAAAAAAATTTGGTTTCTACTGTTGCATCATGAGGTCCTAAGGAAAAAAAAGAAAAAAATTTGATTCTTTATATGTCATTTTGCTTAAAGTTGCAGTTTCCAAGAACCTATTGATGTTAAGTAAGGACTTGCTGTACACAGAAATACACGCATTTATTTTCTAACTGTCCACTGAGAAGGCCTAGAAGCAGTGTCCACCCAGTAGCAATGAGCACACTTGTGCATAGATTTGGCTTTCCAAAAACCACTCTTCAATGAAAGAAACCAGGGCTCCTTGGAAAATAACTGATTCTAGGGCTGGATAAGGGAAAATACAAGATAAGCTTGGCAAAAAGTAAGTATAGTGCCAGGAAGAAAGGAATTGCTCAGAAAACAAGAGGGATGTGGAGCCAATCTGAAAGAGCTCCCAATGGCCAAAGCTGGAAAAATGTGAGCAAGCTTCTTATTCTGAGATGAGGAGATACTCTTTTTTAAAAAAAATACTGGTTGAAAGAATAGAAAGTACTCATAGTTGTTTGGGGGGAGTAAGAAGCAGCAGAGGGGCAAGGACTGCTGTTTTTTGTCAAAGGCCTTGGAAAATGATTTGACACTTGCAACCATGCCCATGCTTGCACAGCTTTGAAAGGAAAAAAGAAACCCTACATTAAAGCATAAGCAAACACAAAAAGAATGTAAAGTTAAAAGGGAGGATTTTGACAAGGGAAGGTTTTGTTTGTTTGGTTTGGTTTGTTTTATTAAAATGGGAAACAGCATATTTACATGTGGATAGGAAGCCAATAGAGAAAGCATAAAACCACGGAGAAGAAAAAGACACATTGACAGGGGCAAGTGTCTGAGGAGGTAAGGCAGTCTTATAAGATGGTGGAAGGATTCACAAAAGATCAGGGTGGCACTAGTCAGTTCATTATTATTATTATTATTTTTGAGATGGGGTCTCACTCTGTCACTCAGGCTGGAGTGCAGTGACGCGATCTTGGCTCACTGCAGTCTCCGCCTCCCGGGTTCAAGCGATTCTCCTGCCTTACCCTCCTGAGTAGCTGGAATTACAGGCATGCACCACCACGCCTGGTTAATTTTTGTATTTTTAGAAGAAACAGGGTTTCACCACGTTTCCCAGGCTGGCCTCAAGTGATCTTCCCACCTCAGCCTGCCAAAGTGCTGGAATTACAGGTGTGAGCCACTGCACCTGGCCCCAGCTCATTACTTCTAACCTATCTCAGAACAGACACTGACACATAGCAAATTCTCAGAGAATCTCTGTCCTTGTCCCTGCTGTTGCTTCCTGCTGAGCCCTGAGGTGCACCTACCCTTGCCTGGTATGAGGTGCTCTCATAAACCCTAAAAGTGCAGTCCCTGGGAATTTCAGAGCCAAGTCTGTCACTTCCTCTTGTCAGTGTCTAAATTAATTATCTAAAAGATTTGAAAACAATTCTGCACATTTAGGCACTGAAGATATCTTTAAAAATGCCATATATGTGAATGCATTTAATACTACTGAACTATACACTTAAAAAATGGTTGTAGGTCATGGTGGCATGTGCCTGTAATCACAGCTACTCTGGTGGCTGAGGTGGGAGGATCCCTTGAGCCCAGTAGTTCAACACTAGAGTGAGCTATGATACTGCACTCCAGTGGGGTGACAGAGCAAGACTGTCATCTCTAAAAAAATTAACTAATTGATTTAATTTTTAAAAAGTGGCTGTAATGGTAAGTTTGTTATGTAGCTGTTAACACATGGTTAATTTTTTTTTCTTTTTCTTGAGACAAAACTCACTCCATCACTCAGGCTGGAATGTAGTGGCACAATCACCACTCACTGCACCCTTGACCTCCCTTGTTCAAGCAATTCTTCCACCTCAGCTTCCTGAGCAACTGGGGCCATAGGGTGTGCCACCACACTCAGCTGACTTTTTTTTATTTTCAGTAGAGACAACATCTTCCTGTGTTGCCCAGACTGTCTCAAACTCCTGGCCTCAAGGGATCCTCCTGCCTCAGCCTCCCAAAGCGCTGGGATTACAGACATGAGCCACTGCGCCTGGCCTACAAAAACTTTTATTACAAAAAATATATATAAAATTAGGAAAAATCATCTCTAAATGAATAATACTACATTTGTCAGATTCTAATGACTTAAATAATAGAGTGAAGCCCAAGGTTACAATGCTTAGTGAGACCTGGAAGACCAACTTGATCTTCACCTGCAACCATGGAACCAGCCTTGGCTGGGGGAAAGAACTCACTTCCCAGATCACAGGGTCAATTCTATCTCCCTAGCCATTGACGAGTTTTCTTCTAGAACCATGACTCAACTCTTGAGGAGACAATTTCTTATCGTGGTATGGTAGCTGCGGTCTTTTGTCTAAGTAGAATGTTCATGATATATTTAATGTATTACAACCTTTTTAAAAAATCCATCTCACACTTTAAAAATTTGTTCTCAACTTCAGAAATAATTTTGAAAGAACAAGTACTGACAAAGACTACTTTTAATTATAGTAATAAGCAAGGAACTAATGGGGGGTATTCAGTCAAAAAGGAAAAATATGCTTCCATTTGGCCTCACCTCCACATTTCATTCCTAACTTAGCCCAAACCATATTCTAATACAATACAATCAATTTATTCATGGCAAGGTGGTAATTAGTATGTAGTCCTAGTAAAATGGGTCTGGTGATATTTTTTGATTTGCACCTTCTTTGGTTGGGAATATTGCATTCAATAACTGTATGGCAAATAAAATGACTCGACAGGGCCACGCAGCAGAAGTATTTTCAATAGCAAGTTGCCTTTATATGGGCATATTTCTACATTCTAAAATAATGTCTCCATTATCTTGGTTAGAGTTCAACTCTTTTAAATTTATAAGAAATATGCCATGCATGAGTGTGTGGTGATGATTCACAGATTTGAAATAACACCTACTCTCCTGCGGTTCTGGCACAAAATGTGTCAGTGAAGCCTGCAATTAGGAAAATTATCTTGGCCTGTCTTGCCACAAGATGGTGACGTCAATTATATACATCCAGAGCAGAAATCTGTCCCAAAAATGGGTTTAGAAAACAGTTATCCAGCCTTGCTTGGTGCCTTAGTGCCTTGGTGCCTTTGCAATGTCATCTAAATCTTTGTCACTGATGATAACACGAATAATATCTACTGAAAACTGCAATATAGTTTATTTTAGTCTTCACAACAGCCTTATGAGGTAGACACTATCATGGTCCCTATTTTACTGATGAAAAGAGGTTAAATAAGTTGCCCAAGATTATACAGCCAGGTAATGGTAGAACTTGGATTTGAACCCAGCTCTCTCAGACTCAGATGTTCACTCTTTTGATTAGGATTGGCTATATAATTTGAAGGGTCCATTGCAAAATGAAAGTGTGTTGCCCCCTTATTCAAAAATTATTAATAATTTCAAGATGGTAATAGTGAGGCATTGAACCAACGGGTGCAAGCCCTTCTAAGCACAGGGCCCTGTGTGATTGGACAGGTCATACACCCCTGAAGCTGGCCCTGCTTTTGTTCATATCACTTTCCTCCATTGTGGCCTTATCCCCATGCCTCAACCTAATTCAACAAATATTTTGTCGAGGCCGTATCTCCACTGAAAGAGGTCTTATGTTGATCCATGAGAGATACAGATTCAGCCTGGAGACAAACAACATGTATTTCTCAAGCAACCTTTTTTTTTTTTTTTTTTTTAGACAGTCTTGCTCTGTCACCAGGCTGGAGTGCGATGGCACTGCAGTTCACTGCAGGTTCACTGCAACCTCCGCTTCCCAGGTTCAAGTAATTCTTCTGCCTCAGCCTCCTGAGTAGCTGGGATTACAAGTGTGTTCCATCACACCCAGCTAATTTTTGTATTTTCAGTAGGGACAGGGTTTCACCATGTTGGCCAGGCTGGTCTCGAACTCCTGACCTCAAGTAATGCACCCGCCTCAGCCTCCCCCCAAATTGCTGGGATTACAGGTGTAAGCCACTGCGCCTGGACCTTTTTTTTTTTTTTTTTTTTTTTTTGACAGGGTCTGGCTTTGTCACCCAAGCTAGAGTGCAGTGGCATGATCACTGCTCACTGCAACCTCTGCCTGCTGGGCTCAAGCAATCCTCCTACCTCAGCCTCCCAAGTAGCTGGGACTATAGGCATGTGCCACCACGCCCAACTAATTTTTGTATTTTTTTAGAGACTGGGTTTTGCCATGTTGCCCAGGCTGTTCTAGAGCTCCTGAGCTGAAGCAATCTACCCACCTTGGCCTCCCAAAGTGCTGGGATTACAGGCCTGAGCCACTGCTCCCAGCCTAGCCAATCCTTTTGCTTGTTGAGATTTCACATCATACTGAGCAGCAGAAAGTGTTCCACAATTTTTTTTTCTGGGACAGAGTCTCACTCTGTCACCCAGGCTGGAGTGCAGTGGCGTGATTTTGGCTCACTGCAAGCTCCACCTCCCAGGTTCCCGCCATTCTCCTGCCTCAGCCTCCCGAGTAGCTGGGACTACAGGCGACTGCCACCACACCCAGCTAATTTTTTGTGTTTTTAGTAGAGACAGGGTTTCACCGTCTTAGCCAGGATGGTCTCGATCTCCTTACCTCATGATCTGCCCGCCTCGGCCTCCCAAAGTGCTGGGATTACAGGTGTGAGCCAACATGCCCAGCCAGTGTTCCACAATTTTATGAGTTTTCAATGTCAAGCCTTCTCTTTGGTTGGTCCCTAAAACCTCTCTTTTAATTAGCCTGCTCCTCTCTTAAAAACAAAACACTGTTATAAGACCAACAGTTTCGTATCCCCACTGCATAGTAACACGCCAATACACTGAGACAGGAGGGTTTGCAGCAGAGAAAGAATTTAATGGTTGCAGGGTGCTGAGTAAGAAGATGGGAGGAGACCCTCAAATCCATCTCCCCAAGGAATTGTAGGCTGGGGTTTTTAAGGGGATCGTGGAGGGCGAGGACCTGGAAAACTGGGGTCATTGATCAGTTGGAATAAGGGGGATGAAATCATTAGGATGTGGAAACTGCATTCTTTGGTGAGTCAGCTCCTTTTGGGGTCGTTCAGACCAGCTGATGTCAGTAGTTTCATTGGTATGCAGGACCTGAAGGAATATCTCAAATGGAAAACTTAACATTTTATAATGTTCAAGTTGTTATCTATAAAGCACTTTAGGGACACTATAATCTTGTAACAGGATCTATGAAATTCTAATACAACAGGCACTAAATGACGATGAGGAAGCAGGTCAAAGAGTGAGCTGACCTCATGATAAATGCTGAATATGCTGCAAACTTGGTTTATTTTTATTTCTGTCCCTCCCTTCTTTTCTGATTAATTTTTGTAAAGTTTATAGGGATGGTTTCACAACAACAAACCTTCAGCCACTTTCCACTGCAGTTTCTAGCATAAAACATGGCAGCAGATGTGACAGGAAGTCATTGCAGAAAAAAAAATGGTGGTGTCATGCATTACTCCCTCCTGCTGTGATTATTTGTAGCTGCTTCACCCTGATTATGGGAAAAGGCCTCATATCCTTGTAATTGTAGGGTCCTGATTAATAAACCGTTTGCCTCCCAGGATCTTTTTTTTTTTGAGAGGGGCGGGCAGGAGTGGGGGACAGCGTCTTACTCTGTTGCCCAGACTGGAGTGCAGTGGTGTAATCTCAGCTCACTGCAACCTCCACCTCCCGGGCTCAGGTGATCCTCCCACCTCAGCCTGGCACTGTGCCACCACACTTGGCTTTTTTTTTTTTTCTTTTGGTATTTTTAGTAGACACGGGGGTTCGCCATATTGCCCAGGCTAGTCTTGAACTCCTCGTCCCAAGTGATCTACCCGCCTCAGCCTCCCAAAGTGCTGGGATTACAGGCATGAGCCACCGCACTCAGCCGTAGATCTTCTTTTGAAAAGCTTTCCAAAACTTTCCCTTGGCACCTTTATTCAGTGGAAAGTCTGGAGCTGAGAGGATGACATATTCTTGTGTCAACACATATCCTGAGAACAAAGGGAGTCTGTTTGTGGTGTGTATGGAGTAACTGTGACGTGCAGTTTACATTTCTAGAGAAAACAATGGGCTCTGTGTGTACATCTGTTGCAGGGGAGTGTTTGGAGATGGAGATCTAGAAGAGAGATCTCGTCTCTGTCCTTGATGGGGCTTTCCACTTAATTTGATGCCCAGCCCCGAACTCTCCTTTCCCTTGCTCTTCTCACCAGCTGGAGCTTCTTATTTCTCATCCTCACATACATTTTTACTGTGATTCCCTTTTCCCTAAAAAATGTGGGTAGTTCCTGTTTTTAGTTTCCTCCTAATTGGGATAAGGAGGAGGAATCACAGCTAGCCCCCAGCCGAGACTCTTCACACTTTAGGATTTAAATGTGGACTGCAGGGGTTGATGTATCGCTGCCTTTTATGAATAAGGTTAGATGCAGTTATAGATAATGTGTAAATTTGCCATGGAAGGATGTCTGGATACATATAAGTAACCAGCATGGTAGTTCTCCATCATATCAGACCCATTATCCCCTTTATATAATAAAACATCGCCTTCATGATTTTAAATGAAATTCATATATCATATAATCTAATTCCACACAGGAAAAAATTTTTTAATTAGCACAATGTCATAAGTGTAAAATAAAGAAGAAATAAAACTGGAGTTAGGGTCTAAGTTGAAATAATTATAGATAGATTTTTCATTCATATCAATGCCCTGCAGGGCATTTGAAAGTCAGGCAGAACAGTTTCTTTGTTCTATGGAACTGTTCCACACATCTGTCAGTCTTGGCCCCAGCCACCAAATGCCACTGAGCATGCCTTCAATCACTGTGATAACCAAAAATGCATCCGTAATTCCCAAACCATATCCAAAAAGTGGTCCTGCCCCTGTTGAGAACCACTGGTCTGAGTAGGAGTGCCTGTATATTGGATTCCTTTTGATTGTCCCTTGGTTAAGATATTCAGGTAATAGAATAAGATATATTATACTTGCCATCCTCCCAGGCTAAGAGTTCTGGGGTTTGGCAATCCTGAACTCAACCACTCAACCAGCATGCATTTTCTATGTGTACACAACTATTTTTAGGCCACTAGTTTTAAAATAGCAGACACACACACACACACACACACACACCCCACACACACCCCATATTAACCAAGGTCCCTGGCCACATACAGTAACAAGGCTTTGGTCAGGGAGTGGCCATGCTACGCATGGACTGATGGCTATGTAGAGCAAGGTAGACAGAGCATTTATTTTGTGCTATATTTAAATTATAGGGAGGTGGAAATGGTGGGTGTGCTGATGTGTTTAGGTTCCTAAGAAAGATTGGTTGGTCTTCCACGTTGCTTCTTGGTTCTCTCTCTGATCTCCAACTTGGATTCGTGAAACGAGAGTCTGCATTGTAAATATGTTTTCCCTGGCCAAGGACAGATGGTAACATTTGCCTCTCTTTCGGCCTGCTGAATACAAATTTGAAGCCAAACAGGGACCCAAAGGGAATAAGGGTCCCCTCACCATCGTGCCCCTTGACACACACCCCTAATTAGGATCTACTCAAATATCATTTACCAGACACTAATAAAAATATTGAGTCCTGGCCAAAAAGAAAAATAAAAAAAAGTTGTATGTTTGTGGAAACTTCTGTGAGTCACTCTCCAGCATCTACCCTGGGTCAGTGTGTTTTGCTCCCAGAATAAGCTAAAATTTGAATGGAAGAAGAATTCTAAACAATCTAAGGAAAAACTTAAACAGAATAACCCCTGTACTCTATGACCTATGATATAAGATTTGCTCCTCTTAAATTATTCTGAGCCAAGAGCAACGTTTATAGCTTAACACCAAGCTTGTTTTCTGGGGGTACAGTTCTTATATGGACTATTAAGAATAAAGTGAGTTTGGGCTGGGCGTGGTGGCTCACGCCTGTAATCCCAGCACTTTGGGAGGCCAAGGCAGGGGGATCACCTGAGGTTGAGAGTTCGAGACCAGCCTGACCAACATGGAGAAACCCTGTGTCTACTAAAAATACAAAATTAGCAGGGTGTGGTGGTGCATGCCTGTAATCCCAGCTACTTGGGAGGCTGAGGCAGGAGAATTGCTTGCACTCGGGGGCGGAGGTTGTGGTGAGCCAAGATCGTGCCACTGCACTCCAGCCTGGGCAAGAAGAGTGAAACTCCATCTCAAAAAAAAAAAAAAAGAAAGAATAAAGTGAGTTTGAAGCAATGGACCGGAGACAGAAAATGAATTCCAGAACTGTGTGAGGTGTCTCATGCCTGTGGTCCCAGCAACTTGGGAGGCTGAGGCGGGAGGATTGCTTGAGCCCAGGAGGTTGAGGCTGCAGTGAGCTGTGATCGTGCCAGTGTACTCCAACGTGGGCAACAGAGCAAGACCCCACTCTAAAAAGAAAAAAATGCATTCTAAGTGGGGAAACAATTTATTCTTTCATGTATGCGTTCATTTGATACCTCACCCAGCTTAAACTCACTTATATTATGTTGCATGTACCCTCAGCTCCCTTGCCGCCTCTGACACTGAGATACTCACTTGAATAAACAATAACCTTTGTTGAAGAAAACATTCCCCATAGTCCAGTCGTACACCTGTGCAGCCAAATGCAACTAGTGAAGAACCAAACCATACTAAGAGATCTCACTTTAAATTCATGATCATAAGTTTTGAGTAAGCCCTTAATGCTGCTAACAACCACACTGAATTTCCCTGGCCCTTTTATTCTCCCACTCTCCTGGGTGACTATTTCACACCTTCTCTGTCCTCAAACCTCAAATACTTACTCACCTCCCCTCATCATTCTGATGCCCTTGCTTCCTATTTCACTGAGAAAATAGAATGAATCAGAAGAGAGCTCCCACAAACACCCACCGCTGCATCATGCCCATATTCTGGGCTTCCTTCCTGTGACTGTAGAGGAACACTCTGTGCCCCTAGAAAAGGCCACCGCTGGCCGGGCGTGATGGCTCATGCCTGTAATCCCAGCACTTTAGGAGGCTGAGGCAGGCAGATTGCATGATGCCAGGAGTTCAACACCAGCCTGGGCAACATGGTGAAACCCTGTCTCTACAAAAAATACAAAAAAAAAGAAAGAAAGAAAGAAAGAGAGAGAGAGGAAAAGAAAAGAAAAAAAGAAAAGAAAAGGCCACCGCTTTCCTTGTGAACCAGACACCACCTACTCAAGGACATCACTCCAGCAATTCTCCTCTCAATCACCTGCATCAGCTCATCCCTTTCCCCTGGATCTTTTCCACCTATCTATGAACACTATTTCTCCCATTTTTGAAAAACCCTCTGTTGACCTCACTTCCTCTTTCAGCTACTACCTCCATTTCTTTCTTTCCTAGGGGTTGTCTATATTCCCCATGTCCAGTACCTCTCTAAAACCTAATATAGTCAGTTATTTATCCAATCCACTTCAGTTAAATCACTCTCATCAAGATCTCCTCCACTTTCCTGTTGCTATATCCAACAGCCAAGCCTTAATTTTCATCTTACTTGATCAGTTAGTAGAATGTGATTACTCTTTCCTCCTGAACCACTTTCCATATAGTTTTTAGAAGGGCACTTACCTAATCTTTCCCCTATTTCTCTGGCTGCTCATTATCAGTCTTCTATGTTAGGTCCTGTTCATCTCTCTGACCTCCAAAACTTGGAGCATCCCAAGATTCAGCCCTTGTACCTCTTCTGCTTTCCATCTTCACTGACTCATTTGGCAATCTCCTCTAGTCTCATGACTTGAACTATCATCTAGGATGTGCTAACAGTGTCCGGTCTGCATGTCTCCCCTATACCCCAGATTCACATATCCAGCTGCCTCCTTAATATTATCACTTGAATAAAAGACATCTCAAGTTTAACAAGTCCTAAACTGAACTCCTGATTGCTGCTTGTCACTGCCCTACCACCAAATCCTGTTCCTTTTCTTCTTTTCCCGAGTTGCAGAGTTCAAAGCCTTGAAGTCATACTGGATGCTTCTTTTCCTCTCACACCTCACATCTGACCTATCAGCAGATCTGTCTGATTAACCTTCAGCATATGTCCAGAATCTGACCAATTCTCACCACTTCCACTACTACCACTGCTGTCTTTTACCTAAATTACTGTGGGAACCTCCAAACTAGTCTCCCAGCTTCCATCTTTGACATGTTGAGATTCTTCTCAACACAGAAGCCTGGGCCAGGCACAGTGGCTCATGACTGTAATCCCAGAACTTTGGGAGGCCAAGGCACAAAGATCTCTTAAGCCCAGGAGTTTGGGGCTGCAGTGAGCTATGATTGTACCACCACACTCCAGCCTGGGCAACAGAGCAAGACCCTGTCTCAAAACACACACACACACACACACACACACACACACACACACACACACACACACAAAAGAAAACAAATATAAAACACAGAAGCCTGAGTGACACCGATAAAAACATAAATTCAAGAAGATCACTCTTCTGCTCAAAAACCCTCCAAGCCCTCCAAAGGGCTGCATGTGCTGGCTCATGCCTGTAATCCCAGAGCTTTGGGAGGCTGAGGTGGGTGGATCGAGGAGTTCGAGACCAGCTTGGGCAACATGATGAAACCCCATCTCTACCAAAAATACAAAAATTAGCCAGGTATGATAGTGCACACGTGTAGTCCCAGCTACTAGGGAGGCCAAGGTGAGTGGATTGCTTGAGCTCAGGAGTTCGAGATCAGCTTGGGCAGCATCATGAAACCCCATCTCTAGAAAAAATACAAAAATTAGCCAGGCATGATAGTGCACACCTGTAGTCCCAGCTACTAGGGAGGCTGAGGCGGGAGGATCGCTTGAGCCTGGGAGGCAGAGGTTGCTTGAGCCAAGATCACACCACTGCCCTCCAGCCTGGGCCACAGAGTGGGACCCTGTCCCCCCCCGCCAAAAAAAAGGAAAAAGAAAAAAAGAGAAGAAAAGAAAAAAAAAATTAAAGCACGATGTAGGCTGGGGAAAAAAAAAAAAAAAAAACTTCCAAAGATATTTTTAGTAAAAGTTCAACTTGAAAAATTATTTTAAAGCCCTACATGCTCTGCTCACTGCCCATTCTCTCCCAACCTCACCCTCTACTTCTTTCCCACTTCCCTGTTCTATTATAGGAGCACGCTCCCCACCCTTTGCTGTTCCTTGAACATTCCAGACACCTCAGGACCTTTGTACTAGCTGTTCCTGGGATGTTCTTCCCCCAGATATGACTCACTCATTCACTCACTCAACTCCTTCCCTCAAATATCTCCTTCTCAGTGAGCCCTTCCCTGTTAACCCATCTAAAATTGCAATTTCAAGAGCTCCTTTTCCCACTTACTGGCTTTACTTTTTTTTCCTGCAGAATTTATTGCCACCTATGGAACAAATGTTTATTTTATTTATCTTTTTTTTTTTTTTTTTACCTATTCTGACAACCAAAATGTGAGCTCCAAAAAGGTGGGGGTTTTTTCATCTTTTTTCATTGCTGTATCTTAGCACTTAGAAGAGTATATATATATATATATATATATATATATATATATATATAGTATTCAATAAAGATTTATTGAATGAATGAATGCCTACTGTATGCAAAGAATCACCTTTAGGTTCTGGTGAAACAGAGAGGAATAAAGTTACTGAACACTCTGCACTTCAGGTTCCTCATCTACAAAATGGAGATAATAATAAGCCTCATGGGACTATTACAAGGATTAAATGATCAATAACTTATGTAGTGCTTAGAATAGCACCACGCACTTAGTAAGTACTATGTTAAGTAAATAAAATACATACATATATATATTTAAATCCCTGCCCTCAAGAAGCTCACATATAGTGGAAAGTAAGATATATTTGCAAAAAAAACAAAGAGTATGCAGTGTTAGCAAAGAAGACGGGAAAAGGGTCAACTTACCCTTAGGGTGAAAGAAGCCTTCACAGAGAAGCTGAACTTAATGTGAATCTTGGAGAATGAGGAGGTGTCTACCAGGCCAAAAATAAGGGCATCCTAGGCCAAGGACAACCGAACAAATGTTTGAATCAGGACGCTCAGAGGTTAGAATAAATCTGTCCTCCCACCTTCCAGGAAGTGTTGATCCAGAGTTGTCTCAATATATCCAGCTTGTTTTTCCTACTTCATGCTTTAATTTCCTTATTATATAAGGGAAGGTGTTGGTAACACTGAATATTAAATTGTAGTAATTTCACTGTGTAGGAGAGAAAGCTTCGGAGATTTTTACACCCTGGGGAAATATTTATTCCAATCTGCATGATGCACACAGTGAAAAGCACCTGCTAGCTCTAAGTCACCTTCACATTCCTGAAAGAATTTCCAAGTTTCTCATAGTTTATTGATATTTATAATGTTGATATTTTCAATCTTCTGATATGACCATTGATAACCACCTAGCTTATTAAAAGTCTTACATTTCATTTGTTTCAAAAGCACTCTGATTTCGATTTTACTATATATTTTATTCACTTTTTTAAAGTTAATTAAAAGCATGTTTTAGGCCGGGCATTATGGCTCACCCCTGTAATCCCAGCACTTTGGGAGGGTGAGGGGGGAGGATCACTTGAGGCCAAGAGTTCAAGATTAGCCTGGGTAACATTGTGAGATCTCATCTCTACAAAAAATTTAAAAGTTAACTAGGCATAGGGGTTCACTGTGGTCCTAACTACTCAGGAGGCAGAGGTGGTTGGATTGCTCGAGCCTAGGAGGTTGAGGCTGCAGTGGGCCGTGATTGTGCCACTGCACCTCAGCCTGGGTGACAGAGCAAGACTCTGTCTCAAAAAAACAAAACAAGCTTGGTATGGTGGCTTATGCCTGTAATCCCAGCAATTTGGGAAGCTGAGACAGGTGGATCACTTGAGAACAGGAGTTTGAGACCAGCCCAGGGAACATGGTGAAACTCCGTCTCTACCAAAAATACAAAAAAATTAGACAGGCATGGTGGTGGGCGCCTGTAATCCCAGGTATTTGGGAGGCCGAGGCCAGAGGATCACTTGAGCCTGGGAGGCAGAGGTTCTAGTGAGCCAAGATTGCACCACTGCACTCCAACCTGGGTGACAGAGCGAGATTCTGTCTTAAAAAACAAAACAAAATTCTAACGTCCATTGAAATATTTTCTAAAGGAGTTTTTCTCTACATTAAAAAATAGGAGTTAGGTCCTTTGGCCAGAAACTCAATGTAAAATTATATACATATTAATTAGGGACAACATTACTTCACACAACTCTAAGTCCTCTTAAATGAGTGATCTAGAAATCAGAGGAGAGGGACCTGACCATGAAGCAGTCAAGGCATCATCCAGGGAAGACCGCAGGGGCCACGCAGGAGGTAACAGAGCACCACAGTTGGGTGTCCAGTTTTCAGGATATGGTCCAGAAACAGTCCCGCCAATGTCCTGGGTGTAGGCCCTGAGAGATCCTAGACATTCAAATGCCACTTTATTCATTTACAATGAGAAATTAAACTCTCACATGGACCAGAATTTTCTTGCTTGCCTAATTTGTGCATTTTCTCCTTGAAGTCAAGGCAAAGAGAAGCCAATTCACCATCAGAAGACACTTTACTAACTTACCATGAGAAATCTCTATCTTGGGGACAGAAACTTCAAGGTGTGAATGCTCTGTGCATTTTCTCCCTGCAGACAGCCTACATGAGAAGTCAAATCATAATCTGAATCCTGCTCAGTAGTAAGAATGAAGATAGATAATCAAATATATGGAAGTGGGCTAAAAGACACTGTGGCACACTGAATAAGGCCCCCAAAGATGCCCACAGAAACTGTGAGTGTTACTTTACATGGCAAAAGGGACTTTGGGCTGGGTGCGGTGGCTCACGCCTGTAATCCCAACACTTTGGTAGGCCAAGGTGGGCAGAAATCACCTGAGGTCGAGTTCCACACCAGCCTGCCAACATGGTGAAACCCCGTCTCTACTAAAAATACAAAAATTAGCCAGGTGTGGTGGCATACTGCTGTAATCCCAGCTACGTGTGGAGCTGAGGCAGGAGAATCGCTTGAACCCGGCAGGCAGAGGCTACAGTGAGCCAAGATCATGCCACCGCACTCCAGTCTGGGTGACAGAGCAAGACCCTGCCTCAAACAAACAAACAAACAAAAAAAGAAATATGTATGCTAAAGGTTAAGACTTTCTTTCCCCTACTCTAAGCTTGGAGAGGTACTGCCAGTTTTGTCTATATGTTTACCTAGGCCAATCAATCGTCTTTTGACTGATATCTTTAGATATATTAATATACATTTAATTATATTGTTGACATTTTAGCTGGCCTAAGACTCAGCCTGTCTCCTTCAGGAAATTTAATATTTTTCTGCTCTGATCCTACAGTTTATTCTCAAAGGGCAATCTTATTTCCTCATTCTCAAGTCCTTAGAAGGTACTTCTCCATGATCACCCAAAATGTTAACAAATTATAAGAAGGAAACATCTACCATTGGGTAAAAGCCTGGTGCCAACAGGTAAGTTTCACTCTCTTCTATAACCGAAAATTATAGGTAGCCATTCTAATCCTAGAATTGTCTGAAATTTGTCACAAATGGGTCAAACTGTGATCATGTAGATGGTTGAGTATAAATTTAATACCACTACTCAAAAGATAACTGAACAATTTGCTTTTGAAATTGTCTCTAGGCCGGGAGCGGTGGCTTGCACCTGTAATTCCAGCACTTTGGGAGGCCGAGGCGGGTGGATCACAAGGTTAGGAGATCGAGACCATCCTGGCTAACACAGTGAAACCACGTCTCTACTAAAAACACAAAAAATTAGCCAGGGATGACGGCGGGCGCCTGTACTCCCAGCTACTCGGAAGGCTGAGACAGGAGAATGGCGTGAACCCGGGAGGCGGAGCTTGCAGTGCGCCGAGATCGCACCACTGCCCTCCAGCCTGGGCGACAGAGCGAGACTCTGTCTCAAAAAAAAAAAAAAAAAAGAAAAAGAAAAAGAAATTGTCTCTAGTTAGAGTCAGGGCCGGTCTAAAAAGTAGGAGAAGTGAATACCTTTGCTCATGAAATCACAACATGGTAGCAACAGCTGAAATCCCCATTTTTGCCGAAAAAGAAACTGGGGCCTAGAGAAGTTAAGTGATTTTGCCCAAGGCTGGGGCTCTTAAATGTCAGTGTGTGAGGACTCAAACCTCTTAAACCTCTTAACCAGAGTCTAGGCTTTTTTTTTTTTTTTTTTTTTTTGAGATGTAGTCTCGCACTGTCGCCTGGGCTGGAGTGCAGTGGCATGATCTCAGCTCACTGCAACCTCCGCCTCCCAGGTTCAAGCGATTCTCCTGCCTCAGCCTCCTGAGTAGCTAGGATTATAGTCGCCTGCCACGACGCCCAGCTAATTTTTTGTATTTTTAGTAGAGACGGGGTTTTACTATGTTGGCCAGGCTGGTCTTGAATGCCTGACCTCGTGATCCACCCGCCTCGGCCTCCCAAAGTGCTGGGATTACAGGCGTGAGCCACCGTGCCCAGATGAGTCTAATCTTTTAACCATTACACTATTGATATGATTTAAGAAATATGGGAAATATCCCTGTTGTAAATATACTGTCATGTGTCACTTAACATTGAGAATATGTTCTGAGAAATGCATTGTTAAGCAATTTCATCGTAGTGCAAACATCTTAGACTGCACTTACGCAAACCTAGATGGTATAGCCTACTACACATCCAGGTGATAGGGGATAGACTATCACTCCTAGGTTACAAACCTGTACAGCATGTTACTGTACTGAATACTGTACGCAACTGTAACACAATGGTAAGTATTCGTGTATCTAGATGTATCTAAACACAGAAAAGGTACAATACAAATACAGTATTATAGTCTTATTTTGGGGGGTAGAGGTTGGAGTCTCACTCTGCTGCCCAAGCTGCAGTGCAGTGGCATGATCCCGGCTCACCGCAACCTCCGCCTCCTGAGTTCAAGCAATTCTCCTGCCTCAGCCTCCCGAGTAGCTGGGATTACAAGTGCCCACCACCATGCCTGGCTAATTTTTGTATTTTTAGTAGAGACAGGGTTTCACCATGTTGGCCAGGCTGGTCTCAAACTCCTGACCTCAAGTGATCCACCCACCTTGGCCTCACAAAGGGCTGGGAGTCTTTTCTTTTATTTTGGGCTTTCTGGCAAAAACCAAAAAGCCTGCTTCTAAAAGAGCTGTAACACTGCTATTACAGTCTTATGGAACCACTATTATATTTGGTCTATCATTGATCAAAATGTCATTATGTGACACATAACTGTATTTCCCCATTATCTTTCAGGATGTCTGAAATATTATGATTCATTTGGTCTTGACAGCATGTATTTCTGGGAAAAGTGAAGCCAACTCTTTTCAGAATCTAGGGAGAAAAAATCATTATGTTCTTTCTTTATTTCTGTTACTAACACCTTACTTCAGACCACCATCATTTCTCACCTGGATTATGGCAACAGCCATCCGGCTGGTCTTCATGCTACCTTGGTTGGCTCCTTGCAGTCTGTTCTCCACATTACAGCCAGAATGATCTTCCCAAAATGCAGGTCTGATCATGTCACTCCCCTGCCTGAAAGCTTTCAGGGGCTCCAGATTGTCTTCAGCATGGTCTACACCAGTGTTTCTCACACATTAGGCAAAACCTTATATAACACACAATTTTCATCATTCCCCCACTCTCCTAAAAGTAAATTCATATAGAAATGTGTGGATAGGCCAGGCATTGTGGCTCACACCTGTAATCTTAATTCACTGGGAGGCTGAGACAGGAAGTTTGCTTGAGCCCAAGAGTTCGAGACCAGCCTGGGCAACACAGTGGGACCCTGTCTCTACCAAAAAAAAAAACAAAACACACACAAAAATTAGCTAGGCATGGTGGCACACAACTGGGGTCCCAAGTACTTGGAAGGGTGAGGTCGGAAGATAGCTCATGCCTGGGAGGTCAAGGCTGCAGTGAGCCTTGGTTAGACCACTGTGCTCCAGCCTGGACAACAACGCAAGACCCTGTCTCAAAAAAAAAAAAAAAAATTGCCCACAGGCACGACTGAGGGGCCTAACCACACTCCCACACTCATATCTCTGTGAGCCTCATTAATTTCGCAGACCTCACAAAGCTCAGACTGCTCTGAGCCACCTTTCTTTGTTCACCCTGATTAGTTTGCCTTGGGCTTTAATCCTCATAAACTGCCTAAATACCCAACACTGTACATACAATGGTTTTTGTCAATAGTTTTTGTAGAAGCCACTTTCTCTGCCTGGAACTCTTTCTTTCCAGCTTTATCTGACTAACTCCTTCTCATTCAGGTCCCTCCTTAGAAATGCTTTCCTCGGGCAGTATGGCCATTTTCACAATATTGATTCTTTTTATCCACGAGCATGGAATCTCCTTCCATTTGTTTGTGTTCTCTTTTATTTCATCGAACAGTGGTTTGTAGTTCTCCTTGAAGAGGTCCATCACATCCCTCATAAGTTGGATTCCTAGGTATTTTATTCTCTTTGAAGCAATTGTGAATGGGAGTAATTTATAGATTCAATGCCATCCCCATCAAGCTACCAATGACTTTCTTCACAGAATTGGAAAAAACTACTTTAAAGTTCATATGGAACCAAAAAAGAGCCTGAATTGCCAAGACAATCCTAAGCAAAAGGAACAAAGCTGGAGGCATCAGGCTATCTGACTTCAAAGTATACTACAAAGCTACAGTAACCAAAGCAGCATGGTACTGGTACCAAAACAGAGATATAGACCAATGGAACAGAAAAGAGCCCTCAGAAATAAAACCACACATCTACAACCATCTGATCTTTGACAAACCTGATGAAAACAAGACATGGGCGAAGGATTCCCTATTTAACAAATGGTGCTAGGAAAACTGGCTAGCCATAAGTAGAAAGCTGAAACTGGATCCCTTCCTTACACTTTATACAAAAATTAATTCAAGATGGATTAAAGACTTAAATGTTAGACCTAAAACCATAAAACCCTAGAAGAAAACCTAGGCAATACCATTCAGGACATAGGCATGGGCAAGGACTTCATGACTAAAACACCAAAAGCAATGGCAACAAAAGCCAAAATAGACAAATGGGATCTAATTAAACTAAAGAGCTTCTGCACAGCAAAAGAAAATACCATCAGAGTGAACAGGCAACCTACAAAATGGGAGAAAATTTTTGCAATCTACTCATCTGACAAAGGGCTAATATCCAGAATCTACAAAGAACTTAAAGAAATTTACAAGAAAAAATCAAACAACCCCATCAAAAAGTGGGCGAAGGATATGAACAGACACTTCTCAAAAGAAGAAATTTATGCGGCCAAAAGACACATGAAAAAATGCTCATCGTCACTGGCCATCAGATAAATGCAAATCAAAACCACAGTGAGAAACCATCTCACACCAGTTGGAATGGCAATCATTAAAAAGTCAGGAAATAACAGGTGCTGGAGAGGATGTGGAGGAATAGGAACGCTTTTACACTGTTGGTGGGACTGTAAACTAGTTCAACCATTGTGGAAGACAGTGTGGCGATTCCTCAGGGATCTAGAACTAGAAATACCATTTGACCCAACAATCCCATTACTGGGCATATACTCAAAGGACTATAAATCATGCTGCTATAAAGACACATGCACATGTATGTTTATTGCGGCACTATTCACAATAGCAAAGACTTGGAACCAACCCAAATGTCCATCAATGATAGACTGGATTAAGAAAATGTCGCACATATGCACCATGGAATACTATGCAGCCATAAAAAAGGATGAGTTCATGTTCTTTGTAGGGACATGGATGAAGCTGGAAACCATCATTCTGAGCAAACTATCGCAAGGACAGAAAACCAAACACTGCATGTTCTCACTCATAGGTGGGAATTGAACAATGAGAACACTTGCACACAGGGTGGGGAACATTACACACCAGGGCCTGATGTGGGGTGGGGGGAGGGGGAAGGGATAGCATTAGGAGATATACCTAATGTAAATGATGAGTTAATGGGTGCAGCACACCAACATGGCACATGTATACATATGTAACAAACCTGCGCATTGTGCACATGTACCCTAGAACATAAAGTATAATAATAAAAAAAGAAGAAGAAGTGCTTTCCTCCAAGAAGCCTTCCCTGACACCAATGAGACATAACCTGCTGAACTTCCTCTGTTATAGCACATGTCACATTGTGTCTGCGCCCCTTACTGCTTTGGCCACCTCCTCCTAGAGGATGAGTTTCTTGAGGGCATAGAGTATGCTGTGGTCACTGTCACACACACAATGATTGGCACAGATCTGACCTTCATAATGAAAAAGAAAAGGAAGTTGGAGAGCTTCAGTGACTAATTTGGGTGAACTTGTTTATATTTCTACTGAAGGAAACTTTGGGAAAGGAAAACAATAAGGTTAGGAGTACTAAAGGTCAGTTATTATTTTTTAGAGACATTATTTTGCAAATGTATAAAAATGAAAAAAATACACATATTTTGAAAGTATTAAAATGGCCTTTCAGCTGGAACCGCCGTCTTCCAGTAATTCGCCAAAATAACGAACACAAAGGGAGAGAGGAGAGGCGCTGGGTAGATATTCTCTAGGCCGTTTAGAAAACGTGGAGTTGTTCCTTTGGCCATGTATATGCGAATCTGTGGCAGGCCAACTCTCCCTGACAATTGCACAGACGGGGCTGCATGACAGTCACACAGACAGGCCTGCATAGCACTCCAGTTAGACAGACAGGTTTCCATAGCACTGCCTTAACATTGAGCAAATAGTTAAACCTAGGGAAATCAGTGCCCAGACATCAAAGCTAGAAATGAAACATATGGTCAGTAGGAGCCTTGCATGGGCTTCTCCCTAACCTGGAGCAAACCAAAATAATAGAGACAGTCATACATTCCTTGTGCCAGGAGTCGACGAAATCTGAGACGAGTCAAGGTAACAGAGGCAGCTGTTTGAATAGATTCATTGGAGAGTCTAAGGCAGCTCGCCAGGCCAAGCCGTAAAGGAGATAAGATAGAAATAATCACTCCAGTATCACAGTAGACAGGCCTTGAAGGTCCTGGGGCCCCCACAGTTTAATCAGACTTAGCAAGCATTTTTTTGCCTCCGACCTTCTAATTGAAACAAAATTAGCTACCAATAGACTTAGGTGAATATTAGACTGGTCTTGGGCTCATAACCTCAACCTACATAAGCACTAAGAAAATTGTAACACTTTGAATTGGTCTGGTGGAATTATCTCGGGCCTTCTCCCTGTATCTGGTTACAGCAATAAATTCCCTTCTTTCCTAGTTTGTCTGCTTCTCATTATTGGCGGGCCTCGAGAAAACACAGCCGGACCCGGCTTGGTTCTGGGAACAAATCTGTAAGAAAGGTGATATTGTAGACATCAAGGGAGTGGGCACTGTTCAAATAGGAATGCCCCCCAAGTGTCACCATGGCTAAACTGGAAGAGCCTACAATGTTCCCCAGCATGCTGTTGGCATTGTTGTAAACAAACAAGTTAAGGGCAAGATTCCTGCCAAGAGAATTAACGTGGGTATTAAGCACTTTAAGCACTCTACAAGCTAAGAGAATTTCCTGAAACGCATGAAGGAAAATGATCAGAAAAAGAAGGAAGCCAAAGAGAAAGTTACCTGGATTCAACTGAAGCACCAGTCAGCTCCACCCAGAGAAGACAATGTGAGAGAACCAATGGGAAGGAGCCTGAGTTGCTGGAACCACTTCCCTATGAATTCATGCATAATACATATATACACATATATGTGTGTGTACATATACATATATACATATGTGTGTATATATATGTATATATATGACCTCTGGACGGAAAAAAAAAGTAATAAAATGTAAGAAACCTGGTAAATATGACCTCAGGTAGGTCATCAAGGTAAACATCAACAGTGAGAGGTTATGCTGGTAGTATGTACCCTTGATATGTGTGATGAAAATGGTACTCCACCGCTGTAGTTTTTGTAGGAGTGAAGGGAAAACTTCCTCTTCACCCTCTGAAGGTTCACTGAAAAATCAACTGACAAAGGGCAGATTTTTTTTTCTTTTCCTGAGACAGGATTTCCCTCTGTCACCTAGGCTAGAGTACAGTGGTGTCATCATGGCTTACTGCAGCCTCAGCTTTCCAGGCTGAAGCCATGCTCCTACCTCGGCCTCCTGAGTAGCTGGGGACCACAGGCAACACCACCATACCTGGCTAATTTTTAAAATATATATATTTTGTAGAGATGAGGTCTCACTATCTTACCCAAAGTGGTCTCAAACTGCTGAGCTCAATGATCCTCCAGCCACCAGTTCTCAAAATTCTGGGATTACAGAAGTAAACCACTGTGCCGAGCAAGATTAATAGGGGAAATGGTGTGCAAATTTATTAACGTGTGCAGGGAAGAACCACAGAGCGTTTCCCAACTATGCAATGAACTACAGATGGTTATATGCCCTTCTTTTTAGGGGAAAGGGAGATGGGGAAGAGTGGATGATTTTAGGAGAGTAGTAAATGGTATTTAGGGGAATTCAATGGGACCGAAGAACATACAATGGCCTGGGACAAAGTCTATTGGATCTGCTGAGAAAACAATGGTTTGTGACAAAAGTCTGTCCATCCAGGTGTGTTGACAGACTTCAGTCTTTCTTCCTGTGATTTGAGTTCAGTTAATAAAAACTCAGAGAAGGTACCAGAAATAACTATTTTCTTCTTTGGTGGGTCTGGACTTTAAGTAGATGAGGGAACTTCAGAGAACATCATCCCATGTTTACAGAGAGAAAAATAAGATTGAGAGCCAGGAGGCTGAGGGGAATTGCCGGGAAAGTCAGAGAGACCTTGAGGCTTTTTCTTCAATTCAGCATGTCAGAATGCCATATTTTGGAGTATTGGTTTCTGAGTCCCAACATTCTCGTCCCCTTAACCCATAAACCCAGTCTAATAATAAGAAAAACATTAGACAAATTCCAGTTGAAGAACATTCTACAAAATATCTGATGAGTAGTCTTCAAAACTATCAAGGTCATTAAAAACAAAAAAAGTCTGAGAAATTGCCATAGCCAAGAGTAGCCCAAAGAAACATAATGACTAAGGCCAGGCACGGTGGCACATGCTTATAATCCCAGCACTTTGGGAGGCCAAGGTACGCAGATCACCTGAGCTCATGAGTTCGAGACCAGCCTGGTCAACATGGTGAAACCCTATCTCTACTAAAAATACAAAAATTAGCCGGGTGTGGTGGCAGGCACCTGTAACCCCAGCTACTTGGGAGGCTGAGGCAGGAGAATCACTTGAACCCGGGAGGTGGAGGTTGCAGCAGTGAGCTGAGATCGTGACACTGCACTCCAGCCTGGACAACAGTGTGAGACTCTGTCTCAAAAAAAAAAAAAAAAAAAAGAAAGAAAGAAAGAAACATGATGACTAAATATAATCTGATATCCTAGATGGGGTTCTGAAACAGAAAAAGACATTAGGTAAAACCTGAAGAAATCTGAATAAAGTATGGACTTTTATTCACAATAATGTATCAATATTGGTTCCTGAATTATAACAAATATACCAAGATGTAGAGAAGAACAGATTTCCTCACCCATTGCAAGGTTTATGGCTGAGACCTCTATAATAAAAGACAGATTAACAAGAGAAAAGCATAACAAAATTATTTAGTATAAGTTTTATGTGACATGAGAGCTTTCAGAAACGAGAAGACCCAGAAAAACTGTGTATTTTTATGATAGTCTGAAGTATGATTGGAAGACAAAAGGTATGATGGAATGGTAACAAACTGGGAGGAATTAGGCTCGTTTGTTCAGTTTCTTCTTGGCATCCCTGTTTGATATTTCTTCCCTGGGATACAGGGCAGGACAGCTGTTACATGACAGCCTTCTGGGGGAAAAGGAGGGAAAAGGCCAGAGAGTGACCCTCCAAGTTTTTATGGTCTGCTTCAGAGGAGAAAAAGGGTGAAGGCAATTCTAGTTTTTATGGCTTGCTTTAGGGGAGAAAGGCACAAGAGAAGGTCAAAGAGACCCTCCTGCTTCTGCTATCTTCTCAGTTTTCAAACTACCCTATTTCTGGACATTATGTTCTGAGCCCCAACAATGCTAATGTTAATAATAGAGGAAACTGGCTACAGGATATATGTGAACTCACTCTACTATCTTGGCAATTTTTCAGTAAACCTAAAACTGTTATTGGAGAACGGATAATGTTTGGTTACATGGTAAGTTCTTTAGTGGTGATTTCTGAGGTTTTGGCGCACACATCACCTAAGCAGTGTACACTGTACCCAGTGTGTAGTCTTTTATCCCTCGCTCCCCTCCCACCCTTCCCCCCAAGTCCCTAAAGTCCATTGTATCATTCTTATGCCTTTGCATCCTTATAACTTAGCTCCCATTTCTAAGTGAGAACATACGATGTTTGGTTTTCCTTTCCTGACCTACTTAATTTAAAATAATGGTCTTCAATTGTATCCAGGTTGCTGCAAATGCCATTATTTCATTTCCTTTTATGGCTGAGTAGAATTCTATGGTATAGATACATGACTCTTTTTATTCAGTCATTGATTGATGGGCATTTGGGCTGGTTCCATATTTTTGCAGTTGCGAATTGTGCTGCTATAAACAAGCATGTGCAAGTGTCTTTTTCATATAATGACTTATTTTCCTCTGGGTAGATACCCAGTAATGGGATTGCTGGATCAAATGGTAGATCTAATTTTAGTTCTTTAAGGAATCTCCATACTGTTTTCCATAGTAGTTGTACTAGTTTACATTCCCACCAGCAGTGTAAAAGTGTTCCCTTTTCACCACATTCATGCCAACATCTATTTTTTTTTTATTTTTTAATTATGGTTATTGTTGCTGGTATCATATTGTGGTTTTGATTTGCATTTCACCAATAATTAGTGATGTTGAGCATTTTTTCATGTTTGTTGGCCGTTTATATATCTTCTTTTGAGAACTGTCTATTCATGTCCTTAGCCCACTTTTTAATGGGATTGTTTTTTTCTTGCTAATTTGAGTTCCTTGTAGATTCTGGACATTAGTCCTTTGTAAGATGCATAGTTTGCAAAGATCTTCTCCCACACTGTGGATTGTCTATCTGTTTGTTTGTTTGTTGAGACAGAGTCTCGCTCTGCCACCCAGACTGGAGTGCAGTGGTGCGATCTCAGCTCACTGCAACCTCCACCTCCTGCATTCAAGTGATTCTCCTGCCTCACCCTCCCAAGTAGCTGGGACTACAGGCGCCTGCCATCACGCCTGGCTAATTTTTATATTTTTAATGGAGATGGGGTTTCACCATGTTGGCCAGGCTGCTCTCAAATTCCTGACCTCAGTCTCAAATTCCTGACCTCAGCCTCAAATTCCTGCCTCGGCCTCCCAAAGCGCTGGGATTACAGGCATGAGCCACCATGCCTAGTCAGGGTTGTCTGTTTACTCTGCTGATTATTTCTTTTGCTGTGCAGAAGCTTTTTAGTTTAATTAAGTCCCATCTATTTATCTTTGTTTTTGTTGCATTTGCATTTGGGTTCTTAGTCATGATGTCTTAGACTAAGTCGATGTCTCAGACTAAGACAATGTCTAGAAGAGTTTTTCTGATGTTATCTTTCAGAATTTTTATGGTTTCAGGTTGTATATTCAAGTCTTTGATCCATCTTGAGTTGATTTTTTTATAAGGTAAGAGATGAGAATCCAGTTTCATTGTTTTACATGTAGCTTACTAATTATCCCAGCACCATTTGTTGAATAGGATGTCCTTTCCCCACTTTATGTTTTTGTTTGCTGTGTTGAAGATCAGTTGGCTGTAAGTACTTGGCTTTCTAGGTTCTCTATTCTGTTCTGCTGGTCTATGTGCCTATTTTTATGCCAATACCATGCTGTTTTGGTGACTATAGCCTTATAGTATAGTTTAAAGTCAGGTAATGTGATGGCTCCTGATGTGTTCTTTTTGCTTAGTCTTGCTTTGGCTATATGGTTTCTTTTTGGTTCCATATGAATTTTAGGATCATTTTTTCTAGTTATGTGAAGAATGATGAGAATGTCATTGAATTTGTAGATTGCTTTTGACAGTATGGTCATTTTCACAATATTGATTCTACCCATCCAGGAGCATGGGATGTGTTTCCGTTTGTTTATGTAGTCCCTGATTTCTTTCAGCAGTGTTTTGTAGTTTTCCTTGTAGAGGTCTTTCATCTCCATGGTTAGGTATATTCCTAAGTTTTTTTGTTTTGTTTTGTTTTGCAGCTGTTGTAAAATGGGTTGAATTATTGATTTGATTCTCAGCTTGGTTGCTGTTGCTGTATAGCAGTACTACTGGTTTGTGTACACTGATTTTTGTATTCTGAAGCTTTACTGAATTCACTTATCAGTTCTAGAGGCTTTTTGGATGAGTCTTTACAGTTTTCTAGGTATATGATCATATCGTCAGGAAACAGCGACAGTTTGATTTCCTTTTTACCAATTGGATGCCCTTGATTTCTTTCTCTTGTATGATTGTGCTGGCTAGGACTTCCAGTACTATGTTGAATAGAAGTGGTGAAAGAGGGCATCCTTGTTTTGTTCCAGTTTTCAGGGGTAATGCTTTCAACTTTTCCCCACTCAGTATAATGTTGGCTGTGGGTTTGTCATATATGGCTTTTATTACCTTAAGATATGTCCCTTCTATGCCAATTTTGTAAGGGTTTTAATCATAAAGGGATGCTGGATTTTGTCAAATGCTTTTTCTGCATCTATTAAGATGATCACGTGGTTTTTGTTTTTAATTCTGTTTATGTGGTGTATCACATTTATTGATTTGCGTATGTTAAACCATCCCTGCATCCCTGGTATGAAACCCACTTGATCATGGTGGATTATCTTTTTTTGTGTGTGTGACAGAGTCTTGATCTGTTGCCCAGGCTGGAGTACAGTGACGGGATCTCGGCTGAATGCAATCTCTGCCTCTCAGGTTCAAGTGATTCTCCTGCATCAGCCTCCTGAGTAGGTGGGACTACAGGCACGAGCCACAACACCCAGCTAATATTTTTGTATTTTTAGTAGAGATGGGGTTTTGCCATGTTAGCTAGGACTCCTGACCTCAGGTAATCCACCCACTTTAGCCTCCCAAAGTGCTGGGATTACAGGCATGAGCCACCGCACTCAGCCTGGATTATCTTTTTGATATGCTGTTAGATTCAGTTAGCTAGTATTTTGTTGAGGATTTTTGCATCTATGTTCATCAGGGATATTGCTCTGTATTTTCTTTTTTTGTTATGTCCTTTCCTGGTTTGGGTTTTAGTGTGATACTGGCTTCCTAGAATGATTTAGGAAGGATTCCCTCTTTATCTTCTGGAATAGTGTCAACAGAATTGGTACCACTTCTTCTTTGAATGTCTGGTAGAATTCAGCTGTGAATCCATCTGGTCCTGGACATTTTTTTGTTGGCAATTTTTTTATTACCATTTCAATCTCGCTGCTTGTTATTGGTCTGTTCAGAGTTTCTATTTCTTCCTGGTTTAATCTAGCAGGATTGTATGTTTCCAGGAAAAAAACTTTAAGTTTATTTTTAAAAATTTGGCAAAAATACATACAATACCCAAAAATGGTGTATAAATGCAGTACGCCCATGAAAGGATACTCAACACCTTTAGTCACAGACAAATGCAAATCAAGTCACAATGCAATACTATTAGCAATATACTAAAATGGTTAAAATGTAAAAGACTGGAAAACTCAAGGGTTCATGTGGATATAAAGCACCTGAAATTCTCAAACTTTGACTACAGGAAAACAAAATGATAAAGTTGCTCTAAAAATCAGGTAGGCTGTCATCCCGGATACTCAGGAGGCTGAGGCAAAAGGACTACTTGAGCCTAGGAGTTTGAGACCAGGCTAGACAACATAGGGAGACCCCTCTCTTAAAAAAAATTAGTGTGACATTTCTTATAAAGTTAAACACATACTTTCCATAAGAGCTAGCAATTCCACTTCTGGGTGATTATTCAAGAATAATAAAATATATGGTCACAACCCACACACACATAAAATGTAAAATGAAATGATCAACAACAAAAAAGCATAATCACCTGGAAATTAACAACAATTCTTTGAAAGGTTATGAGGCTATGCACGCTGGGTATAGGAAAGAAAAAATATTTTTTCTTTTACCCTTTTTGGTCAGGCTGGGTCTCAAAAACAAAAGACAGATTAACAAGAGAAAAGAATACAAACTTATTTAATGTAAGTCTTATATGATATGGGAGCCTTAATAAGGAAAACCAGAGCTGAAGAAACAGTTAAACCTGTGTGTTTTAACACTAGGTTTGATGAAGATTGGAAAGTCGTGAAAAATATGATAGGACAAAAGGCGTATGAGCTAAGGAAAATAAACTGGGGAAACAGCAAGGCCTGTCCATTCGGATTCCTCTTGGGAGGCGTCTCTCCATCTTCAGAGACAAGGGGAATGGAGAGGGCACCCCTTGCCTGAGACTCCTACAACCTGCTTCAGTGAATGGTCAGAGAGTCCTTTCTGCATCTACCACTTCTCAAATTCCTTCAGCTTAAATTTTAAATATGGGCCTGGCACAGCGGCTCATGCCCGGGTAATCCCAATACTTTGTGAGGCTGAGGTGGGAGGGTTGCTTGAGGTCAGAAATTCAAGACCACCCTGTGCAACATAGGGAGACCCCACATCTACTTAAAAAAAAAATTAGCTGAGCATGGTGACACCTGCCTATACTCCCAACTACTCAGAAGGCTGAGGGAGGAGGACCACTTGAGCCCAGAAGTTCAAGGCTGCAGTGAGCTGCTATCAGGCCACTGTACTCTAGCATGGGTGACAGAGTGAGAACCTGTCTCAAAACAAAACAAAACTGTACTCTAGCATGGGTGACAGGGTGAGACCCTGTCTCAAAACAGAACAAAACAAAATAAAAGCCCAAAATATTAAATACAACAGGTCACCATATTTTGGGGTAGCGAATCCTGAACCCTGTCAGGGGTAAGATGTCATGATATCTACAACTTCTCAAATAATTTAACAAAAGAAAAAAGGAAGGAGGGAAGGAAGGAAAGAAGGGAAGGAGGGAAGGAGAGAGGGAAAAAAGCAAATGTGGCAAGACATTCAAAATTGGTGAATCAAGATGACAAATATATGAGTTGTATTCTTGCAACTTTTCTATAGATTTGAAAATTTTCAGAATAGGAAGTTGTGGGGGAAAGCAAGCTCAGTAATACCACTGGTAAGATGATAGGGATTTCTCTAGGGGTCATTTTTTTATTTTTTTACTTGGCTCACTGGCTCAAGGTTGGCCAAAGTATTTATGCTGCCCGAGCACTTAAAATGTGCCCGTCTTCACAGAACAGTCTGTTCTCACTATTTATTAAGAGTTGCCCAGATGGTTCAACTAAATTTAGGATTATGTGTTTAACACCAGTACAACCCAGTTGTAAAATAAAAAGCTCCCTCATATAACTTCTTTTGTACTCCATGACTCCAAAAAATGCTCAATTTATTTGTCCAGTTGTTTTGGATTATGTGGACATTCGTATTCAGGATCAATTTTAAAAGAAAGCAGAGGAGGCAATGAATATGTTTATGTCAACAATGCTACTGTGGCTTGGACATTTCTGGGAACCCCACTTTTGCGCTTCAGAGCCTTTTAAGAACCTCATAATAAAATTAGTGTAGTTATTTTAAATACATGCACATTTTATTTTGGATGAAACAGGATCAGAACAAGTGATCACCCAACTTATTTACTGTAGGATATAATAAATTCCTCTTCAAAGATTTTAGACTGTAAATTGTTAAGTACAATGAGTTCTGAGATCCTCTCCAAAGAACCAATGGTATCAATATGTTCAGCTCCCCTGTTCTTCATTCTCCATTTTAAAGTTTAACTTCCTCGTTCTCCTTGCCCCTAGTTTCAGTAAACAATCTTTTCCACCAGTTCTAATTAGTAGTTCACATCTATTCCCCTGGTCACCTGCTCCATCCTGAGTCACCCATGGTCAGCTGCTCTGACCTGAATCATCCCGAGTTACCTGTTCTGTAACCACCCTTCGTGCCAAACTACTCACCCTACCACTCCGGCTCGTATGCCTGCTCCTTAAAACAGCCAATCAGAATTAGCTTAGACTGTGCGGTTCAACCCTAGCCAAGAGAGGAACAACACAGCAGTAGGGGCTACCTGCATCAGGAATAAAACCCCTTCCCCTCCCTTGTTCAAATGTGCTCTCGCCATTGCTCCATCTGTGAGTTGTACCCTTCTATAGAAGTAAAAATTGCCTTGCTGAGAAAATTAAATTTATGTTCCAGTGCTATTTCTTTGTGGCACTGAAAATTTATTTTAACATTTACCATTCTTTAACACAAATGACCTTTGGTATTTCTGAAAAATCAAGTCTACCTTAACAAATTAAAATTTGCAACATAGATGCTATTCAAAAAACTTCCCATGTTTCTAAAATTAAACAAGAAACAAAATAAGAGCTCCAAAACTATTTTAGGCCAGGGATTGGTAAACTTTTTCTGTATATATTTAGATGATAAATATTTTAGGCTTTGTGGATCATATGGATTCTCGCACAACTAATCAACACTGCTGTCACAAGAAAGCAGCTGTAGACAATACTTAAATGAGTGAGTTTAGATGTGTTCCAATAATTTTATTTACAGGAGCAGTTTGTGGGTATTTGGCCCACAGTCTGCAGTTTGCCTATCCTTTTTTTAGGTAATGACAGGATAATTGCACTAACTTTATAGCCTTCCAATGTGACAGCAATTACTGAGCTATGTAATTTTTGGCTTTTTTTCTTTTAAGCAAACATTTGACCCACTGTTTTATAGTCTCTGGTAGGACATTTTAAAATCTTGTTTAGGAGCATTATTTTTTAATAGCATTTAAAGAAAGTATTGTACTGATACTTCCTCTCCCAGAGGGAAAACAATTACAACACAATTACAGTTTTATTAATTCAATCAGCAGGAACTGTATTCTGATTAAGAAGCATCATTAAGGCCAGGCACGGTGGCTCACGCCTGTAATCGCAGCACTTTGGGAGGCTGAGACTGGTGAATCACCTGAGATCAGGAATTCGAGACCAGCCTGACCAACATGGCTAAACCCCATCTCTACTAAAAATACAAAAATTAGCCAGGCATGGTGGTGGGCACCTATAATCCTAGCTACTCAGGAGGCTGAGGCAGGAGAATCCCTTGAACCCAGGAGGTTGCAGTGAGCCGAGATTGCACCATTGTACTCCAGCATTGGCAAAAGAGTGAGATTCCGTCTCAAAAACAAACAAACAAAAAAGAAGCATCATTCAAAAGAAAAGGCCAGGTGCAGTGGCTCATGCTTGTAATCCCAGCACTTTGGAAGGCCGAGGCAGGTGGATCACCTGAGGCCAGGAGTTCGAGACCAACCTGATCAACATGGTAAAACCCCATCTCTACCATAAATACAAAAATTAGCCAGGCATGGTGGCTCATGCTTGTAATCCCAGCTACTCGGGAGGCTGAGGCAGGAGAATCGCTTGAACCCGGGAGGCAGAGGCTGCAGTGAGCTGAGATCACGCCACTGCACTCTAGCCTGGGTGACGGAGTGAGACTCCGTCTCAAAATAATAATAATAATAATAATAATAAAAGCACAGGGGCCAGGAATGGTGGCTCATGCCTGTAATCTCAGCACTTGGGGAGGCTGAGGTAGGTGAATTGCTTGAGCCCAGGAGTTTGAGATTAGCCTGGGCAGTATGCAAAACGAGGCTGGAGGATTGCTTGAGCCCAGGAGGTCGAGGTTGCAATGAACCATGATTGCACCACTGCATTCCAGCCTAAGTGACAGAGTGAGACTGTGTGTCAAAAAAAATAAAATTAAAATAAAGGCCAAGCTCAGTGGCTCATCCCTGTAATCCTAGCACTTCAGGAAGCTGAGGCAGGAGGATAACTTGAAGATAGCAGCTCAAGACCAGCCTGGGTGACATAGGGAGACACACATCTCCACAAAAAATATTTTTAAAAATTAGCCAAGTGTGGTGGCATGCACCTACAGGCCCAGCTACTAAGGAGGCTGAGGTGGAAGGATTGCTTGAGCCCAGGAGGTTGAAGCTGCAGTGAGCCATGATTGTGCCACCGCACTCCAACTTGGGTGACAGAGCAAGGCCTTGTTGCCAAAAAAAAAAAACATAATAATAATAATAATAAAAAAATAGGCCAAGCATGGTGGCACACGCCTGTAATCTCAGCACTTTGGGAGGCCAAGGCAGGTGGATCACTTGAGATCAGGAGTTTGAGACCAGCTTGGCCTTAGTGAAACCCCATCTCTTCGAAAAATACAAAAATTAGCCAGGTGTGGTGGTGCACACCTGTAATCCCAGCTACTCAGGAGGCTGAGGCAGGAGAATCACTTGAACCTGGGAGGCGGACGTTGTAGTGAGCCGAGATGGAGCCATTGCACTCCAGCTTGGGCGACAGAGTAAGACTCTGTCTAAAAAAGGAAATAAATTAAAAGTACCCAGATAGCGATTGATTTTGCAAATGCTTAATATAAAGAGCAAAAGCCATAAGAAGTTCTATTTTGTATTTTATTTCTACTTATTTATTTTTGTAAAGAAGGGGTCCCGCTATGTTGTCCAGATTGTTCTCAAACTCTTAACCTCAACTGATTCTCCCACCTCAGCCTCCCAAAGTGCTGGGATTACAAGCATGAGCCACCACACCTAGCTCCCCACTCCCTTTTTTTTTTAACCTGTGCCTTTTATTCTGTTCATCTGGCAACAATTAATTGAATTAATTACTACAATGTTCACACTGTCAAAACAAAAAAGACATCAGAAAGCACCTGATTTAAAGTTTTGTGTTCATTGGGTTCTTTTTTTCCCTTTTGATGTTTTCTTTCCCACTATACCAGCGGCTCTCAAGTATGGTCCCTGAATCAGCAACATCAGTGTAACATGGGAATCTAATGGAAATACAAATTCTTGGGCCTCACCCACTTCAGACCTCCTGATCAGCAACTCTGGGGGAGGGGCTCAGTGAAACCCTCTAGGTGATACTGATGCTTACTTAGGTTTGAGAACTACTGGTCTACATCTAGGCAGATGGCTACCTAGCTATTGCAATACAGAAGAAAACGTGCTCTGGGTTGCTAGGTTACAACACAGGTCCATCGTCTCCCCACGTTCAGTAGATCTAAAGGAGGGGAGCTCAGATCTAATGGAGGGGAGAGTGAAGATGTGCTTTCAAATAGGAGCACTGGCCAGGTGCAGTGGCTCACACCTGTAATCCCAGTAGTTTGGGAGGCCAAGGAGGCAGGATCACATGAGGCCAGGAGTTCAAGACCATCCAAGACAACAAAGTGAGACCCTGTTTTGAAAAAAAAATTTTTAAATACAACAAATAGTAACACACGCTCACTGATAACTGCCACTCCTTCCACTCACCCCTGACTACCAAACCCACACACACGTAATACAGTAGCCTGTGAGATGCCTGTACTTACTCACTCAGCAAAAGATCAAGGACCAATAATACAAGATGGGGATAAAGGAATACTATTTTTCATAAGAATTACAGAGCCACTGACTCCTGAACTACGTCTATCTATAAGATTGAATGCAATAGTATCAGAAATATATTTTAAAGAAATTTCTATGGGCTGAATGTGTTTTCCAAAATTCATATGTTGAAACTTAATGGCCTGGCCAGGCACAGTGGCTCATGCCTATAATCCCAGCACTTTGGGAGGCTGAGGTGGGCAGATCACTTGAGGTCAGGAGCTCGAGATCAGCCTGGCCAACATGGTGAAACCCCATCTCTACTAAAGATACAAAAATTAGCCAGGCGTGGTGGTTCACACCTATAATCCCACCTACCTGGGAGGCTGAGGCAGGAGAATCACTGAACCCGGGTGGCAGAGGCTGCAGTAAACTGAGATGGTGCCACTGCACAGACTGAGACTCTGTCTCAAAAAAAAAAAAAAAAGAAAAGAAAAGAAAAGAAACTTAACGGCCAATATGATTGTATAAAGAGAGGGGGCCTTTAGGAGGTAATTAAGACCTGAGAGCTGATCCCTCATGGATGTGATAAGGGCCCTTACAGAAGGGCTTGAGGGAGTGGGTCCATTTGCTTTTGCTCCTCTGCTACGTGAGGACAGTCCTTGTTCCCTTTTGCCCTTTTCAACCCTTCTGCCATGTGAGAATCAGCAAGAAGGTCCTCAAAAGACACTGAAGGGCCGGGCGCGGAGGCTCACGCCTGTAATCTCAGCACTTTGGGAGGCCGAGATGGGTGGATCATGAGGTCAGGAGATGGAGACCATCCTGGCTAACACGGTGAAACCCCATCTCTACTAAAAATACAAAAAATTAGCCGGGCGTGGTGGCGGGCGCCTGTAGTCCCAGCTACTCGGGAGGCTGAGGCAGGAGAATGGCGTGAACCCAGGAGGCGGAGCTTGCAGTGAGCCGAGATCGTGCCACTGCACTCCAGCCTGAGCGACACAGCAAGACCCCAACTCAAAAAAAAAAAAAAAAAAGACACTGAAGGCAGGTGCCTTGACCTTGACTTCTCAGCCTTCAGGACTGTGAGACATAAATTTCTATTGTTTATAAATGACCCAGTCTGTGGTGTTTTTAAATAGCAGCACAAACAGACTAAGACAGAGATCTATTAGAACCTTCATTTCTAGAACACTCACTTATATAAAACTCTTCTTTGGGTAATGATGCATAGTCAAATGTCACTGAAATAACTGCACCCTCATTAGGGTGTGATGAAAATCCAAACAAAGACACGTGAGCACATTGCTTCCAGTTTCTCCCTGTTTGGCCTTAACTCCTGCTTGGTCAGAGAAATTTGAGCCTTATAAATTAGCAAGCCTCTTCTGAATTAAAAAAAAAATTAATAAGAATGTAACTAATGAATCAAAAAACTAATATATGCACTGTATTGTGTTAGGCATTCATGAGTAGGCAAGGCTACATATTTTTTTTATGGCACTGGGAGGGCTACAGATGTTTACAGAATGAGACAGCACTGTGAGCTAAGCCAGGCAGCAGTGGCCTCCAAACAGATGTGGAAACTGAGCAGACAGACAAAGCAAAGACCATGAGCATACATCCCAAATATGCTTAGCATATTTGGAGAATAATTAAGTCAAGCAATTTAGGTGGAACAGGATATTAATATAGGAAAGACTGGAGAAGTAGGTAAGGTCCATCTTACTGTGGCCATAAAGGTCAGGCTGGGGCTTATGGCTTGTTCTGACAGCAATGAGAAACATTTAAAATTCTAGTTAGCTGGGTGTGGTATCTCCCAGCCATAATCCCAGCACTTTGGGAGGCTGAGGTGGGAAAATCACTTGATGCCAGGAGTTTGGAGATCAGCCTGGTCAACATAACAAAACCCCATCTCTCCAAAAATATAATGACAACTCAGTGTAATCTACTCTAGATTACAGAGTAGATTACAGCTGGGCCTCTCAAACTGTCACATGCATCTGAAATCACCTGGGATCTTGTTAAAATGCAGATTCTAATTCAGCAGGTTTGGGGCACAGGCTGAGATTCTGCCGTGTGTGTGTGTGTGTGTGTGTGTGTGTGTGTGTGTGTGTGTGACGGGGTCTCACTCTGTTGCCCAGGCTGGAGTGCAGTGGCACAATCATGGCTCGCTGAATCCTCCACCTCCCCAGGCTCAGGTGATCCTTACCTCAGCCTCAGGAGTAGCTGGGACTACAGGCACACACCACCATACCTGGCTGACTTTTTGTATTTTTTTTTTCCCTGGAGAACAATGGCACAATCTCGACTCACCGCAACCTCTGTCTCCCAGGTTCAAGCGAGTCTCCTGCCTCAGCCTCCCACGTAGCTGGGATTACAGGCATGCACCACCACACCTGGCTAATTTTGTATTTTTAGTAGAGACAGGGTTTCTCCATGATCAGGCTGGTCTTGAACTCCCGTCCTCACATGATCTGCTCGCCTCGGCCTCCCAGAGTGCTTGGGATTACAGGCGTGAGCCACCACACCCGCCTGTAATTTATTTACTTATCTTTTTTATCAGAGACAGGTTTTCACCATGTTGCCCAGGCTGATCTCAAATACCTGACCTCAAGTGATCTGCCCGCCTCAGCCTCCCAAAGTGCTGGGATTACAGGCATGAGCTACCACGCCCAGCAAGACTCTGACTTTCTAACTCACTCCCAGTGATAGCTAGTATACTGCTGCTCCCCAGACCCCACTTTGAGTAGCCAAAGATTAGGATATTGTCCTAAATTCAAGGCATCTACTACAATATAATATTGAAGTAGAAAGAGAAAATACACCAAAAACATGGGGGGCCAGATACAGTGGCTCACACCAGTAATCTCAGCACTTTGAGAGGCTGAGGTGGGAGGACTGCTTGAGGCCAAGAGTCCGAGATTGCTGTAAGCCATGATTGCACCACTGTACTCCAGCCCAGGGGACAGAGCAAGACCCTGTCTTGAAAGATAAATAAATAAATAAAAAGAAACAAAAAAGAAAAAAAATTTTTTTTTTACAAATTTATTATTATAGTTTGCTCATTTATTTGCAAGGAACAAGCATTTCTCACTCAACCAGCTGAAATAAAAAGAGCTTATTTAAAAAAGGCATAGGGGACGGCTGGGAGCGGTGGCTCAAGCCTGTAATCCCAGCACTTTGGGAGGCCAAGGTGGGCGGATCACTTAAGGTCAGGAGTTTGAGACCAGCCTGGCCAACGTGGTGAAACCCTGTCTCTACTAAAAATACAAAAAATTAGCCAGGCCTGGTGGTGGGTACCTGTAATCTCAGCTACTCGGGAGGATGAGGCAGGAGAATTGCCTGAAATGGGGAGGTGGAGGTTGCAGTGAGCCAAGTTCGTGCCACTGCAGCCTGGGTGACAAAGTGAGACTTCATCTCAAAAAAAGAAAGAAAGAAAGGTAAAAAAAGAAATAAAGTGAAGATAATCCTGACCCTAGCCCCACCCTCATCTTCACTGCAGGAGATGAAGAGGAAGGAAAACCACAGAAACTGAAAGGTTTGCATTCCCCAACCTGCCCTGCCTGCCTTAATTTTACTGAGTTTCTTTCTTTTTTTTTTTCAGACGGAGTTTTTTTGCTCTTGTCTGCCAGGCTGGAGTGCAACAGTGCGATCTCAGCTCACTGCAATTTCCGCCTCCCAGGTTCAAGCGATTCCCCTGCCTCAGCCTCCTGGGTATCTGGGATTACAAGTGCCTGCCACCACTCCCGGCTAATGTTTGTATTTTTAGTGGAGAAGGGGCTTCACCACGTTGGCCAGGCTGGTCTCGAACTCCTGACCTCAAGTGATCTGCCCACCTCAGCCTCCCAAAGTGGTGGAATTACAGGTGTGAGCCACCACACCCAGCCTCCACTGAGTTTCTTAAGCCTTCCATTGTAACCACAAATTGTTATCCAGTGTTCCCAGTGTGTCACTTCATTTAGTACAATTTCTCATTTCTCAGGCTAACTACTAACTGAATTCACTCACCTCTCTCTCTCTTTTTTTTTTTTTTCTTTTTTCTCTCTTGTAGTGCTTCTCTGTGTCTGGAACTGTTAAATAAACTCGTCATAGAACTTACAGTCAAGGATTTGTATAGAAGTGCAGGCAATAAATAATACATCGGTTAAAGTTTATTAGATGGTGGCCGTGCGCAGTGGCTCATGCCTGTAATCCCAGCACTTTGGAAGGACGAGGTGGGTGGATCACCTGAGGTCAGGAGTTCAAGACCAGCCTGGCCAACATGATGAAACCGCGTCTCTACTAAAAATACAAAATTAGCTGGGCATGGTAGTGCATGCCTCTAATCCCAGCTACTTGGGAGGCTGAGGCAGAAGAATCGGTTGGACCTGGCAGGCACAGGTTGCAGTGAGCCGAGATTGTGACATTGCACCCCAGCCGGGCAACAGAGCAAGACTCTGTCTCAAAACACACACACACACACACACACACACACACACACACACACACACACACACACACACACACATATTAGATGGTGGTAAATGTTATATTGACCAAAACATGGCAGGGGAAGGGAACAGAAATTGCTGAGGATGTGGAAGCTGGGGCGGGGGGTGGGGGCAGGTGGGGAGAGTTGAATTTAAAAGGAGCTCAGAGAAAGCCTCCCTGAGAAAGTGACATTTTGAGCAAAACCTTGAAGGGGTGAGGGACCGTGTCATGCATGCAGATAGATATATCTGCGAAATGTGTTTCCTGCAACGACAGTGCACGTCTTGAGGTAAGAGCATCTTGGCATATTCAAGGAACAGCTAAGAGCTGGCGTAACTAGAGCAGAGGGAGAGGGAGAGTGGGAGGTGAGATCAGAGAAGAAGACAGGTCAGAGCACTCAGGGCCTTGTAGGCTACTGTGAACACCAGCTTTCACTCTGAACGAGATGGGAAGCCACTCCAGCGCCAAGAGTGACTTGACCTGGCTTAGCTTTTAATAGGAAAACTCTGGCTGCTAGTTGAGAAAGAGGATAGGGGTAGGAGTGCCAAAGCTGGCCAAGCAACTGGGAGGCTTGGGAAACAACCCGCGCCAGACAGAGATGATGGATTAAAGGACTGTAGATCAGACGAGTAACAGAGGAGCTGAGGATAGAGGAGTCACCAGATTCTGGTGACTGACGGCCTCAGTGCTGTACCAAGAGGGAGAGTGTCATGCTTCTAGTCAGCATAGGGAGAGCAGAGAGACAAATACAAAATGCTTTATTGATTGATTGATTGATTGAGACAGGGTCTTGCTCATGCCTAGGCTAGAGTGCAGTGGCACAGTCATGGCTCACTGCAGCCTCAACCTCCTGGGCTCAAGTGATCCTCCGGCTTCAGCCTCCTGAGTAGCTGAACTACAAGCATGTGCCACCATGCCTGGCTAATGTTTATTATTTATTTATTTAGTAGATAGGAGCGAGGTCTTGCTATGTTTCTCAGACTGGTCTTGAACTCCTAAACTTAAGTGATCGTGTGAGCCACCATGTCCAGCCTGGGAGTATTTTTTTTTTTTTTTTGAGACGGAGTCTCGCTCTGTTGCCCAGGTTGGAATGCAGTGGCAAAGTCTCAGCTCACTGCAACCTCAACTTCCCAGGTTCAAGTGTTTCTCCTTCCTCAGCCACCTGAGTAGCTGGGACTACAGGCACACGCCACCACGCCTGGCTAATTTTTGTTTTTTTAGTAGAGATGCGGTTTCACCATGTTGGCCAAGCTGGTCTCAAACTCCTGACCTCAAGTGATTCACCAACCTCGGCCTCTCAAAGTGCTAGGATTACAAGTGTGAGCCACTTCACCTGGCCCCAGGAGTATTTTAAATCAGAAATGTTCATAGGTACAGTTCAAGTTAAAAAACTTTCCAAGGTAGACAACCTAAAAGCTAGAAGAGACTTGAAACCATTTAAAACTCAAATAAAATTCTCTGAAAGCATTTATGAATGTGACAAGATAACTTACTGAGCTACTCAAGAAGAAAATGCTCTAGAATGGAGAAACAAAGATTAGATTAAAAAAAAAAATACACCAAAAAAGATTTGAATATAAAATGGCTGAAAATACACTGATGTGTCCCAATTTGTCAGAATATCTTTTGTTGTTTCTAATAGAAAAGCTTATTGCTAAATGACACAGACCATTTTCCACTAGGGAAAGGGCAATCAGTAGAAATAAAAAGGTTCCCCAAAATGCAAGATACAACATTAAATATCTGTAACTTTAAAAGAGATTAATAAATGCATATCAGAGTCATCTTCTCCCTATTATTATGAGAGAGAACTACAAAAAGATGCTGTGTATTCATGGAGGAAAATGTAACACAAATCTAAGAATGGAAGCAAGAGACACTTTTGAAATGTCATCAAACAGTGCCAATGAATATTATTTCTGCTACAGAACAGCAGGAGAGAGAACGTTTTATTCAAAAATATCTAAGGAAATAAAAATTACGTTTAAATGGGATGTGTCAGCAACATCAAAAAAATTTAATGAAAAACAGAAAAGGAGCTCCCGGGACTGAAAGCATTCTATTTTTATTCTGGGAATAAAAGTGTTATATTATTTCCTGTGTATTCTTATAACTGATTACTTGGATATTTAAGCTTGATTCTCAATGCTAAAATGAGACAAGCCAAGCAACAAAGATTTAAAAATTTATTGAGACATTTTATTTTACTTTGTTACAACTAGCCAAGATTATTAATAATGTGACGTGTCTTTTAGCCTTTCTTTGTTCCTCACCTTTCTCTTAAGTGAATAAAGGAGGCATGTGCAGTCCAAAGTGGAGGGAGGGGCCGCGTGTGGTAGTTCAGGTCTGTAATCCTAGCACTTTGGGAAGCCAAGGTAGGCAGATCACCTGAGATCAGGAGTTCGAGACCAGCCTGGGCAACATGGTGAAACCTGGTCTCTACTGAAAATACAAAAATTAGCCAGGTGTAGTGGCGCATGACAGTAATCCCAGCTACTCAGGAGGCTGAGGTGAACTCTGCTGCCTCAAAAAAAAAAAAAAAAAAAAAAAAAAAAGAAAGAAAGAAAAAGAGAAACCGAAGTGGAGGAAGGAGAGAGATTATAATGGATTACATAGTTTCCTTTGAAATTTAATCCAAACACTAACACCACTCTCTTCTCTTTCCTATCAAAATTTTTAATTAAAAAAAATTTTTATGGGGACATGGTAGGTGTACATATTTATGGGACACATGAAATATTTTGATACAGGCATACAATGTACAATAATCCCATCAGGGTAAATGGTTCATGACTTTTTTTTTTTTTTGAGACAGAGTTTAACTCTTGTTGCCCAGACTGGAGTGCAATGGCACAAACTCAGCTCACTGCAACCTCCACCTCCTGGGTTCAAGCAATTCTCCTATCTCGGCCTCCCGAGTAGCTGGGATTACAGGTGCCCACCACCACACCCAACTAATTTTTGTATTTTTAGTAGAGACAGGGTTTCACCATGTTGGCCAGGATGGTCTTGACCTCCTGACTTCAGGTGATCCACCTGCCTTGGCCTCCCAAAGTGCTGGGATTACAGGTGTGAGCCACTGCGCCTGGCCAGTTCATGACTTTTTGACAGGCTGATCTCACATTTTTTCAGCTTTATTGACTTGTTACCATCCACCTTCCTAGGATATCAAATCTGCTCAACCTCCAAGATTTTAAATGTAAATGCCCATTCCTACCCATAACCTCTTGTTTTATCATTTTTCCCATTCTACTGAACCTGGTATTTGTTCTAAGAGTAATTTGAATTCAACCAGTAGGACTGAGGTTAAAGCTGCAGATTTTAGGGTCAAACTGCCTGGGTTTAAACTCACACTGCCCTTCACTAGCTGAGTGGCCAGGGACAGGTTACTGAATTCCTCTTTCCCTTAAATTTCTCAAAGACTTCCTGTGAAGGTTTAAATAGATAATTCATATAAACCTAGCACAAATTAAGTACATGATAAGTGTTAGCCAGTTAGTATCAGTATTCCATTTAGATTCATTTGTCCTCCTTGTAGCCTGGTTACTGTGCTCAGCTTGGCTCTCTTCCATTCCAGTTGAAACAAGACCCTTCCATTGTTCATGTTTTTCATCCCAGCTCCTGTATTACTTCATGCCTTGATTTCTTCCTGACTCTAACTGCACTCTAACTCTAAATCATCAGGGACACTCAGGAATTTATTATTATTATTATTTTTGAGACAGAGTTTCACTCGTGTCCCCCAGGCTGGCGTGCAGTGATGCAATCTTGGCTCACTGCAACCTCCACCTCCTGGGTACAAGTGCTTCTCTTGCCTCAGCCTCCCAAGTAGCTGGGATTACAGGTGTGTGCCACCATGCCCAGCTAATTTGTTTGTTTGTTTGTTTGTGTTTTTAAGTAGAGACAGGGTTTCATCATGTTGGCCAGGCTGGGCTCAAACTCCTGACCTAAGGTGATCTGTCAACCTTGGCCTCCAAAAGCGCTGGGATTACAGGTGTGAGCCACTGCATCCAGCCAGGAATTTTTCAAATAATTAATCTCTGTTTGGCTCCTTATTTCATTCCCCACAATAGTATTCAAAACCACCCCTACTTTCCTCGAGTCCTCAAATCTTTTGCTGTCTGAATTTTTTTTTTTTTTGAGATGGAGTCTTGCTCTGTTGCCCAGACTGGAGTGCAGTGGCACAGTCTTGGCTCACTGCAACCTCTGCCTCCCAGATTCAAGCAATTCTCCTGCCTCAGCCTCCTGAGTAGCTAGGATTACAGGTGCCCGCCACCACTCCCGGCTAATTTTTGTATTTTTAGTATAGACGGGGTTTCACCATGTTGGCCAGGCTGGTCTCGAACTCTTGACCTCAGGTGATCTGCCTGCCTCAGCCTCGGAAAGTGCTGGGATTACAGGCATGAGCCACCATGCCCAGCCTGCCTGAAATATTTTTTTGACACAACTTTGTCTCCTACTTCACTGAGAAGACAGAGGCTACCTTGCTAGCAGAGAATGCTTCTCCTGTACTCTTCCGTCATCCCATGTAGAAGGAACATTTCTCAGTGGATAGAACACAGGAGTTCACAAGATCAGCCTGGGCAACATGGCAAAACCCCATATTTACAAAAACTAATAGTAATAATAATTAACCAGGCGTGGTGGAATGTGCCCTATAGTCCCAGCTACTTGGGAGTCTGAGGTGGGAGAATCACTTGAACCTGGCCAAAGAATGTAATTCTTTGCCTCTGTGCCTCTATAGTCACTCTGTCTTAGCAGAAGTGGAGTGATTCACTTGATTGGTAAATTTGTGTAGAATAAACCAACATTTTCTAATTAGCCTTCAGACTATTCACATAGTCTGGACTTATTTGCTCTTTTCCTGGCCATAAGGTGCACATGAGGCAACCTCTGTCCCTGCAGGACAAGAGAAACCTGCAGTTTGGAAAGGAAGTATAGCTCTGAAGTCTGAAGACTTCCAATTGGATGAATGTTGAGGAATACTGAGAAATCAAAACCAAAACTCGGAACTTAGAGGAGCTATATAAATTTAGAGGTGTTAGTGGACTTTAGTGTGTAGGCAGAATGTTTTAAGCTTGGCAGCTGCATGGTCTTTGAATAGCTGCAGTCTAGGAAAGAGGCATTAAGCCTCAGAGCACATGGTAGTCTAACCATAGGGAGGGACTGCAGTTTATGGTGGCCTGGTCTACAGGTGAGTGAGTGAAACTGCGTTTGCAAAATTACGACAGTAAGAGAAATTCTAACATAGCTGACTCCATGTTGCTTCTAACCTCTGAGGTGTCCCTGGTCATTCCTGGGCATAGGCCGAGCTAACTTTGGGAAGAATTTAGTTTACAGTTTAACCTTAAAGCAAGGATGATAGTAGCCCTTCCCAAAACTAAACCACCTTTTTTTTTTCATTTGTTTGTTTTTGTTTGTTTTTTTTCAGTCAGAGTCTCACTCTGTCACCCAGGCTGGACTGCAGTGGCACGATCTCAGCTCACTGCAACCTCCACCTCCTAGGTTCATGCGATTCCCCTGCCTCAGCCTCCTGAGTAGCTGGGATTACAGGCACACACTACCACACCCAACTAATTTTTATACTTTTAGTAGAGACAGGGTTTCCGCATGTTGGCCAGATGGTCTCAAACTACTGACCTCAGGTGATCTGCCTGCCTCAGTATCCCAAAGTGCTGGGATTACAGGTGTGAGCCACCACATCCGGCCAACCTTTGTAAACCTAATGAAAAACCATGAAAGGCTGGCACGGTGGCTCACGCCTGTAATCCCAGGACTTTGGGAGGCCAAGGTGGGTGGATCACAAGGTCAACAGATCAAGACCATCCTGGCCAACATGGTGAAACTCCATCTCTGCTAAAAATACAAAAAATTAGCCAGGCATGGTGGCACATGCCTGTAGTCCCAGCTACTTGGGAGGCTGAGGCAGAAGAATCACTTGGACCCGGGAGGCAGAGGTTGCGGTGAGCCGAGATTGTGCCATTGCACTCCAGTCTGGTGACAGAGCGAGACTCCGTCTCAAAAAAAAAAAAAAAAAGAAAAACCATGAAATTAGGATGATGGGAGGGGCCTGAACTCCGCTAAAATGTAGGCGTAGTTTCTTTTCTTTTTCTTTCTTTCTTTCTTTCTTTTTTTTTTTTTTTTTTTTTTTTTTGACACAGAGTCTCTCTCTGTTGCCCAGGCTGGAGTGCAGTGGTACAATCTCAGCTCACTGCAACCTCCACCTCCTAGGTTCCGCCTCCTTGGTTCAAGTGATTCTCCTGCCTCAGCCTACCGAGTAGCTGGGATTACAGGCACATGCCACCAAGCCTGGCTAATTTTTGTATTTTTAGTAGAGATGGGGTTTCTCCATATTGGCCAGGCTGGTCTTGAACACCTGATCTCAAGTGATCCATCCGCCTCGGTCTCCCAAAGTGATGGGATTACAGGTGTGAGCCACCACACCCAGCCAAATGTAGGCAGTTTCTATAACCCTTACTGCTTAGGAGTCATGTGCCAGAAGTCACAATATCTGTGGCTTCCCCAATTGTTTCTACAGATAACATCTCCTATAGATAGTTTGAGCCCAAGAGATCAAGGCTGCAGTCAGCTGTTATTGCCCACTGCACTCTAGCCTGGGTGACAAAGCAAGACCCTGTCTGGGAAAACAAAAAGTAAATAAATAAACAAATCTAAGAAGAACTAAATAAATAGAGAGAGATACTGACTGGGCACAGCGGCTCACACTTGTAATCTCAGCACTTTGGAGGGCCGAAGCAGGAGGATCACTTAAGCCCAGAAGTTCAAGCCCAGAAGTTCTGGGCAGCACAGCAAGACACCATCTCTACAAAAAATCAAAAAACTAGAGGCCGGGCGCGGTGGCTCATGCCTGTAATCCCAGCACTTTGGGAGGCCGAGGCGGGTGGATCACCTGAGGTCAGGAGTTCTAGACCAGCCTGGCCAATATGGTGAAACCCCTCTCTACTAAAAATACAAAAATTAGCCGGGCGTGGTAGCAGGACCCTGTAATCCCAGCTACTTGGGGGGCCGAGGCAGGAGAATCGCTTGAACCCAGGAGGCAGAGGTTGCAGTGAGCCGAGATCGTACCATTGCACTCCAGCCTGGGGGACAAGAGTGAGACTTCGTCTCAAAAAAAAATTAGAAAATTAGCTGGACATGGTGCATACCTGTAGTCCCAGCTACTCAGAAAGCTCAGGTGGGAGGAACACTTGATCCCAGGAGACTGAGCCTGCAGTGAGCTGTGATCAAGCCACTGCACTGCAACCTGGGTGACAGAGTGAGATGAAGTCTCACCACGCCCGGCCTATATGTTTTTTAAAGACAAATACACCATGTTTATGATTACGAAAACTCAATATTATCAGGATGTCAGTTCTTTCCAACTTGATCTATAGATTTAATGCAATTCCAATCAAAATTCTAGCAAGTTATTTGGTGATTTTTAACCAACTGATTCTAAAGTTTATATGGAAAGGCAAAAGACCTAGGATAGCCAACACAATATTGAAGGAGAAGGACAAGGTCAGAGGACTGACACTACCTGATTTCAAGACTTTACTGTAAAGCTACAGTGATAAAGATGTATAAATGTGTCAAATGAATAAATGAATTGATCTTGGTCAATGGAACAGAAAAGAGAAACCATAGGCCTTCAGGCTGGGCGCAGTGGCTGACACCTGTAATCCCAGCACTTTGGGAGGCTGAGGCAGGTGGATCACCTGAGGTCAGGAGATCGAGACCAGCCTGGCCAACATGGCAAAACCCGTCTCTACTAAAAATACAAAAATTAGCCAGGTTTGGTGGCACACGCCTGTACTCCCAACTACTTGGGAGGCACAGGCAGGAAGATCGCTTGAACCTGGCAGGTGGAAGTGGCAGTGAGCCAAGATTGTGCCCTTACACTCCAGCCTGGGAAACAGAATAAGACTCCGTCTCAAAAAAAAAAAAAAATAGACTTTCATAAACAGAGTCAACTGATCTTTGGCAAAGCAACAAAGACAACACAATGGAGAAAATATAGTCTTTTCAACAAATGGTGCTAGAGTAACTGGATATACACACATACATGCACACACAAATCTAGATATAGACATTACATACTTCACAAAAATTTACTCAAAATGTATCACAGGCTACCTGTAAAATGATAAAACTATAAAATAATATTGAAGAAAATATAGATGACCTTAAATTTAAGGCTTTTTATTTTTATTTTTTTAAAGCTAACTCTTTAGATACAACACCAGAGAGACACTATACAGAGAGTGAGAAGACAAGCCACACACTGGAGAAAATACTTGCAAAAGACATGTCTGATAGAAGACTGTTAGACTGTTATCAAAAATATACAAAGAGCTCTTTTCTTTTCTTTCTTTTGTTTTTTTTTTTTTTTTTTTTTGAGACAGAGTCTTGCACTGTTGCCCAGGCTGGAGTGCAGTGGTGAGATCTCGGCTCACTGCAACCTCTGCCTTCCAGGTTCAAGTGATTCTCCTGCCTCAGCCTCCCACACACGGCTGAGACAAAGAACTCTTAAAGCTCAATAATAAGAAAATGAACAATCTGCTTTAAAAAAATGGGTAAACTGGCTGAGCGCGGTGGCTCACACCTGTAATCCCAGCACTTTGGGAGGCCAAGGCGGGCCGATCACAAGGTCAGGAGATCAAGACCATCCTGGCTAACACTGTGAAACCCGTCTCTACTAAAAATACAAAAAAATTAGCCAGGCATGGTTGCAGGCGCCTGTAGTCTCAGCTACTTGGAAGGCTGAGGCAGGAGAATGGTGTGAACCCGGAAGACAGAACTTGCAGTGAGCCAAGATCGTGCCACTGCACTCCAGCCTGGGCGATAGAGCGAGACTCTGTCTCAAAAAAAAAAAAAAAAAAAAAAAAGGCTAAACTACCTGAACAGACACCTCACCAAAGAAGATACACAGATGGCAGGTAAGGATATGAAAAGATGCTGAACAGAATATGTCATTAGGGAATTGCAAATTAAAATGATGAGGTAGGCTGGGTGCAGTGGCTCATGCCTGTAATCCCAGCACTTTGGGAGGCCGAGGTGGGCGGATCACCTGAGGTCCAGAGTTCAAGACCAGCCTGGCCAACATGGTGAAAGCCCATCTCCATTAAAAATACAAAAAAAATTAGCTGGGCATGGCGGCGCATGTCTGTGGTCCCAGCTGCTCGGGAGGCTGAGTCAGGAGAATCGTTTCAACCTGGGAGGCAGAGGTTACAGTAAGCTGAGATCGCGCCATTGCATTCCAGCCTAGGTGACAAAGCAAGACTCCATCTCAGAAAAAAAAACAAAAAACAAAACAACAAAACACAAAACAAAAACAAAGAGGTACCACTACGCATCTATGAGAATGGCCAAAACCCTAAACATTGACAACAATAAATGCTAGCGAGGAGCTAGATCAACAGAAACTCTCATTGTTGCTAGTAGGAATGCAAAATGGCATAGGCGCTTTGGAAGATGGTTTGACAGTTTTTTATAAAACTATACATACTCTTACCATACAATCCAGCAGTCACATTTGGTATCAGTATTTACCCAAATGAGTTGAAACATGTTCACACAAAACCCTACACATAGATATTAATAGCAGTTTTATTCATAATTGCCAAAACTGGGGGAAAAAAACAAGATACCTTACAATAGGTAAATGGATATATAAACTGTGGTACATCCAGACAACTGAACATTATTCAGTGTTAAAAAGAAATGAGCTCTGGGCCAGGCACAGTGGCTCACGCCTGTAATCCCAGCACTTTGGGAGGCCGAGGTGGGCGGATCACTGGAGGTCAGGAGTTCAAGACAAGCCTGACCAACATGGAGAAACCCCATCTATACTAAAAATACAAAAATTAGCCGGATGTGGTGGCAGATGCCTGTAATCCCAGCTACTCAGGAGGCTGAGGCAGGAGAATCGCTTGAACTTGGGAGGCGGAGGTTGCGGTGAGCCAAGATCACGCCATTGCACCCCAGCCTGGGCAACAAGAGTGAAACTCTGTCTCAATAAATAAATAAATAAATAAGCGAGCTCGGCTGGGCGCACTGGCTCACACCTGTAATCCCATCACTTTGGGAGGCTGATGCAAGAGGATCACTTGAGGCCAGGGGTTCGAGACCAGCCTGCCAACATGGTGAGAGCCTGTCCTTATTAAAAATAAAAAAATTAGCTGTGCATGATGGCGCATGCCTGTAATCCCAGCTACTTGGGAGGCTGAGGCACAAGTATTCACTTGAACCCAGGAGGTGGAGGTTGCATTGAGCCTAGATCATGCCACTGCACTCCAGCCTGGTTGACAGAGTGAGACTCTGTCTCAAAAAATAAAAAATAAAAGGCCAGGCATGGTGGCTCACGCCTGTAATCCCAGCACTTTGGGAGGCCGAGGCGGGCGGATCACCTGAGGTGAGGAGTTCAAGACCAGCCTCAACATGGAGAAACCCCGTCTCTACTAAAAATACTAAATTAGCCAGGTGTGGTGGTGCATGCCTGTAATCCCAGCTACTCAGGAGGCTGAGGCAGGAGAATTGCTTGAACCTGGGAGGCACAGGTTGTGGTGAGCCGAAATCGCACCATTGCACTCCAGCCTGGGCAGCAAGAGCGAAACTCCGTCTCAAAAAAAATAAAATAAAATAAAATGGCCAGGCATGGTAGCTCATGCCTATAATCCTAGCACTTTGGGAGGCCGAGGCAGGTGAATCAGTTGAGTGCAAGACCAGCCTGGCCAACATGGTGAAACCCTGTCCCTCGTCTCTACTAAAAATACAAAAATTAGCCGGGCATGGTGGTGTGCACTTATAATCCCAGCTACTAGGGAGGCTGAGGCAGGAGAATTATTTAAACCCAAGAAGTGGAGGTTGCAGTGAGCCAAGATTGTGCCACCGCACTCCAGCCTGGGCAACAGAGCAAGACTCCGTCTCAAAAAAAAAAAAAGAAAGAAATGAGCTATGAAGTAATGAAAAGACATAGAGGAAATGTAAATACACACTACTAAGTGAAAGATGACAATTGGAAAACACTACATACTGTATGACTCCTGCTGTATAACATTCTGGAAAAGTCTAAACTGTGGAGACAGTAAAAAGATCAGAGGTTGCCAGGTGTTAAGGGAGAGTAGGAATGAATAGGCAGGACATGGAGGATATTTAGAACATTGAAATTATTCTGTATGATATTATAATAGTGGAAACATATTATTGTACATTTGTCAAAACCCATAGAATGTACACCACCAATGGTGAACCCTAATGTAAACTATGGACTTTGGGTGATAATGATGGGTCAATGTAGGTTCATTAATAGTAACAAATGTATGACTGTTGTGGGGTATGTTGATAGTGGAAGAGGTTGTGCATGTGTGGGGACAGGGGAAATATGGGAACTCTCTGTACTTTTCACGCAATTTTTCTGTGAACCTAAAACAGCTCTAAACTATTAAGTCTATTGAAAACAACAGCAACAACCAAGCCATGGCAGGAGGAAGACTTCCTTGGCCTAACAGAGGGTATTTTCAGAAGTCAGATACTTGGGCCTTACCCCAAATCTACTGAATCATTTCTGCAGGAATAGGACGCAGAAATAAGTATTTTTGGCTAGACACAGTGGCTCACTCTTGTAATCCCAGCACTTTGGAAGGCCGAGGTGAGTGGATCACCTGAGGTCAGAAGTTCGAGACCAGTGAAGCCAACATAGTGAAACCCTATCTCTACTAAAAATACAAAAATCAGCTGGGCTTGGTGGCATGCACCTGTAATCCCAGCTACTTGGGAGGCTGAGGCAGGAGAATCACTTGAACTCAGAAGGCGGAGGTTGCAGAGAGCTGAGATCACACCACTGCACTTCAACCTGGGCGACAAGAGCAAAACTCCATCTCAAAAATAAAAAATACATATTTTTAAATTTGTTATTTTTTTTTAGAGACGAGGTCTCACTATGTTCAGGCTGGGGTGCAGCGGCTATTCAAAGGCACCAAACATGTGACTGCAGCTTCAAACACCCAGACCCAAGTATTCCTCCCACCTTAGCCTCTCAAGTGGCTAGGACTACTATGGTAGTGTGTGCCACCATGCCCAGCTAATTCTTAAATTTTCTGGAGAGACAGAGGTCTCACTATGTTGTCCAGGCTGGTCTTGAAGTCTTGACCTCAATCAATCCTCCTGCCTCAGCCTCCCAAAGGGCTAAAATTATAGGCACAAGGCACCACACTAAGCCAAGGAATCAAAATTTTTAATAAGCATCCGGGAGATTCTTTTGATCCTACTAGTTTGGGGAACATTGGTTTAAGCTATGCTATAGTTGAAAGCAGTCACAGCAGCCTGTGGCCAAGGACTAAAATTGTCAGCTCACAAGACATTTCACAGCAGCATTAGTGGACAAAACTCACTCTAAATGTACCACTGAAGGGGAAATAACTTAAAGCTCAAAGGCAAGGTTGCCCTTCCATATCCCCTTTGAAGTTAGAAGACCATATGACGTGGTTTGGCCAAAGGAATGGGAATGGAAGTGACGTAAGTGGAAAAGATGTGTTCTACTTATGGGCAGAAATTTTCAGAGCCAGGGAACATCTTATCACATTCCCTTGCCCCTGCTGGGGTTATCATGAAAAAAACCTGTTGCAACTCCAACTTCTAGTTCCTTAAATGAATGTAGTGTGATCAGATCTCTGTCACTTCTCAATTAATGTGCAGTATGAGTGAAAAATTAATTTGTTGTTTCAAGTCTCTAAGAATTTGAGGTTCTGCGTTATCACAGCATAACCCAGCCTATCCTGACTGACACAGGTTTTTCTAAATGAAAAGGAAAAGCTTCCCCCTTAGAAATGGAGAATTCAAAGTGCCAAATTTAACGTCTTGTAATTAAGTTTATGTTTACAGATCATGGATTCCAGAAACCTTATGTCAGATCAACTACCTTGGTAAAGCTAAAACTCAGAATTTCTCTTCCTCACACCTCTGACATCAGCCTTTGACCTGGTATTTGGCAACACCAATTAACAGGCTCTGGGGACATACTTTTTCTTGGAATAACTACACAAGAGTCTGGGGAATAGCTTTTTCTAAATTTGATGGGTGTGGGGACAAAACTATAATAATTTTGGGTGTTATTTACTTTTTGGACCCCTAAGAAGCTCAATGAGCTTCTTAGTAAAATAATATAATTTCTATTATATAGAAATAAGTATATAGAAATTTCTATTATATTGAAATAACAGATAGTAAATTAATATAATTTCTGTCCAAGCTGCAACTGCTTAAAAAAAATCCCAACCCTATTTAAGGTTTAAGAACCCCTCTAATTAAGATTGGGTAAAACACAGAGATGATGAATTCTGAACATTAATTTCTTTGAAGTTTAAATCTCAAGGGCAAGTGGATTTGACTTCAGACACTAACTGCTTTGGACTTAATTTGCATGGGGTTTTAATCTTTGCACTTTAATTTTCCCTGGGAATTTGATCATGGGAGAGAGGGTCTTTGTGTTTACTGTATTTTATTATTAAAGTATTTTAATGGTGCCAGGTCGTCTCATTGCAAGCTCTCTGAAATGTGAGATTGGACAATGCTACTGAAAATCATTGTTATGGAAAATAGACCAGGGGATTAATTTTCAGATTTGAAGTTTCTTTAATTAAGGTACTATTTGTGGTGGTTATAAAACAGGGCCTGTTTTATGTCTTGTCCTAGCAGCGTCTCTCCTATGCAGGGCTTCATCCTGGAAGGGTGCTAGGTTGGTTTTCAGCACTGACCCAAAGGGGCTAGAACATTCCAGCACCATCCAATCTTCCCACAATTCCCTTGGTTTCACCTGCAAAATAGAGCCCATGAAGTTCCTCTCTGATTTTGACTGCTATCCTCAGATGGGCCCTCTAAGATTTCACTCACTAAGTGGGACTCCTTCCTTCCTGGGCATGTTTTGGTAACTTGGCTTTTGGCTTTGTTTTATTTAGCTCCCTCTGCCTCCTCCCACCTGTGAATCTTGTTGCTCTCATGACATCTCCCTGTATGTGTATATTTGAGGGCTCATAAACTTGCTATTGATGTTGTTTGCAGGTTTTAGGTTTTGCGATCCAAGTTACTGTATCTGTGTTTGTGGCAAGTTTTGGGGCTATTAAAAAACTGTGCCACTGCCAACTGCCCAGAATTCCTTTTACTTTTTTTCTTAATCCCTTTATGTAGCAGAGATAATTATATCCTCCCACATCCTTTTTTGTATTTCCTTTACAGTTGCCTACCCTTCCCCAACAATTAAGCATGGCCATGTGACAAGTTCTCACTAATGAAACTTGCATGGAAGTAACAGGTGTCACTTCAGAACAGTGGCCGTGGGATCCCTCCACATGACTCTAGTCTCTTCCCCTTCAGTCATGAACAGAGAGCCCAAAGAATGAAACAGCCTGGATTCGTGAATCTCAGCATGGAGGGCAGCAGTCTCTACTTGAGTTTGCATTAGAAGGGAAATTTTTTTCTTTTCTTTTTTTTTAAACCCAGTCCTCCAGGCTGGAGTACAGTGGTGCAATTTTGGCTCACTGCAACCTCTGCCTCCTAGGCTCAAGCCATCCTCCATCCTCAGCCTCTCAAGCAGCTGGGAATACAGGTGGAGGCCACCATGCCCAGCTAATTTTTGTATTTTTAGTAGCACTGGGGGTCTTCCTATGTTGCCCAGGCTGGTCTTGAACCCCTGGGCTCAAACGATCCACCCCTCTCAGCCTCCCAAAGTGCTGGGATTACAGGCATGAGCCACTGTGCCCAGCTGGAAATAAACTTTTATGTGTTAAGTCACTAATATTTTGGGTCTGTTGCCACAGCATAAATCCAGACTACCCAGACACTTTCCCAACCAATTCGTTTATTAATCATCCTCTTTCACTTTTTCTGTTAATATGCTCAAGTATCTCCCATCCAAACAAAACCCTTCCCCTGATCCTATAGTTGCTTAAGTTATCATACAGATTTATTCTCATTCACTGATACATTTCTGGGAGGAAAAGTCTGTATCGGCTACCTCCACATCCTCACCACCCACTCACTCTTCAATTCCTGGGGACATGGGCTTCTGCTTTCTTCATTCTTCAGAATCTATTTTCTTTAAGATTACCAGTGACCTACTACTTGCCAAATCTTGTTCAACACTACTTGACCTCTCTTCTAAGGCCCCAAATTCTGGTCAAGTTGTTTTAAATCCTTTTATGATCACAGACCCCTTGAAACTCAGATAAAAGAGACAGATCCTATTCCTAGAAAAAATGCAAATACACGTGTATACAAGTTTTTTTATACATTTCAAAGAGTTTTTGATCAGCAAACACCACCAAAGTCTATTCATAAATAGCCTCAATAGGTCTGAACCTTGGGTATAGAATTCTGCCCTAGTCTTTACCTAAGAAAGAAACAGAAGAGGAAGAGGGTCATTCATTTCCGTGAAACAGTCACATGGAGTGTTTTTTCATTTCCCAATGTATTTTCCTATATTACCCTGACATTTTAACTCACTTTATTTTATTTTATTTTTTGCAATTCTGTAGTGGCTTCTTAATCTATTCCCCATCTATCTCTTAATTCAGTCATGGAGTAGTTGCTAAGTATAAACACTGTGCTCCTATTACACCAAAGGAAATGACATAGAGCTGAAAAAGAGATATGTCCTCATTAAAACTTGAGTACTAAAAGAAGGAAAAATATGGCCGGGTGCGGTGGCTCATACCTATAGTCTCAGCACTTTGGGAGGCCGAGGAGAGTGGATCACCTGAGGTCAGGAGTTCGAGATCAGCCTGACCAACATGGTGAAACCCTCTCTCTACTAAAAATACAAAAATTAGCCGGGCTTGGTGGTGCATGCCTATAGTCCCAGCTACTCAGTAGGCTGAGGCATGAGAATCACTTGAAGCCGGAAGGCAGAGGTTGTAGTGAGCTGAGATTGCACCACTGCACTCCAGCCTGGGCAGCAGAACAAAACTCTGTCTCAAAAAACAATAATAATAATTTTAAAAAGAAGGAAAAATATGAACAAGGGCGAGACATATTGATATACTTCTGAGGAAGGGTCAATACTATACTGTACTATAGTATACCTACCATACTTTCTATAGGAGAGTAAATGTAATCCTTCAAAGATAGGTTTGGTTTTGATAGGTAGATAGAAGAGAGAATGGTTTGTCAAATGGGGTAGAAGGTATTATGTGAGCAACAAGAGATCTGTAAATACAAACGAATATTGGGGAGATAGTGAATAGGTTCCACATATGTTGACCACAGAGGACACAAAGTTATATAAAAACAGAATGGTAGATTGGGGCTAGTCGTGTGTCAGCCTTGAGTATCAGCCTAAATAGTCTGGGCTTTATTTTGTACATAATAGGGAGACGCAACATTTTTGAGCAAAAGACTGACAAGGTAAAAATGATCTTTTAGAAAGATTAATCTGCTAAAAGTATTTAATACAGAGATGAGGGAATGGTCAAAGAAGAAGAATTAGGAGACAGTGCAACAGTCTGTGCTCTGTACTTGTGAAGCATAGATCTGAAATGCATGAGGAGAGCAATATTAGCAAAAGGGGCACAGCTGATGTAGCAGGCATGAAAGTACATTGCTTGGATCTCCTTTTAGCTGAAAGAATACACTTAGCTAATGGCCATCAGCTGCAGCACCTTTGGAATCTACCACAGCAAGCTGAGGTTATGATCTTCCCAGGCAGCCCATACCAGTGGCTGATCATGGCAGCATTAACAGGACCAGTTCTACCCATTGCAAAACTTCTCTTAACAGGCAATCTTTGCTCTTCATCTCCCCATTAAGTAGGCTGAGACTTTGCTCAATATATATCAAAGTCTCAGGCTCTCCTGGCCCAATCCTCTTTACTCCCCTCTTTCCTTTCACAGATATCAGATCAGCATCCAGATCTGAAGGCTTTCTTTACCCAATCCTCCATCCTCCTTTTTTATCTCTCATAGGTGTACATCCCCATCACCATTCCACCCCCTACACTTCTTGCACTTCCAACTTTATTTCAGTGTCTGCTTCCTGAAGGACCCAAAACTACACAACTCTAAATAGAAAAGCTGGATGTATCTATCAAGGAATCTTATTCTCTTAGAACCAACTATGCCTAGAATAGCCGTTTGTACATTGTGAGTCTTTTTTTTTTTGGGTGGTGGGGACAGAGTTTCGCTCTTGTTGCCCGGGCTGGAGTGCAGTGGCACAATCTAGGCTGACTGCCATCTCCACCTCCCAGGTTCAAGCAATTCTCCTGCCTCAGCCTCCCATGTAGCTGGGATTACAGACATCCACCACCAAGCCCAGCTAATTTTTTGTAATTTTGGTAGACACAGGGTTTCACCACGTTGGCCAGGCTGGTGTCAAACTCCTGATTTCAGGTGATCCGCCCGCCTCGGCCTCCCCACGTGCTGGGATTATAGGCGTGAACGACCGTGCCCAGCCCATTGTGGGTCTTTAGTGTTAAATATAAAAACGCTTTGGAAATATGTGGGAAGTTACACCCTACAAAATTTACATAAGTAAAAAATTAATAGTATTGAGGCCAGGCGAGCTGGCTCACACCTGTAATCTTAGCACTTTGGGAGGCCGAGGCAGACAGATCACTTGAGGTCAGGAGTTTGAGACCAGCCTGGCCAACATGATGAAACCTTGTCTCTACTAAAAATAAAAAAATTAGCTGGAAATCCCTGGAACCCAGGAGGCGGAGGTTGCAGTGAGCTGAGATCATGCCACTACATTCCAGCCTGGGCAACAGAAAGAGACTCTGTCTCAAAAATAAATAAATAAATAAATAAATAAATAAAAAATAAATAAATAAATAAAAAATAATAGCATTGAATTAATTGTGTCTAGAATTAAAGAAGATATTTTAAGTTTAATTATTTCATGCACTAGAAAATGAAGAAATGTGATGATTTATGCATTGAGAAAAACACCAAGGTCACTGTAGATATGGATGTTTTATACATGCTGAAATCTTTTCTCTGATGTAACTTGAGATTAAAGAAGAGACTAAAGTAGCTATTTGGACATTTCTCTATTTAGAGGAACCAATTTTTTTTCTCAAACAGATATCTTCATCTCACAACTGAAAGTCATAATGGGATAGATGGGCAGGACAGAGCAGTTCTCTGAGAGAAGAGCTGCAGCTAGAGTTTAGCAACTATGAGAGACAGAACATGCACTAAAGATACGACCTTCAGATAACAAAGATTCTTAAAATTTCTTTTGAATATTCTTTATGTCTTCTTTTCATGAGACACTGACGCAAAAACAGAAAGACACTCTTGTCATAGCGGTGTTGAAAACATATATATAAAGAACTGTCACATGGTATACCAACTCAAATTCAGAATATAACGGAAACGCTACATGACAGACCATCTTACACTATCAGCCCAACATAACCACTCTTCCTGTTTTGTTTGATGGGGGAAGTTATAATGTAATGCCAGAGGTATATTTTATGTGTGTGTATTAGGCTGTGGAAGATTGGTTGACTGGCTTTTGGTCACTGAGTTTCAGATATTCAGTTCTAGAATAATTTGGGAATAAAATTGCTATCCTATAGTAGTTTTGAGCTATTAAGAACTATTTGGTTGAAGGTCTGATATCTTATTCCATTTTTAACTGCTACTCAACACAAGATTTTCCTTTTGAAGTAGGTCTTGGTAGAGGTTGAAGCATTTCCACGATATAATTTCGAATTATTGCCTCTCATAGTCCACCCCAGCATGACCTCTTTCCTGCCAGTTTCCTCTTTTTTTTTTTTTTTTTTCTGAGTCTTACTCTGTCACCCAGGCTGGAGGGCAGTGGTGCAATCTTGGTTCTCTGCAACCTCCACCTCCTGGGTTCAAGTGATTCTCCTGCCTCAGCCTCCCGAGTAGCTGGGACTACAGGCACGTGCCACCATGCCTGGCTAATATTTTGTTTTTTTTCGTTTTTTTTTTTTTTTTTTTTTTTGAGACGGAGTCTTGCTCTGTTACCCAGGCTAGAGTGCAGGGGCGCGATCTCTGCTCACTGCAAGCTCCGCCTCCTGGGTTCAGGCCATTCTCCTGCCTCAGCCTTCCGAGTAGCTGGGGCTACAGGCGCCTGCCACCACGCCCAGCTAATTTTTTGTATTTTTAGTAGAGAAGGGTTTTCACCGTGTTAGCCAGGATGGTCTCGATCTCCTGACCTCGGGATCCGCCCGCCTTGGACTCCCAAAGTGCTGGGATTACAGGCGTGAGCCACTACGCCCAGCCGCCTGGCTAATATTTTGTACGATTTTTAGTAGAGACGGGGTTTCACTGTGTTAGCCAGGATGGTCTCAACTTCTTGACCTGGTGATCCACCCTCCTCGGCCTCCCAAAGCGCTGGGATTACAGGCGTGAACCACCGTGCCTGGCCCAGTTTCCTATATTATACATCCTCTTTCCCAAATTATTTTCTTCCTTACTTTACAAATTCTCAACTTTCTACTTTTTTTCTCTGAACTTCCACGTCTTTTCCACAACCCTCTACTCCCAACTGAGGGTGTTGCCTACTTCTCCGGGAAAATAGAGACTACCAGAAATAGCTTATCTTTTGATTCCCAAATCTTTTTTTTTTTCATCCTTTTTTTTCCCTCACTCTGTCGCTCAGGCTGGAGTGCAGTGGCATGATCTTGGCTTACTGCATCCTCTGCCTCCCAGGTTCAAGCGATTCTTGTGCCTCAGCCTCCCGAGGAGCTGAGACTACAGATGCCCACCACCACACCCAGCTAATTTTGTATTTTTAGTAGAGATGGGGTTTCGCCACGTTGGCTAGGTTGGTCTGGAACTCCTGACCTCAGGTGATCTGCCCACCAGAGCGCTGGGATTACAGGCTTGAACCACCACGCCCGGCCTGATTCCCAAATCTATGATTCAATCTGCACCTGTACTTTTTTTTTCTTCCTTCCAGTTTCAACAGTGGGAGTGTCCCTCCTTCCTTCATTTCACTCCTGCCCTTTGGATCTAATCCTTCCTTCTCCACACCATCATCTCTCTCTTTCTAATAACTTCTGATTTCTGATCCCAAAGATGGGCTAGCATCTCTCATCTGAGAAAGCGAAACAAAGCAAAAACCTTTTCTTGTCAACCTCTGTCGCCCATGCTGAAGTGCAGTGGTGCCATCTCGGCTCACCGCAACCTCTGCCTCCTGGGTTCAAGCGATTCTCGTGCCTCAGCCTGCCAAGTATCTGGGACTATAAGCATGTGCCACCACACCTGGCTAATTTTTGTATTTTGGGTAGAAACAGGGTTTCACCATGTTGGTCAGGCTGGTCTCGAACTCCTGGATTCAAGTGATCCGTCTGCCTTGACCTCCCAAAGTGCTGGGATTACAGGTGTGAGTGAGCCACCATGGCTGGCCATAAAACCTTTTTTCTGATGCGTATTCTCTTTAAGTTACTTCTCCTTCTTTTGCTTCCCGTCACTGGAAAACTTTTTTTTTTTTTTTTTGAGATGGAGTTTCACTATGTCGCCTAGGCTGGAGTACAGTGGTGTGGTCTCAGCTCGCTGCAACCTCAGCCTCCTGGTTTGAAGTGATTATCCTGCCACAGCCTCCCAAGTAGCTCGGACTACAGGTGCACACCACCATGCCCAGCTAATTTTTGTATTTTTAGTAGAGACGGGGTTTCACCATGTTGGCCAGGCTGTTCTCAAACTCCTGACCTCAGGTGATCTGCCCACCTTAGCCTCCCAAAGTGCTGGGATTACAGGCGTGAGCCACCGCACCCGACCTCCAAAATATTTCTCATCTCTGAGTACTTCTCACCGTTGGCACTACTTCTACCGTGATACAAGCCATTGTCATCTCTCATTGAATTGCTGAAAACGCCTCCTAATTAGTCACAGTACTTTCATTCTTATCCCCTTATAATCTATAGTCCATTCAGAGTCAGGAGAGATCTTTTGAAAGTTTAAATCAATTTATATCATTTTCCTGATTAAAAACTTGTCTATAGGTTTCCATTGCACTTAGAGTAAATTTAAGTGCTTGGTTCACTCACTAGGTTAAAATTAAAAGTAAGTGCTTACTATGACACTGGTGAAAAGAAGGAAGGAAGGAAGGAGAAAGAAGAAAGGAAGGAAGGAAGGAGAAAGAAGGAAGGAAGAAAAAAAGTAGGAAGGAAGGAAAGAAAGAAAGGAAGGAAGAAAGAAGGAAGAAAGGGAGAGAGGGAGGGAGGGAAGGAGGAAGGAAGGAAGGAAGGAAGGGGAAAAAAGGAAGGAAAGAGGGAGGGAAGGAGGGAGGAAGGAAGGAGGGAAAGAGGGGCAAGAGCTCTTACATTGTGAAAAAGCTTGGCTTGATCAAGAAATTGAAAGAAGCTGGGTGTGGTGTCATGTGCCTGTAGTCTTAGCTACTTGGGAGGCTTGGCAGGAGGATTGCTTTAGGCCAAGAGCTCGAGTCTGCAGTACCCTATGAGCGCACTTGTGAATAGCCACTACACTCCATCTTGTACAACATACTTAGCCCTCATCGCTAAATAAAAATAAATAAATATAAAAAACTTAAAAAAAATTGAGAGAAGGTCGGAGTGCCTGGAGCAGGGTGAATGAGGTAAAATCAATATATGAGATGAAATACGGCCAGGCACAGTGGCTCACACCTGTAACCCCAACACTTTGGGAGACTGAGGCAGGTGGATCACCTGAGGTCGGGAGTTCGACACCAACCTGACCAACATGGAGAAACCCTGTCTCTACTAAAAATACAAAATTATCCAGGTGTGGTGGCGCATGCCTGTAATCCCAGCTACTCAGGAGGCTGAAGCAGGAGAATCACTTGAACCTAGGAGGCAGAGGTTGCAGTGAGCCAAGATCGCACCACTGCACTCCAACCTGGGCGAAAGAGTGAAATTCCATCTCAAAAAAAAAAAAAGAAAAAAAAGTTACACATACACCAGCCATTCTATGCCTAGGTATGTATCCAAGAGAAAAGTAGTTATATGTCCATACAATGACTTATACATGAATATTTATTGAAGCTTTATTTGTAATACCCAGAAACTGGGAACAACCAAAACGTCCATTAACAGATGAATGGATAAGCAAACTATGGTATGTTCATAGAATGCTACTCAGCAACATTTGAGAGAAAATTATAAAATCACAACATCTGATGATGACCAGCAGCATACCTTTGAACACTTGACCAGCAGCATCACCTGGAAGCTTGTTAGAAACACAAATTCTCGACAGGGCACGGTGGCTCACGCCTGTAATCCCAGCACTTTGGGAGTCCCAGGCGGGCGGATCACAAGGTCAGGAGATCTAGACTATCCTGGCTAACACAGTGAAACCCCGTCTCTACTGAAAATATAAAAAATTAGCCGGGCGTGGTGGCGGGCACCTGTAATCACAGCTACTCGGGAGGCTGAGGCAGGAGAATGGCGTGAACCCAGGAAGCGGAGCTGGCAGTGAGCCGAGATCGCGCCACCGCACTCCAGCCTGGGCGACAGAGCGAGACTCTGCCTTAAAAAACAAAAAACAAAACAAAAAAAAAACGCAAATTCTTAGGTCATCTGCAGACCTACTGAATCAGAAACTCTGACAGTAGAAGCTCTCTCAACCACTGCTTTATGCTAATTTGCTGAAAGTGAGGATTCTTTTTCTTTTTTTTTCTTTTTTTTTTTTTTTGGTAAGACGGAGTTTTGCTCTTGTCTCCCAGGCTGGAGTGCAATGGTGCCATCTCGGCTCGCTGCAAACTGCACCTCCCGGGTTCAACAGATTCTCCTGCCTCAGCCTCCCAAGTAGCTGGGATTACAGGTGGCCGCCACCACGCCCAGCTAATTTTTGTATATTTAGTATATTTGGGGTTTCACCATGTTGGCCAGGCTGGTCTCAAATTCCTGACCTCAGGTGATCCACCTGCCTCAGCCTCCCAAGGTGGTGGGATTACAGGCATGAGCCACAGCTCCCAGCTAGGATTCTTGATATATCAACTATCTTGCTTGTTAGAAGTGAACTCTGGCTAAATTAAATAGAAGATGAATTTACTGAAAAGTGTTATATGCCAGGAGTGGTGGCTCATGCCTGTAATCACAACACTTTGAGAGGCCGAGGCGGGTAAGTCACTTGAGGTCAGGAGTTCAAAACCAGCCTGACCAACATGGTGAAACCTTGCCTCTACTAAAAATACAAAAATTAGCCAGGTGTAGTGGTGCATGCCTGTAGACCCAGCTACTCCGGAGGCTGAGGCAGGAGAATTGCTTGAACCCAGGAGGTAGAGGTTGCAGTGAGCCGAGATCACACCATTGCACTCAGCCTGGGCAACAGAGCAAGACTCCATCTCAAAAAAAAAAAAAAAAGAAAAGAAAAGAAAAGGGTTTATGTAACTCACAGAAGTGATGAGAAATGATGAAAACATTCTCAAACAATTGGCTGGGACCAAGGGAGTAGGAGTGGCAGGAACAGTCTGGTGGAGATGCTGCTGCCACCACCAACATAGGACATCTCTAGTATTTGACATAATGGCCACTGTAGGCAGCCACTACTCACAATAAACACAGCCTCAATGCCAAACTGCTAATACTAGAGCTACCACAGATCCAATATCACTTATCATCCCTTCATCTTGGCATTGCTTACTCAAGACACAAAGTACATAGTGGCTAAATCTGGGTCACAAGGCTGTCAGGGGAGTTAGTAGAGGGTGAATCTCATCCCTTAGGCTTCTAAAGTTAGAGGTCAGAGCCTACTTCCCACCAAGACCTAGATAATGGGAGATGTCCCGAATCTAGCAAGTGGGTTCAGATGCTGGGCAGCCAAAAGCAATTACAGATGTCCATTATGATAAGTACCCTAAATACACACATTAGGTGCATTTTAGCAGGACTATGCCCTAAAAGAACTGGGCAAATATATTCTTTGTTTTACTAATATCTGACTCAAGATTTGTCAGGCAGGGCATGGTGGCTCATGCCTATAATCCTAGCACTTTGGAAGGCCGAGGCAGGAAGATTGCTTGAGCCTGGGAATCCTTGTCTGTGAAAAAAAAAAAAAAAAAAAAAAAGAATTGTCTACCAATCTGACTTTTTGTTATTGAAAGATATGTCTTCTTATTTAAGTATTGGCTCACAGTAGATCACAATAGTCGATGGTGCCAGCAGGCACATGCTGGCCTGATAGCCTTTCCACTGCATGTTAGAGTAACGATGAGAAGAAATGACTGGGTTTGGAATATTCCTACTGGGACTGGACTCTTGGTGGCCTTCAGATGGTGTTATTTAAAACTGAATTACAGGCCGGGCGTGGTGGCTCACGCCTGTAATCCCAGCACTTTGGGAGGCCGAGGCAGAAGTTCACCTGAGGTCAGGAGTTGAAGACCAGCCTGGCCAACATGGCAAAAACCCGTCTCTACTAAAAATGCAATAAAAATAGGTGGGCATGGTAGCGCGCACCTGTAATCCCAGCTGCTAAGGAGCCTAAGGCAGGGAAAATCGCATGAACCCGGGAGGCAGAGGTTGCAGTGACCCAAGATCATGCCACTGCACTCCAGCCCAGGTGACAGAGTGAGACTCTGTCTCAAAAAAACAAAACAAAACAAAACAAAAATTGAATTATGGGCCAGGCATGGTGGCTTACACCTGTAATCCCAGCACCATGGGAGGCTGAGACAGGCAGATTGCTTGAGCCCAGGAGCTCAATGCCAGCCTGGGCAACATGGCAAAACCCTGTCTCTACAAAATACACACATATATATTTATATACATATACATATATATAGCCAGGCATGGTGGCACATGCCTGTGGTCCCAGCTTCTCGGGAGGCTGAGGCAAGAGGATCACTTGAACCTGGGAGGTGGAGGTTGCAATAAGCTGAGATCGTGCCACTGCACTCCAGCCTGGGTGACAGAGCAAGACCCTGTCTAAAAATAATAATAAATAAAAAATAAAAGTGAATTACTTGGGACATTCATAGGCAAAACATAAACCTTGACCTAAATGTCATGCCACATATAAAAACTAACTAATGATGAATCATGGACTTAAATGTAAAACAGAAAACTATAAAACTTTTAGAAAAAGAACTTTGGAATCTAGGACTAGGCAAAGTGTTTTTGATTATTATTATTATTATTCTTTTAATATGACATGAAGTCTTGATATGTTGCACAGGCTGGTCTTGAACTCCTGGACTCAAGTAATCCTCCTGCCTCAGCCTCTCGAGTCACTGGGATTACAGGTGCGCAACACCATGCCCAACCTAGTTCTTAGATCTCACACTAAATAAAAGTTTGACACGTTAAAGGAAAAACTGATAAACTGGACCTCATCAATATTAAAAACTTTTGCTCTGTAAAAGATCCCTTTAAGAGACAAACTACAGAAATAAAATATTTGCAAACCACATATCTGACAAAAGAGTAGTATCTGGACTATATAAAGAACTCCCAAAACTCAACAGTTAAAAACCAAGCAATCCAAAAACCAAAAAACAAACAAAAAAACCCACAAGCAATCCAATTAGAAAACATGCAAAAAACATGAGCAGATATTTCACCAAAGAGGATATAAAAATGGTAAATAAGCACATAAAAGCATGTTCCTGTTCAACATCATTACTCATTAGAAGAATGCAAATTAAATCCACAATGAGATCATGGCATGCTTATCAGAAAGGCTAAAATAAAAAGCAGTGACAACATCAGGTATTGGCAGAGAAACCGGATTGCTCTTACAATGCTGATGAGAATGTAAAATGATACAGCCACTCTAGAAAACTGTTTGACAGTTTTTTCTTTACAAAATGAAACACACAACTACCATTTGACCCAGAAATTGCACCCCTGGGCATTTATCCAAGAGAAACTAAAACTTCTGTTTACACAAAAACCTGTAGATGAACTACTTTGTTCTCTTTGCTAAATGGGAATTAGGAGCCTACACTTTGTAAAGAAGTCTGGAACTGCTTCCTTTTTTTTTTTTTTTAACTTTGTATACATACATAAAAGCATAATCCACATCTATAAAAAGATATGTATCATAAATGTACAGCTCAATGAATTTTAACATACTAACCACCCTCATGTAACCATCTCCCAGATGGAGAAACAGGACATAACCAGAACTCCAGAAGGCCTTTTCATGTCCTCTTCCATTCTGTACCCTACCCTCAGGTGTGACCACTTTGTGAACCTCTCATATCACAAATTAGTTTTGCTTGTTATAACACAGAAATGGAATCATACAGAACATGCTCTTGTGTGTCTGATTTTGCTTCAACATTCTGTTTTCAAGATTCATCCATATTGTTGCATGTATTTGTGCATTTTTCATTCTCATTACTGTGTAGTTGTCCTAGTCCATTTGTGTTGTTACAAAGGAATATCAGAGACTGGATAATTTATAAAGAAAAGAGGTTTGGTCGGGTGCGGTGGCTCACACCTATAATCTTAGCACTTTGGGAGGCCAAGGCAGGTGGATCACCTGAGGTCAGGAGTTCAAGACCAGCCTGGCCAAGATGGTGAAACCGGTCTCTCACTAAAAACACAAAAATTACCTGGGCATGGTGGTGCATATCTGTGATCCCAGCTACTCAGGAGGCTGAGGCAGGAGAATCACTTGAACCCAGGAGGCAGAGGTTGCAGTGACCCAAGATCACACCACTGCACTCCATCCTGGGCAACAGAGTGAAACTTCATCTAAAAAAAAAAAAAAGGCCGGGTTTGGTGGCTCACGCCTGTAATTCCAGCACTTTGGGAGGCCGAGGATCACTTGAGGTCAGGAGTTCCAGACCAGCCTGGCCAACATGGTGAAATCCCATCTCTACTAAAAATACACAAATTAGCTGAGTGTGGTGCTGTGTGTCTGTAATCCCAGCTACTCAGGAGACTGAGGCAGGAGAATCGCTTGAACCCAGGAGGCAGAAGTTGCAGTGAGCTGAGATCATGCCACTGCACTCCAGCCTTGGCAACAGAGTGAGACTCCATCAAAAAAAAAAAAAAGAGGTTTACTTGGCTCAAGGTTCTGCAGGCTGTACAGGAAGCATAGTGCGGGAATCTGCTTCCGGTGAGAGCTTCAGGCTGTTTCCACTCATGGTGGAAGGGGAAGAAGAGACAGCATATGCAGAGAGCACATGGTGAGAGAGGAGGCAACAGAAAGAGGGAAGGTGCCAGGCTATTTTATTTTATTTATTTATTTTTATTATTATTATTATTTTTGAGATGGAGTCTCACTCTGTTGCTCAGACTGGAGTGCAGTGGCATTATCTCGGCTCACAGCAACCTCTGCCTCCAGGATTCTCCTGCCTCAGCCTTGCGAGGAGCTGGGATTACAGGTGAACGCCACCATGCCCAGCTAATTTTTTGTATTTTACTAGAGATGGGGTTTCACCATGTTGGCCAGGCTGGTCTCAAATTCCTGACCTCAAGTACTCCTCCCACCTCGGCTTCCTGAAGTGCTGGGATTACAGGCATGAGCCACTGAGCACTGGTCAACCAGGCTATTTTAAACAGCTCGCTTTCAGGTGAAATCTCATGGGAACAAATAGAGCCTGAACTCACTCATCATTATGGGAAGATCATCAAGCCATTCATGAGGGATCCTCCCCCATGACCCAAACACCTTCCATCAGGCCCCAACTCCAACACTGAGGATTAAATTGCAACATGAGGTTTGGAGGGTCAAATATCCCAACTAAAGCAGTGGTATTTCATTGTGCAAACATAAACACAGTTTATCCATTATACTGTTGATATGTTGATAGGTATTTGGATAGTTCTGTATTTTAGACTCTTTGGGGTAGTGCTGCTATGAACATTTAAGTAGATATCTTTTGGAGAACATATATGTATATACGTACACACATTTCTGTTGGGTATTTTCCAGATAGCCATCAGCCTGGGTCCTGAAGTGAGAACATGAAGCAGGATCCCCTTTTGACCTGAGATGGAATATAGTATGAAAAAAATGCTAAATCCTGGCCAGGTGCAGCGGCTCACACCTGTAATCCCAGCACTTTGGGAGGCTGAGGCAGGCGGATCACAAGGTCAGAAGATCGAGACCATCCTGCCTAAATGTGAAACCCTGTCTCTATTAAAAATACAAAAAGTTAACTGGGCGTGGCGGCAGGCGCCTGTAGTTCCAGCTACTCGGGAGGCTGAGGCAGGAGAATGGTGGGAACCAGGGAGGCAGAGCTTGCAGTGAGCGGAAATTGCGCCACTGTGCTCCAGCCTGGGCAACAGAGCGAGACTCCATCTCAAAAAAAAAAAAAAAAAGAAAGAAAAAATGCTAAATCCTAAGCCACTGAGATTTTGGGATTGTTTATTAATGCTGTGTAACCTGGACCAATCTATTCATAAAATTAACATCCTTGTTTTGTTCTTGAGTTTAATGTGTTGGCTTCCAAAGTTTCATTGTTAGGTACAGAGCTTGATAAACATTTTAACAGGTTTTAAGAAGTTCACTTTTATTTTCTTATTTGATAAAAATTGTTATCATGGACTAATAAATGCTTTTTCTGCATTCATCCTACAACATTTGTTAAGATGTTGGGTTTTGTTTTGTTTTGTTTTGGTTTGTCTTGCATGAAGGTGGTGAATTTTATTGGTAGATTTTCTGACATTGAACTAGCCCTGTGTACCTGCAATAAACCTTGCTTGGTCCCAATGTATTTTATATACATACTACATATATTTTATATATATGCTATATATATAATATATAATATATGCATACACACACTTTTCTGGATTCAATTCACTTGAATTTCTTTTTAAGTTTTGCTCTTGTTGCCCAGGCTGGAGTACAGTGGTGCGATCTCGGCTCGCTGCAACCCCCACCCCCCCGGTTCAAGAGATTATCCTGCCTCAGCCTCCCAATTATCTGGGATTACAGGCATGCACCACCACACCCAGCTAATTTTGTATTTTGAGTAGAGATGGAGTTTCACCATGCTGGCCAGGCTAGTCTCAAACTTCTGACCTCAGGTGATGCACCTGCCTCGGCCTCCCAAAGTGCTGGGATTACAGACATAAGCTGCCTCGCCTGGCCAGAATTTTTGTTGAGTTTCTCCATCTATGTTCAGGTGGGACTGGGCTATAATTTCCTCACCTAGTTTTGGTGTGAAGTTTAAATTAGCTCTTGTTCCTAATTGCTAGCTACTAAGGCATTTATTAGCCTTCATCATTTACCTCTAAAGCACCTCACTGTCCACCACTGGTTGCCTCTTCAATGTGCTGGGTACCTTTGTTATGATGATGATGATGGTGATGATGATGAAAATGCCCAGAGTCATCTTTCTAAACCACAAGCCTCCTTGTGTCATGCCCCTACCTCAATGCTTACAGGATAAACCCCCAGCATCCAGCACCTTAGGAAGGCATCCATGACTGCTTGTAATCTGGCCTCAGTTTACCTTCTTGTCTCTTTTCTTGCCATGATATACATTTTCTGTGTTCCTATCACATTGTACTCATTGTTTCCTGGCCTAACTGGGCCCATTGAAAACTCTTGGTCTTTCTACAAACCGATGCTTCTGCTGGGGATATGCTTATTAACTTGCTTGCAAGACTTGATGAGCCAGCTGTCACCCCTTCAACTTCCTCCAAGTATTTGGTTACTACCCATAGCACTGTATTGATATATCTGAAGCAGCTTTTCGGAAAAAATCCAAAATTCTTAACCCAATTTACAAGGTACTACGTGATCTAACTCTGCTTCAGCCGTATATACTATTCTTAATCTCGCTCCCTAAGCATATGGGTGTTTTTTAAATTTCTCATACAAGCCAAATTCTTCCTCTACCTCAAGCTTCCATTCGTACTGTTTTCTTTTCTTTTTTGAGACAGGGTCTTGCTCTGTTGCCTAGGCTGGAGGGCAGTGGTGCAATCACATCTCGCTGCAGCCTCAATCTCCTGGGTTCAAGTGATTCTTCCACCTCAGCCTCCCAAGTAGCTCGGACTACAGGCACATGCCACCACACCCAGCTAATTTTTGTATATTTTGTAGAGATGGGGTTTCGTCATGTTGTCCAGGTTGGTCTTGAACTCCTGGACTCAAGTGATCCTCCTACCTTGGTCTACCAAAGTGCTGGGATTACAGACGTGAGCCACACTGTGCCTGGCCTATTTTCTTAGCTGAATCATTTCTAATCATCCTTCTCCACAAGTCTTCATTCATCAAATGTTGCTTCCTCAAAGAATTTGGTCTAGGCCTTGCATCCTAGTCCAGGTACCCCTGTTCTACATAACCAGAACAACATTTATCCTATTAAAGCATCTAATAAAATTATAACTAAGTACCTGTGAAGTGAGTTGTTTACTGTCTGGCTGCCCCTCTCTAACCAGTGAGCTCCATGATAATAGGACCCATGCAGAAATGGATCTTTACGAAAAGGAATATTTCATGCTAACTTATAGGTTGTTCACATTTCCAGCATATAAATCCCTGGTTCTCCCTGAACCTATTTATATCACACACACACACACACACACACACACACACACACACACACACACAGTCTTGTGTGAAGGATTTGTTGTATGGAAGTTGTGAAAATCAAGGAAAACAGCCAGGCTTAACATTTGAGTCGAAGCAGTGCCAAACTGGGACAACAGAAGTCTCATGCTAAGACAATCACTCAACAGGGGTAGTTTAGCAAGAGTCAAAGGTTAGAGATGAGAGTGACCATAAAAATATAAGTCGCACCTTTCAAAATTGATAAAACTTATTGGATGAGCGATTGAATTCTAGGCAGTGGGTGGAAGGGAGTTTGAATTAGTTTTATCTAGAGATCTTAAGATATAGGTAAACCCCAGCTGACATTTGGTTATAGTTTTGTCTGTTTTCATATCTGTCAGTCTACTAGAAAGTGAACTGCTTGAGGACAGGTACTGTGTCATTCATCTAACGATCTCTGACTTGGCACTCTGGGGACATAAATAAATGTTTACTGAATTAATGAATATATAATACACACTGGAGAACTAGGGATTTGATATATTATACCTTTTATGTGTCTGTAAATTTCAAAAGGTATTCTGCTTAGTACAAAGAAATAGATTGGAAATAGTAGCATTTCAAATATCAGATGTGATCAAGTGTGAATGTCTTGCTGGCTATTCAAATTATGCATGCAGATAATCCCATTGTCTGCCTGTGAGCAAAGCCTGTCCTATTTATACATATAAAAACTGGGGGGTAGGTGGAAAGAGTGTACGTCCTCTTTGTGCATTAGTTATTATCTCTTCACTGACTCTATTGTGAATCTTTTCAATTACCATTAAAAAATACATCTCTTTACTATATTTGATTATGAGGGAAGCTGTCACCTCCTACATTATTCATAGCTTGACAAAAAGAAGAAACACGAAAAGCTTTGGTGGTGCTGAAAAATTCTTTTAGTATTTAAATATCAAATAAACGTTTTAATAAATTTTTTATCATTAAATAAATACATCACTTAATGACGGAGATATGTTTGAGAAATGTATTGTTAGGCGATTTCATCATTGTACAAACATCAGAGTGTACTTACACAAACCTGGATTATGTGTCCTATTATACACCTTGGCTATATGGTGTAGCCTATTGTTTCTGAGGCAGGAGAATAGGGTCTGGTGGCAGGTAACCTAAGGCTGATTCACACTGACTTCCTAGAACTAAATCTAAAGGAAAACCCCAACTTTCCAAAACTAAGTAACAAAAGGACCAGAGGCCACTCCCTTTGCAACCCCCCTCCCCTTTTTATGCGTGGCAAATGGAAAATTGAAAGTATCTCTGACTGGTTTCTTTCCGCAACCAGTCAGACTGATTGCAAGCCAAGTCTTCTTTTGCTTAGGAGTTTAACTTTGTAACTTCACTTCAGCCTCTGATTGGTTGCTTTCCACAACCAATCAGACTGATTGTGGGCCACTACTTCACTTACATAGGGGGTACACCAAGTGGACAATGGGAAACCAGAAAATTCTGTAATAGGAAAATTATTGAGCCCCTATGCTCAGCCCACTCCCACCCTGTGGAGTGTACTTTCATTTTCAATAAATCTCTGCTTTTGTTGCTTCATTCTTTCCTTGCTTTGTGTGCTTTGTCCAAATCATTGTTCAAATTCCAAAAACCTGGACACCCTCCACTGGTAACACTTCTAGGCTGTGTAACACTTCTAGGCAACAAATCTGTACAGCATGTCCGTACTGAATACTACAGGCAATTGTAACACAATGGTAAGTAGTTGTGTATCTAAACATAGAAGAGGTGCAGTAAAAATACAGTATAAAAGATAAAAAATGGTACATCTGTTCCGGTGTGGTGGCTCACACCTGTAATCCAAGCATTTTATGAGGTGGAGGTGGGTGAATGGTATGAGCCCAGGAGTTCGAGACCACGTTGGGCAACACGGCAAAACCCCATTTCTACAAAAAATAGAAAATTAGCAGGACATGGTGGCACACACCTGTAGTCACAGCTACTCGGGAGGCTGAGGTGGGAGGATCACCTGAGCCTAGGGAGGTTAACCCTGCAGTGAGCTGTGATTGCACCATTGCACTCCAACCTGGGCAACAGAGTGAAAGCCTATCTAAAAAGAAAAAAAAAAAAGTACACCTATACAGGGCGCTTACCATGAATGGAGTCTGTAGGACTAGAACTTGCTCTAGGTTATGTCAGTGACTGAGTATGTGGTGGGTGAATGTGAAGGCCTAGGATGTCACTATACACCACTGTAGACTTTATAAACACTGTATGCTTAGGCTACACTAAATTTATAAATGGTATTTTCTTTATTTTTTTATTTTTTATAGAGATGAGGTCTCACCACGTTGCCCAGCCTGATCTTGAACTCCTAGCTCAAGCAATCCTCTTGCCTTGGCCTCCCACAGTGCTGGGATTACAGGTGTGAACCACAGCTCCTGGACTCAATATTTTCTTTCTTCAATAATAAATTAAATTTAGCTTACTGTAACTTTTTCTTTTTATAAAAAAAAAAAATTTTTTTTTTGAGACAGGGTCTCACTCTATCTCCCAGGCTGGAACACAGTGGTGAGATCCTGGCTCACTACAGCTTCCACCTCCCAGGTTTAAGCAGTCCTCCCACTTCAGCCTCCCAGGTAGCTGGGACTACAGGCACATTCCATAACGCCTGGCTAATTTTTAAATTTTTTGTAGAGATGGAGTCTTGCTATGTTGCCTCTTGGTAACATAGCTGGTCTTGAATTCCTGGGCTCAAGTGATCCTCCTGCCTTGGCCTCACAAACTGCTGGGATTAGAGATGTGAGCCATGGTGCCCAGCTATGAACTTTTAAATTTTAACTTTTTGACTCTTTTGTAATAATACTTAGCTTAAAAAAACAAACACATTCGGCCAGGTGTGGTGGCTCACGCCTATAATCCCAGCACTTTGGGAGGCCAAGGCGGGTGGATCACTTGAGGTCAGAAGCTCCAGACCAGCCTGGCCAACATGGTGAAACCTTGTCTCTACTAAAAATACAAAACAGCCAGGCAGGGTGGCACAAGCCTCTAATCCCAGCTACTAGGGAGGCTGAGGTGGGAGGATCCCTTGAGGTGGAGGTAGCAGGGAGCCAAGATCACGCCACTGCACTCTAGCCTGAGCCACAGAGTGAGACTCCATCTAAAAACAAAAACAAAAACAAAAAAACACACACACATTGTACTGCTGTACAGAAATATTTTCATATCCTTTTTTTTTAATTTTTTTTTTTATTTTTGAGACAGAGTCTCACTCTGTTGCCAGGCTGGAGTGCAGTGGCACAATCTCGGCTCACTGCAACCTCCACCTCCCGAGTTCAAGTGATTCTCCTGCCTCAGCCTCCACAGTAGCTGGGACTACAGGTGCATACCCCCATGCCTGGCTAATTTTTTTATTTTTAGTAGAGATGGGATTTCATCATGTTGGCTAGGATGGTCTCAATTTCTTGATCTCTTGATCTGCCCTCCTCGGCCTCCCAAAGTGCTGGGATTACAAGCGTGAGCCACCAGACCCAGCTTGTATCCTAATTTTTTATGTGCTTTTCTATTTTAAAACTTTTATATATTTTTTCTTTTTAAGTATTTTTTGTTAAAAATGAAGACACAAACACACACATTAGCCTAGGCCTACACAGGGTCAGGATCATTAATATCACTCTGTTCTACCCCCACATCTTGTTGCACTGGAAGGTCTTCAAGGGCAATAACACGCATGGAGCTTTCATCTTCTATAATAATAATGCCTTCTCGAATCCCTACTGAAGGACCTGCCTGAGGCTGTTTTACAGTTACCTTTTTTTTTTTAATAAGTAGAAGGAGTACAATTTAAAATAACAATACAAGGTATAGTATAGCAAATACATAAACTAGTAACAGTCGTTTATTATTATCAGGTATCACGTGCTGTATGAGTGTATATGCTATACTCTTTTTTTTAAGTTTGAGATGAGGTCTTACTCTGTCATCCAGGCTGGAGTGCAGTGGCACGATCTCAGCTCAGTGCAACCTCTGCCTCCCAGGCTTAGGCCATCCTCCCACCTCAGACTCCTGAGTAGCTGGGACCACAGGAATGTGCCACCATACCTGGCTAATGTTTTTGTATTTTTGGTAGAAGGTTTTGCCATGTTGCAAATATATATTTTTGAATATTTGAGTTTTGTCATGTTGTCCAGGCTGGTTGTGAACTCCTGAGCTCAAGCCATCTGCCCACCTCGGTCTCTCAAAGTGCTGGAATTACAGGTGTGAGCCACTACCCCCAGCCTGTGCTATACTCTTATACAAACTGGAAGTGTAGTAGGTTCGTTCACATCAGCATCACCACAAACATGTGAGTACTGCCTTGTGCTAGGCTACCCACACTCGGTTATAGGAACTTTTCAGCTCCATTATAATCTTGTGGGACCACTGTCTATGTGGTCCTTACTTGACCAAAACATCATTATGCTGTACATGACTATATAACTTGGTGGACAGGTATCATTAATCACCTGCATGATTTGATGAGGACTCTAAGAAAGCTCTTAATCATCCACAGTCACTCCATTTTGCTCCCAATAATTTCTATAATATTTTAGAATTAGAAGTTCTTTTTTTTTTTTTTTTTGAGATGGAGTCTCACTCTGTCACCCAGGCTGGAGTGCAGTGGCACGATCTCAGCTCACTGCAATCTCTGCCTCCTGAGTTCAAGCAATTCTCCTGTCTCAGCCTCCAAAATAGTTGGGATTACAGGTGTGTGCCACCATGCCCGGCTCATTTTTGTATTTTTAGTAGAGATGGGGTTTCTTCACGTTGGCCAGGCTGATCTCGAACTCCTGACCTCAAGTGATCCACCTGCCTCAGCCTCCCAAAGTGCTGGGATTACAGGCGTGAGCCACCATGCCCAGCCAGAAGTTTATTTCTTAATGGTTTTCCAGCTCTAGATGTGGCAGCCTCAGCCAGGAATGGTTGTATTAAACATAACAACAGATAACCATAAATGAGCTCACACACAAAAAAAGGAAATCTCCAGATGCCAGAAACAGAGGAAAGGAAAGCCAGAATGTTAAGTATGTGAGGTGACTGAATCAAATTTGAGGCAGCGTTACTGGATCCAGAAACAGCAAGTGACTTGGGCTTTTTTTTTTTTTTTTTGAGATGGAGTCTTGCTCTGCCACCCAGGCTGGAGTGCAGTGGCACAATCTCAGCTCACTGCAACCTCCCTCTCCCAGGTTCAAGCGATTCTCCTGCCGCAGCCTCCTGAGTAGCTGGGATTACAGGCGCATGCCACCACACCCAGCTAATTTTTTTGTATTTTTAGTAGACATGGGGTTTCACCATGTTGGTCAGGCTGGTCTCAAACTCTTGACCTCGTGATCTGCCCACCTCAGCCTCCCAAAGTGCTGGGATTACAGGTGTGAGCCTGGCAGTGACTTGGGTTTTAATATCTACCCAGGGATAGAAGTTGAAGGCTGAGACCTAAGGGAGTTGGAAGTAAAATACTGCATAAAAACAGAACTCTCCACAGGTTAAATTCCCAGGCCTGGCCAGGCGCGGCGGCTCACGCCTGTAATTCCAGCGCTTTGGGAGGCTGAGGCAGGCGGATCATGAGGTCAGGAGATGGAGACCATCCTGGCTAAATGTGAAACCCCGTCTCTACTAAAAATATAAAAAATTAGCTGGGCGTGATGGCGGGTGCCTGTAGTCCCAGCTACTCGGGAAACTGAGGCAGAAGAATTGCTTGAACCCAGAAGGTGGAGGTTGCAGTGAGCCCAGATCATGCCACTGCACACCAGCCTGGGCAACAGAGCAGGACTCCATCTGAAAAAGAAAAGAAAAGAAATATGGATATTAGAATGAGAAGGTAAAACAAATGTCTAATAGGAATTCTACAAGGAGTACAAAGAAATTACAAAAAAATAGTGAAAATTTTGCATAATTGATGAAGATGAATCTTTTGATTCAAGAAATACAAATCCCCCCAAAAATAAACAAAAAGAAGCCCACATCTGGCTACATTTTAGTGAAATGACAGAATGCCTAACAAATGCCTAAAATAATGAGAGAAAAATTCATTCCTTTAGCTGTGATTTTCCTTATGAGAAACTGAACTCCACATATACTCTAGTTCAAATGAAGTGAAGTAGATACAATGGCTGGATGAAAATGATTTTTGAAGGAAAAATTCAAAACTTAAAAATCCTACAGGAACTAGAAAAAACTCAACATTTCTCAGATCTAATATTCTTTTTTTCCTCCCAAATCTTCAGACCAGATCTAATATTCTTGTTCCTCTAATAACTGCAATTCAGCAGAAGTCTGGATATTTAATTACATTGCAATGAATCATTCTAATTCAAATACTTCTAAAGATTACGTTTCTGGCCAGGTGTGGTGGCTAACCCCTGTAATCCCAGCACTTTGGGAGGCTGAGGCGGGCAGATTGCTTGAGTCCAGGAGTTCAAGACCTGCCCGGGCAACACATTGAGACTCTATCTCTACAAGAAATTAAAAATTAGCCGGACATGGTAGCATGCACCTGTAGTCCCAGCTACTTGGGAGGCCAAAGTGGGAGAATCACTTGAGCCCAGGAGGTGGAGGCTGCAGTGAGCTGTGATTGTGCCATTGTACTCCAGCCTGTAAGAGAGTGAAACCCTGACTAAAAAAGAAAAAAAAGATTATGTTTCTGGCAACAGAGATTCATTCACTTGCCAATATATCTCTAGCCCCAAGTATATCATATATACAGAGAAAACTAAGATGGGCAAGATGTGACACTAATAACCTGTCATTTTTTGTTCACTGCTAATAAGTGATTAATTAGTGTTCCAATAAGCACATCAAAGACATAAATATTTGATTGAAAATTGTCTCTGCTAATCCCTCCAGCTGGAGAAGGAACCTCTCTCTTTAGAATATTTTCTTTGAAGGGCCACTGCATTTTCTGGGTCTTGCAAGAAGAGTGATTATAGTCTGTTTCCTTGAGGGTCTGATAAGAAGTCAGTGTCTCCCTCCAGGTCTGGTTAAAAGGATAACATCCTGTTTTTTTTGTTTGTTTGTTTGAGAGTCTCGCTCTGTCACCCAGGCTGGAGTGCAGTGGCGCGATCTTGGCTCACTGCAACCTCTGCCTCCCGGGTTTAAGCGATTCTCCTGCCTCAGCCTCCCAAGTAGCTGGGACTACAGGTGCATGCCACCACACCCAGCTAATTTTTTGTATTTTTAGTAGAGACGGGGTTTCAGTGTGGTAGCCAGGATGCTCTTGATCTCCTGACCTTGTGATCCGCCTGCCTTGTCTCTCCAAAGTGCTGGGATTGCAGGCGTGAGCCACCCAGCCCAGCCTCAAAAGGATAACGTGCTGTTATCCTTTGGCAGTGTCTCCTGACCTTCAAGAGATAACAAGTTGGACTGAGAAGAGAAAATCCACCCCAGACTTTGGGTTACTGTCTCCACTAATGAGCAGACCAGCTCCCCGAAAGAAAGGTCTTCTAACTTTCTCACTGGGAAGCATTTCAATAGTGTTCTCCATGAAACTTTATTTAGAATAAGAGGAAGAGACCTTATTTTGCTTGCTCCCGTAAATTCTTCAACTTTTCCAGTTCAGATGTTTGTTTCTAGGGAGCTCATTGTCATCTGGAACTGCTTCTCTGAATTTTTTTTTTTTTTTTTGAGACAGAGTCTCGCTCTGTCGCCAGGTTGGAATGCAGTGGTGTGATCTCAGCTCACTGCAACCTCTGCCTCCCGGGTTCAAGCAATTCTTCTGCCTCAGCCTCCTGAGTTGCTGGGACTACAGGCGCACGCCACCATGCCAGGCTAATTTTTGTATTTTTAGTAGAGACGGGGTGTCACCATATTGGCCAGGCTGGTCTCTTCGAAATCTTAAATCCAAACATTTCTATTCTTCTAGATCCCTTGCTCAGGCGAATCCTTTCATCTTTCCCTTATAGCTCATCAGCATGTAAGTGTCTTGACATCTCTCTTCTCCTTCCCTATTAGCTCTCTACTCTCTTCACTTACACGTCAACCAAACTTAGACTTTAACCACTCTCTTTCAAATATTCTCAACTCAATTATCTCTAGAGAATTCAGTGAGATAATGTAGGTAAAGCACTGGCAGACAGAAATGCTCAATGAATGATAGCTAACACTACCATCACTACTGGCAACATAAAAAACATTATCTTGATCTTTTGTCATTCTATTATACTAGTATGTCACTAGTATATACTGTATGTCACACAATCCTGGGCCACTAAACAGTATTAGGGAAAAAATCATTAAATTGTGCAGATAGATAATAGTAAATTCAAGCTTCCAGCCTTACCTGCCAAACAATTCTAACTTTTTAAATCAATTTTCTGAATTCTGAGACTACTCTAAGGCTTCTTCAATTTCCTCAAATCTACCTACCACTTCCCTATAATTCTCATTGTCTTGTTTCATAGGAAAAAATAGAAACTATAGAAAGAACTTCTCCAACTTCCAGTACCAAACATTCCAGCATCTGCACCTATGCTTCCTTCCCTGCTTTCCTCCTCTGACAATGGAAGCACAGTTTGATTTGCTTCTAAAGGTCAATGACTCCACATTCTCTTCCGCTCTTTGTCGTCCTCACCCAATATCTTTAACTTCTCTCTCCACTGGCTCCTTTTCATCCATATTTAAATATATCTAAATATGGCCGGGCTCAGTGGCTCAAGCCTGTAATCCCAACACTTTGGGAGTCCAAGGCGGGCGGATCACGAGGTCAGGAGTTCGAGACCAGCCTGGCCAATATGGTGAAAGCCTGTCTCTACTAAAAATACCGAAAAAAAAAAAATTATCTGGATGTGGTGGTGCGCACCTGTGGTCCCAGCTACTCGAGGCGCTGAGGCAGAAGAATCACTTGAACCCCGGAGGCGGAGATTGCAGTGAGCCGAGATGGATCCATTGCACTCCAGACTGGGCTACAGAGTGAGACTCAAAAAAAAAAAAAAAAAAAAAAATATATACACACACACACACACACACACACACACACACACACACACACACACATATATATATCCCACATTCAAAAATCCCTCCTTTTATTCCAAGTACCTCCTCATTGTCTCGCGCGTCCGTGGGAAGAGACCACCAAACAGGCTTTGTGTGAGCAACATGGCTGTTTATTTCACCTGGGTGCAGGCAGGCTGAGTCTGAAAAAGGAGTCAGCAAAGGGTGTTGGGATTACCATTAGTTCTTATAGGTTTTGGAATAGGTGGTGGAGTTAAGTGCAATGTTTTGGGGGCAGGGGGTGGATCTCACAAAGTACATTCTCAAGGGTGGGGAGAAATACAAAGAACCTTCTTAAGGGTTGGGGAGATTATAAAGAAACTTCCTAAGGGTGGGGGAGATTACAAAGTACATTCATCTGTTAGGGTGGGGCAGAAACAAATCACAATGGTGAAATGTTATCAGTTAAGGCTATTTTCACTTTTTTTGTGGATCTTCAGTTGCTTCAGGCCATCTGGATGTATACATGCAGGTCACTGGGGATATGATGGCTTAGCTTGGGCTCAGAGGCCTGACACTCATCTCTTTCCGGCTCTCCCTACCCCATTATTTTTTAAAAGGTTGTCCATATTTGCTGCCTCTATTTATTCACTTCCCATTTGTCCTTTGTCACCATAATCAGATTTCTATTCTACACTCCAACGACACTGTTCTTATGCGCTTTATCAATAAACTATCCAATAAACCCTTTCAGGTTTCACTTCATTTGACCTGTTAGCTACCTAAGGTAGGATTGTTCGCTTCTCCATGAGACACCCAGTTTCCTAGAACTCCTCCTCTCTCTGCTTTTTGTGAATATTCTTTGTGGCCTACCTTCCTTTTCTCTGTCTGTCCTTAAATGTGGGGCTCCTCAGAGATTTGTGAAGGGCCCTATTTTTTCATACTGTATATTTCCTTCCCTCCTGTCGTCCATCTACACGCTAATCTGCATCTCAGTTTAGATCACCCTCCTGATACATATGTCAACATACCCATCCCATAGGCATTCTGCCTCCCAAGCTGTTTCTGCTGTGTTCTTTATCTCAGTGAAGGACTTCACCTATCTACCCAGCGTCGTCTTGTCTCTTTCCTTTTTAATTTTTCACTTTCAGTCAACTACTAAGCCCAAGCCATTCTGCTGAAGTAGCTCTCAATTTCAACTGACATCCAGGCCATGATTATGTCACACCTTAAAGGGTCCTCCAGTTCCCAATCTTGTCAGTTCCAACCCATTTTCCAGACGAAGCCAGAGTGACTCTTTTTTTTTTTTGAGACGGAGTCTCGCTCTGCCACCCAGGCTGGAGTGCTGTGGCACGATCTCGGCTCACTGCAAGCTCCATCTCCCGGATTCACGCCATTCTCCTGCCTCAGCCTCCCGAGTAGCTGGGACTACAGGCGCCCGCCACCATGCCCGGCTAATTTTTTTGTATTTTTAGTAGAGACGGGGTTTCACCATGTTAGCCAGGATGGTCTCCATCTCCTGACCCCGTGATCCACCCGCCTCGGCCTCCCAAAGTGCTGGGATTACAGGCGTGAGCCACCACGCGCCTGGCCCTTTTATTTTTTGAGACGGAGTTTCGCTCTTGTTGCCCAGGCTGGAGTGCCCTGGCGCGATCTTGGCTCACTGCAACCTCCGCCTTCCGGTTTCAAGCGATTCTCCTGCCTCAGCCTCCCGAGTAGCTGGGATTACAGGCGTCCGCCACCACGCCCGGCTAACTTTTTTGTATTTTTAGTAGAGACGGGGTTTCACCATGTTGGCCAGACTGGTCTCGAACTCCTGACCTCGTGATCCGCCCGCCTCGGCCTCCCAAAGTGCTGGGATTACAGGCGTGAGCCACTGCGCCCGGCCGCCAGAGTAATTCTTAAAAAATGTAAATTATATCATCCCACTGCTATGCTTAAAATCTTTTGGAAGTTTGTCTCTAGGATAAAGCTCTGAATTCCTTAGGATTGCCTTCTCAGTCTCATTTCTCCGTCCCCTCTCTTACGCTATTTTGAACTTTGAATTTTTAGAATACATGCTTGCAGCGTCAAAGCTGTTCTCTCAGCTGAAATACGTGTCCTCCTCCCTCCTTTTTCTAACCAACTTTGCACTCAACCTTCATAGCTTAAATTAAGTATCACTTCTAGGAAAATGACACCCTCTCAAACCCCCTAGTTTCAACTTCTTTGTAGAGTTCCTAAGGATTCTTGTACTTATCTAGCAATTAAGAGCATTATCTTGTAATTCACGTCTTTATCTCTGCTAGACTAAGTCCTTGGGAGGGCGGAAACCAGGTTAAACTTTCTATCTCAATAGCCTAAACTGAGCGCCTTACACACAAAACAGCTGTTCAAATAGCATTTGTTCAGCGAGTAACTATTTTCTTCTTTGGAATGATGGCGGCCAGAATACCAGAAAGATGGGGACTTAAAGGGGACAGAAAAATTAAATCTATAAGGAACAAGCGGGATGGAGTAAATAAATCTATAAGGAGCAAGTGGGTACGTAGGCTTTTCCATAAACCCCTCTAACCCAGAAGCCGGGGCTGCTCGGCTAGGGGGACCAGGCCGACCTGGCTGCCGCCTGTCGTGGCGACTGGGACTCCAGTGGGCTGCCGCTTGGAGTGCGCGACCCCCGGCGAAGCAGGACAATAGCTTGGAATTCGGCCTCGTGTTTCCGGTGAGGCAGCCTCGCGCTGGGCCGGTGAGGCCTGGGGTGGGGGCTCCGAGCCGGGCCCACGGCGAAGAAGGCGCAGCCCGTTGGGCTCCAGCTGCCGCCACCACCGCCTCCCCCGACGCCGTCGCTCCGCCCCGCCCCGCCCCGGAAGTGACTTGAGGCCGGTCCGGAACCTCTGGGCCCGGCGGCTGCAGCGTCACCAGCAGAGCCGGTGCGGGGCGGGCAGAGCGGCCGCTGCCGCCGCCAACGAACTGAGAGCCGCGTGGGGCCCAGCAGCACGCCGGCCAGGGAAGGGGGCCTAGCGATCGGTCCGAGGGCGACGGGCCGCCAGCGGCCGCAGGGCGACGAAGACGCGGAGGAGGCGGAGCCCGGAGAGGGGTGGGGGCCGGGGAGGGTTCGGGTGGGAGGGGGTGGGGGGGGTGTCCCTGGGCTCATGGAGCCGGCCGAGCGGGCGGGAGTCGGAGAGCCCCCGGAGCCGGGCGGGCGTCCCGAGCCGGGCCCGCGGGGCTTCGTCCCGCAGAAGGAGATCGTCTACAACAAGCTGCTGCCCTACGCGGAGCGGCTAGACGCCGAGTCCGACTTGCAGCTGGCCCAGATCAAATGCAACCTGGGCCGGGCCGTGCAGCTCCAAGAGCTGTGGCCCGGGGGCCTCTTCTGGACCAGGAAACTCTCCACGTAAGTGTGCCCGGGCCTGCGGGCCGGGCCGGGGGGAAAGGCTCAGTGAGAGGTGTCGGGGATGGTTGCTCTTTGTCCAGAGGGCTGGACCCTTAGCTCTGTCCTCGCTGGAGCTGTCCCCGAGCGGTGATCCCAGGGTCGTGACAGAGCCTGTGAAGTACTCAAGCCGTCCTCCCTGCCACTTTCCTACGGGACTTCCCGGGTCTTTACCATCCCTCTACGTCCTCCGCATCTGCTTCTCCCGAAGTGTTCGGGTTGTTGTCTTCCCACCTGGGGGGCCCTGGGTAGCCCAAGGGCCCCGGCCCCGAGGGAGAGAGGTGAGCCTTTCTCAAGGGTCCTCCGTGGACTTTTGCGCATGGGAGAGGCGGGGCAAAGAGAATTTGTCTTTGGGGGAGTTCCTTGACTTGTCTCCTTGCTTCCTCCGGTTCTTCCTTCCCCTACGATCCCCGCCTCTTCGCATCTCCGTTGGCGTCTAGTAACTTTCTGAATGGAGAGAAGACCATAGGGAAACTTAAGGGTTTTGCTTTTTGGGGGCCCTCTCAGACCTGGCGGAGTTGATCGAAAAGGGTCGTTTAAAGTCAGACCTCATTCTTGAGCTTAACGTCTTATGTGGACAGTGTTGTTTTGGATTGTGTGTTGCTCCTGTTGTGACATTTCTTTTGGAGAGACATTTAAGATACTGAGGAAAGTAGGGAAGAGCACTGTCAGGATGTCCAGGGCGATATTAGTATCAGGCTTGTGTTAATTTTTTGAGTTACTCAGATTAAGAGATTACCTAAATCAGTTTCAGGAGTTCTGTTTGTAAACTAGCTTCAAACTATAGTGTCACTGAAATTAGGAAAAAAAAAAAAAAAACGAGTGAAAATACAGTGGGGGAAAAAAGGTTACATTTACTTGCTGGATGGGCATCTTTACTGTGTCCGAAGAGCTTTTTAAGAAAGAATTTTGCTGTATCTTGTTTGGTTAACTGTACATAAAATCTAGTAACATGGTATGTTCACGCATGTGGGTATGGACGGGTGAACACACAAGACATAACTCACTCATTCAGTGTTTACCCAAAGCTGCTGATTGAACTGAGTGATGACTCAGGGTTTTGTAATAGTTTTGTGTATATTCACTGGATGATTCTCATCTGCCAATTATTAAGGGGCCTCTGACAAATTTCTCATTTCCACTTGAGGGGTGGGTGGGACCTTTTTAATTAAAAAGAAGCAAAACTAAAACATGTAATTTGCCCTCTTCAGAGAGTGATCATAAAATGTCAAGGTTAACAGCTCTCCCCTTGACTAGAGTATAATGAAGTTTTTCGTGTTAGGATCCTTAGGAGAATGGAGGTGAGGGGCGGCAGAAGCAGGAATGCAACAGGGAGAACCACGTTTAGTCAAAAAAGAATATTTTATAAATAGTTAAAATCCAAATGCTTTTTCAAGTGAGACTCCTAGGTTTTTGTGTTGCTCAGGCACAGTAAAAATAGTCACTTTGTTACAGTAATTCCCCATTTTAATCACTTGGATTAGACTTGCCAGAGAATACCTACCATTTTTGGGGACGCAAACAGCTTTTTTTAGTGTACATTATATAAATATGCCATGGTGTGAAGGCATATCTGCTTTGGATTTATAAACCTAGAATCTACCAAGGCATAGTTAAGCATTGTTTTCTAAAGTATTTATTGTTAACAAGTTTGGTAAATTAGCACTCCGAGTTTTGTTATTGTTTTGGCTTATTAGATAAAAGTTTGTACCTAGAAAGGGCTAAAAATAACAATGGAGCTAATGTTTGGTGTTTAGGGCTGGATTGCAGATAGCTGATGGCTTAATACCCATGAACCCATAACCATTTATAGCTAAATAACCAGCAAGAAATGCTACTGGGTAGAATTTTATTTTGGAATAGTGGTTAGATGCTGGAAACTGATTCTTGATATTGCACTATGAGACATTTTGAATGCGGTGGGACATGTTGTGATCTTGGGTGTGTTTTTTTCCTAAGTCATGTTAAGGTGACCTGTTCATAGTTGTGCTTGTTGTTTTTTAAGCCTTCTGTGTTGCATAAGTGAACATCTGAATAATGCCAAAACGTGTGACGAAAGCTGAGTGGTGATCATATTTAGTACTTTGTAGAATAGAAAGTGGTAATGAAAAGAAAATCTAGTTTCTCCCACTAGCTCTGAGACTGTGGGAAAGTTACTTAATCATGTGTTTCAGTATGCTTGTGCGTGAAATGAGGGGATTGGACTAAATAATTCTTTTTTTTTTTTTTTTTGAGGTGGAGTCTTGCTTTGTTGCCCAGGCTGGAGTGCAGTGGCAGGATCTTGGCCCACTGCAATCCCTGCCTTTCGGGTTCAAGCGATTCTCCTGCCTCAGCCTCCCAAGTAGGTAGGATTATAGGCGAGTGCCACCATGCCTGGCTACTTTTTTTGTATTTTTAGTAGAGACAGGGTTTCACCATGTTGGTCAGGCTGGTCTTGAACTCCTGACCTCAAGCAATCTGCCCACCTCGGCCTCCCAAGGTGCTGGGATTACATGTGTGAGCCACCGCACCCGGCCTGGACTAAATTCTTGAGAAGCATTTCTACTCTGGTATTCTGCAGTTTTATTTTTTTAATCCTGTCAAGCTTCACATCAGTCATTGTGTGTATCTTTCTACAAGAACTGTTTGAATAATTTGTAAAATACTGGAAACAGTTGCATAGATCAAGTACATTCCTAAAGACCAAAGTGTAAATGCAGTTGAGAGTTAGTGGGACTATCTTGCTGATCAGAAATGTGCACCCGTAATCTGGACATCAGAGGTGTGTTTGGGACCAAGTTCTGGTTTGGAAGGTTCTCAGGCTTTACATTTGGTCCCTCTTTTTGACTTTTTTTTTTTTTTTTTTTTTTTTTTTTTTGAGACAATCTCACTCTGTTGCCCAGACACAAGATAGTGTAGTGGCACTATCGTGGCTCACTGCAACCTCCACCTCCACCTCCCTGGTTCAAACGATTCTCCTGCCTCAGCCTCCTGAGTAGCTGGGATTACAGTTGTGCGCTGCCACGCCTGGCTAATTTTTGTATTTTTAGTAGAGACGGGGTTTCACCATTTTGGCAAGGCTGGTCTCGAACCCAGGTGATCTGTGTGCCTCGGCCTCCCAAAGTGCGGGATTACAGGCTGAGCCACCGCCCCAGCCTTCTTTTTGACTTTTTTCTTCATTTTTAGTAGTTCAGTCCATTTAGAAACTTGCAGGTCTGTTTAACATCTCTGAAGAAAGGTTATTTCTATATTTTTAAATACTTGGCCATGTGATAGAGGCTTTCCTGTACAGACAATTTAAAGTACTAGAACTGTCTGGTCAAGAGAGGTTGTGTGATGTAACACATCACAAGGGAAATTTTTAATAAGGGAAGAAACAAATCAGAGAAGTTGAAACAAATTAGAGAAAGTAGGAACAAATTAATGGTCTTTGGACAATGGCAGACAGCTCATGGACACTGTGAGTGAAATATTGGTAGATAACTTGTATGGCCCATGTAGAGAATGAAGGGAGTTGAAGAAAGGTATTCTTAAAACTTGATTTTGTTATGCCTGTAATCCCAGCACTTTGGGAGGCCGAGGCAGACGGATCACGAGGTCAGGAGTTCGAGACCAGCCTGACCAACATGGTGAAACCCCATCTCTACTAAAATTAAGAAAATTAGCCTGGCATGGTGGTGCACGCCTTTAATCCCAGCTACTCAGGAGGCTGAGGCAGGAGAATCGCTTGAATCTGGGAGGTGGAGGTTGCAGTGAGCCAAGCGCCACTCCAGCCTCGGCAAAAGAGCGAGACTCCATCTTAAAAACAACAACAAAGAAAAAAACCCCAAAAAACTTGATTTTGCCCTCTTGCCTTTCTGGACCTTTCATGAGGGGCTGCGGGTGCTCGTTAGAACACCTCAGGTTATCTGTACGTGAGGTGTATCTGGCCTTGCCTCCAACATTATTATCTTTTTTTTTTTTTGGAGACAGAGTAGCTGGGATTATAGGCATGTGCCACGACGCCTGGCTAATTTTTTTGTATTTTTAGTAGAGACAGGGTTTCCCCATGTTGGCCAGGCCAGTCTCAAACTCTTGATCTCAAATGATCTGGCCACCCCGGCCTCCCAAAGTGTTCGGATTATGGGCGTGAGCCACCGTGGCCTGCCTAACATTATTATCCTGGCAAGATTTTAGATTATTAGTGGTTTTTCAAACTTTAAATTAAGTAGTGGAGTGTTTTATTTTTTATTTTTATATTTTTTGAGACAGAGTCTCGCTCTGTCATCCAGGCTGGAGTGCAGTGGCACAATGTCGGCTCACTGCAGCCTCTGCCTCCCAGGTTCAAGCAACCCTCATGTCTCTGCCTCCAAGTAGCTGGGATTACAGGTGAGTACCACCACACTTGACCAATATTTGTATTTTTATTAGAGAGGGGGTTTTGCCATGTTGCCCAGGCTGTCTCAAACTCCTGGCCCCAAATGATCCGCCCAAGATCTCGGCCTCCCAAGGTGCTGGGATTACAGGCGTGAGTCACCATGTAGTGCCAGTAGTGGAGTGTTAAAAAACCAAATTTTGGCTGGGCGTGGCGGCTCACGCCTGTAATCCCAGTACTTTGGGAGGCTGAAGCAGGTGGATCACAAGGTCAGGAGTTCGAGACCAGCCTCACCAACATGGTGAAACCCCGTCTCTGCTGAAAATACAAAAAAAAGTTAGCCGGGCATGATGGCGGGTGCCTGTAGTCCCAGCTACTCGGGGGGCTGAGGCAGAAGAATTGCTTGAACCCGGAAGGCAGAGGCTGGCTGCAGTGAGCTGCGATTGCACCATTGCACTCCAGCCTGGGCGACAGAGCGAGACTCTGACTCAAAAAAAAAAAAACAAAAAAACACACAACCAAAATTTTAAACTTGAAATTGGATTCCTCAGGCAAATTAAAACCCCACTCATTAAAAAAAAAAATACTTCCTTGATAGTAGAACTCTTGAAACCTCCTCAGGGCTCCACAACATACTGCTGGAAAAATCACTTGGATGCGCTGGGTGTGGCGGCTCACGCCTGTAATCCCTGCACTTTGGGAGGCTGAGATTACTTGAGGTCAGGAGTTCCTTGGCCAACATGGTGAAACCCTGTCTCTACTAAAAATACAAAATTTAGGCTGGTATGGTGGCACTCGCCTATAGACTGAGGCAGAAGAATCGCTTGAACCTGGGAGGCAGAGGCTACAGTGAGCCGAGATGGCGCCACTGCACTCCAGGCTAGGCGACAGAGGGAGACTCTTGTCTTACAAAAAAAAAAAAAAAAATCACTTGGCCTTTCTAGTTCTTTGTTCCTTTTAAACTGGTAAACTGGTCTGGAGGAAAGGGCGGGAAAAGGATGGAGAATAAGCGAATGGATTACTGTTTCCTACAACTTATCCCATCCATGATTCGTGTGTGTGTGTGTGTGTCTGTGTGTGTGTGTGTTTAAACAGAATTTTGATTTTAGTGAAGTATGTGGGTTTGGTGTAAGATGAAGCAAATTTAGATTCCCTGTTTGCTACAGTGACATGTTTTGTATTGTTTTATGATTAAGTGACTATATTATAATGTGAAGTCATTTTAATTGCTAATTAAAACTGTGGCACCCTTTAGAATTGAAAGTACAGTTGTTTTATTATTACAAATATTATGCAGCCTTCGTGGATTGATTATCCCAGTTGAAACCACATAATGTATTTGATTAGATTATGTAACCACCAGAAACTTAGGTGTAGTCAAGGTATGAGTTATCAAATACACAAACCTTCTCTTGTGGAAAGTAATAAGTGGCCACAGGAGCACCCACATTCATATCATCCCCGTGTTGGGAAAGAAAGGAAATGCTAACTGCTGAATCTGCATTGTCTGGTATGAGGCACCTAAGAGTATCTAATGTTTGAGTATTGAAATTGAAGTACACAATAAATGCAAGTGGTTTTATTTGTAAATGAATCTTGAAATCTTGACAAGTTACCAAACTCATCAGTGAGAACCAGTTAGAGAGAGTGATAGAAGAGGTTTTACTTTGTTGTTAAGTGATCATTCAAAATGGGAACCAAAATTTCTTTGTAGTGAGAAAGTTGATTTTCCATAAGGGGAAAAAAAAGGAACTGATTTTGGAGAACATGAATTTCTTTGATAAAGTTGTATAATGTAATAGCACAATAAGACATATTTCATATTTGATTTTTTCAAAAATTTTATTTCTGAGAGCAATTTTAGGTTCACAGCAAAATTGAATGGAAAGTATAGAGTTCCTGTATACCCTCTGTCTCTACACATGCATACATTTGATTTTTCATGATGATGTCACACATATACTTTTTTTTCAAAAATATTTGAGGCCCTTACTGTTTTCCAGAGATCTCTCAGTAATTTCTTGAAAACAGCTTGTCGTTTTCTTTTCACTAGTTAATTGGCTATTTCTTCCTGAACATCACTGGCCAATGAGCATATGTGTGTTTCTGATTTGAAGTTTTCTAATATTTAAACTCTTTTCATTACATATTTTTTATTATGAAAAATATCAAATATTCAAAAGACAATATAATGAACCTCATCACCTATCTTCACTTAATTAACTCATGGCCAGTTATGTTCTTTTCATCATCCCCTTTCCCCATTGTTTTTGAAGTATATTATTTATTCATGAATGTTTCCAGTATATATCTTCAAAGGAAAAGGAATTTTTTAAAAAAAGCAATACCAATACTATTATAAAACCTAAAAAAATTAACATCTATTATCACTTTGATCAATCTCATAAGGTTCTGCTTCTTTGCCAAATTTGTGATTTTACTTCTGAGTTTCCATTTCATTTGCATTTTTTTGCCTAAGGTTTACTGTAATCAAATCTCATGGACAGAGATCAAGAAAATAGCTCATTAATGAACATTTTCACATTATGACATCTTTCATTTCTGCCTTTTACCTTTGAAGACTTAGACTCAATCCTGGGGTAACAAGTATTCTCTTAAGTTACCTTCATTTAAAAAATGAAGACACAAGAGGCTCATAGGTTAGTGTACAGTCATGGGTTAATACAGTGTAGTAGAGGCAGACATCAATCTTCTTTGAACACAATTTTTTGAGTGCAATGCGTGGGCTGGGCACTGGTTTTGGCGTTTGGGATGTATCAGCGCAAGTTTTCTGCCCTCTGGAAGTTTCAGTGCGCTCTTTCTTTTTTGTGTGTTTTTTTTTGAAGAGATGGTCTTGGTCTCTTACCCAGGCTGGAATCATAGGGAGTGCAATCATACCCCCCTGTTTTAACCTTGAGCTCCTGGCCTCGAGCGATCCTCCCATCTCAGGCTCCTGGTTAGCTTGGACTACAGACATATACCACCACGCCAAGCTAATTTTTAAAGTTTTTCTTGAGACAAAGTCTCACTATGTTGCTCAGGCTGGCCTTGAACTCTTGGGCTCAAGTGATCCTCCACCTTTGCCTCCTGAAAGTGTTGGGAAAGTGTTGGGATTACATGCGTGAGCCACTGCATATGGTATGTGTCCTTTTTTTTTTTTTTTTGACACTGAGTCTCGCTCTGTTACCCAGGCTGGAGTGCAGTGGCGCGATCTCGGCTCACTGCAGCCTCCACTTCCTGGGTTCAAGTGATTTTCCTGTTTCAGCCTCCTGCGTAGCTGGGACTACAGGTGCAGCCACCATGCCTGGCGAATTTTTCTGTTTTTAATAGAGATGGGGTTTCACCTTATTGGCCAGGATGGTCTCGATCTCCAGACCTCATGATCCGCCTGCCTCAGCCTCCCAAAGTGCTGGGATTACAGGCGTGAGCCACCGTGCCCAGCTGTGTGCTTTATTCAGTGCACATTTTTGTTCATTTAGGACAGACTAGGCCAGGTGGTAACTTCATCAAAAACATTGAAGAAAATAGGAATTCTGAATGTATTATTTGAAAAGAAAATCTCATTCTGACCACTGTGTTTTAATGCCTTACTTTGAGGCACTAAGAAAGGCAGTTAGAAAAAAGAAATGTACCGTTTGATGTTCTGAGATCTGAATGTCACTTAAGAATGGTTTTCCCAAGTGTTCTTTCTGCAGTGTTGTAAAATAAAATTGTATTTGAAATACCTGTTGTTAATTGAAGTGGAGGCAAATTTTTACTGTTTTTTTTTTTTTGGCAAGCTTGTAAATAAGCATATAACTATATAACTTCTAAGAACTGTTTTTCTTATGGAACCTGGGAATTAACTTTTTTCTGCTAAATGAGACTTATTTTTAGAGAATCCCTTTCGCCCCTGTAAAAAGTAGAGGTTCCTCTTCAAAGACTTTCCTCCCCATCTAATTAGGAATAAATAGTAACTTCTCTTACAAGCAAAATTTATTCAAAGACCCTTGCAAACATTCTTAAATATCTGCTAGCCATAATGAAGAAATCAATGTACTTTATGTTCTTAGCTCCCACAATTTAGCCTAAATATTTGCCCTGGCATGCTTATACTGGTCCAAGCAAGCATTAGGTCATAGCCTGTTCCTCTTCCTTATTTGAAGGTGTTTTTATCTTTCTCAGCATTCCACAAGTTACTTCCTCCTTCCTTTGTTCTCTGCCTTTGCCTCTTTTAAAAAGTTCTAAGTTGCTAGCCAATCGGGACAAATACAGAATGTGAGGTCCCGTTCTAGCAAGTGGAAACCGGACACAACAGTAGGGTGGACGCTTCGGGTTATAAATGACCCTGTCTCCTTTGTTGGGTGTACTCTCCTGGCAAAACTGCTGGCGAGTGTACCTTTTCTGCAGAAAGTATAAAAATGGCCTTGCTGAGGAAATTAAATTTATGTTGAAGTGCTGTTTCTTTACAGCAATGGGGAATGAGCATTTCAAACATCCCCCTTCCCCCCCTTATTTTTAGACAGTCTTGCTCTGTCGCCCAGGTTGGAGTGCAGTGGCGCTGTCACAGCTCACTGCAAACTCAACCTCCCAGGCTCAAGCGATCTTCCCATCTCAGCCTCTGGAGTAGCTGGGACCACGGGCATGTATCAGCACACCCAGCTAGGTTTTTATTATTTTATTTTTATTTTTGTAGAGACAGGGTCTCACTATGTTGCCACGGCTGGTCGCAAACTCCTGGGCTCAAATCTTCCTGCCTCGCCCTCCCAAAGTGCTGGGATTACAGGCATAAGCCACTGCACCTAGCGCCTCTTCCCTCCTTTTCAAATACAAAAATCCTAATCTATGTTTCTGTCTAACCTTTGTAGAAAATTAGATCAAAATCTCATTCTATATGAACACCAAACTGAGAGCATGGTAGTAAAAACGGTAAGCAAACAACAACAGCAACAGAAAACCTCTACATTCATTGAGACCTCTATTGGAATGTTAAAAGCAGCACATACTATAAATATTCCCATTTGGAACCTTGAGGTTGACTACTTCTGTATTTGGTTTACACTTAACATTTCTTCTCTCTCTTTCTTTGAGACTGAGTCTTGCTCTGTCACCCAGGCTGGAGTGCAATTGTACCATCTTGCCTCACTGCAACCTCTGCCTCCCAGGTTCAAGCGATTCTCCTGCCTCAGCCTCCTGGGTAGCTAGGATTACAGGCATGCGCCACCATGCCCAGCTAGTTTTGTACTTTTAGTAGAGACTGGGTTTCTCCATGTTGGTCAGGCTGGTCTCGAACTCCTCACCTCACGTGATCCGCCTGCCTTGGCCTCCCAGAGTGCTGGGATTACAGGTATGAGCCACCGCGCCTGGCCAGTCCAGTGGTTTTCAAACCAGGTGATACATCTGTGGAACATAAAAAAAAATTCAAAAGCAACTGGTACCCAGAGCCCCACTGAAGAACCGTTAAGTTATAGCATCTTTCATGTACGTTTATCAGTCTGTCACCATAGCCTTGTGAAGAAAGCCAGATTTTATGGAGATTAAATGACTTCCCCAAGGGACTGACAGAGCAGTTTGAGTTCTTAACAGAGTTGTAGAACCATGCTGTTCCTGCTTACTTGGCTACTGGTTGAAATCAATAAATGTTATATCCAGAGTTGATTATGTTAGTTGCAAAGCAAACTAGAATAGAAACTTACAACATTTTATTCTGTTATTTCTCCTTGCCACCGAAATATGCATTCTTAATCTGCTCCTCTAGCTAGAGCTGTCTCCTGTGCCTTTTTTTTTTTTTTTTTTGAGATGGAGTCTCGCTCTGTTGCCCAGGCTGGAGTACAGCGGCCTGATGTTGGCTCACTGCAACCTCCGCCTCCCAGGTTCAAGTGATCCTCCCACCTCAGCCTCCCAAGAAGCTAGGATTACAGGCGCCCGCCACCATGCCTGGCTGATTTTTGTATTTTTAGTAGAGATGGGTTTCGCCATGTTGGCCAGGCTGGTCTGGATCTCCTGACTTCAAGTGATCCACCTGCCTCAGCCTCCCAAAGTGCTGAGATTACGGGCGTGAGCCACCATGCCTGGCCTCCTATGACTCTTAATTCTGCAGATGGTCAGATTATTTTGACCTCAGGTTGCCTCTTCAGGGTATAACTTAAGTGATGACAGCTTTCTAAACTTTCAAAGTCAATGACCACTTAATATATGATGAAAATTGGGCTAAAAAAATCAATCCACAAAAATCTGTTAATGCTTTATTTTATTTCACTTTTACATGTTTCGTCTTCCAGGTACTTGGAATGTCATATCTGACTGTCTTATTTGATTGCGAGTTGTTGGCCCAAAGGAACTGTTTGAGTCATTATTGTCTTGTATGTGTTGTTTGCTCTAGAAATGCTTTTTGAATATACAGGTAATTGAAAATAGGGGAGGTGAGTTTATGAAAAAACCTTTCCTCTTATTTGTTCACTCAGTGTTTCTGGCAGTGAGAAGCTTTATCTACATTTTTAATATTATATGTAATGATGAAGGACTTAGTCTTGGAATAAAATCACAGTAATTTGTTCCTGATCCCTTAGTTTTCTCTGCTACTTTTACCTCTCTTTTTTGTTATTTCTATATGGTGAAACCTTGGAAAGAGAAGGAAAAGACTGGAACTGATATAGCTATGGTGAAGTGTTTATTTTGGGTGGGCAGGAGTTGAAGTTACTGCCTGAAATTAATTGAGGGGGTCGTTCAGAGATCTCATGGGTCATGGTAGTTTTCCTTGCTGTAAAATATTTGTCATTTAGCCCTAGCTGTCAGGGATTAAGCAGCTTTTTTTCCCCCCTCTTTTTTTTGAGACAGAGTCTCGCTCTGTCACTTAGGCTGTAGTACAGTGGCATGGTCTCAGCTCACTGCAACCTCTGCCTCCTGGGTTCCAGCGATTCTCCTGCCTCAGCCTCCCAAATAGCTGGGACTACAGGTGCACACCACCTGTACATACAAAATAATTAATAAATAAAAAATACAATAATCAGTAAAAAATACAAAATAATTTTTGTATTTTTAGTCAAGATAGGGTTTTGCCATGTTGCCCAGGCTAGCTTCAAACTCCTGGGCTCAAGCAGTCCACCTGCCCTGGCTTCCCAAAGTGCTAGGATTATAAGGTGTGAGCCACCACGCCCAGCTCTTAAGTGGCATTTTAAAAAGTCCTTATTTCTCGCCATTTGTTTAAATATTTTACATTTTAGTAAAGTTTTAACATGTAATTCCTGCATATTTCTCTTTGAGAAATTTTCAATTAATTTTTTTGTTGGTAATTTGAATGGAACAATCTTCCGTCAACACTGTTACTTTTTATCTGGATGCTATACAGGAAGGCTCCTGACTTTTTTTTTTTTTTTAAATATGTATTCAGTAGATTTTAAAGTTTAGTCTAAAAGTGTTTTTTTTTTAAGTTGTTTCAGATGTTTTAGGTATAATCATAGCATTGACACCATACTTTTAGTTCCACCTTACCTGAAATAATTACCCTAATTTTTGTTACCTATTCTTTTGATCTAGATTCAGAATAATGCTGAATCATAATGGTAAGAATAGTCATTATTGTCCTGAATCTGACTTTAAAGGAAGCGCCTCTTGGGAGAGGAATGCCTTAAAGTCTGATATTGACTGTTTAATTAAGACTCGTGTGTGTTTTCAAATGGATTTGGTTTCTCTTGGTTATAATCCCATTAGTATTTTCTGATTTACACTGTATCATAATCAGATTGGACAGAATGATGTCTATGTGTTAAAAATAAGTGAGGTTTTTTTTGTGGCTTAGTTTATGACAAGTTTTTGTTTTTTTGTTTTTTTGTTTTTTTTGAGATGGAGTCTCACTCTGTGGCCCAGCCTGGAGTGTAGCGGTGCTATCTCAGCTCACTGCAATCTCCACCTCCTGGGTTTAAGCAGTTCTCCCACCTCAGCCTCCCGAGTAGCTGGGATTACAGGTGCACGCCACCATGCCCGGCTAATTTTTTTTTTTTTTTTTTTTTTTGACAGAGTCTTTCTCTGTCGCCCAGGCTGGAGTGCAGTGGCGCGATCTTGCCTCACTGCAACCTCTGCCTCCCTAGTTCAAGCAATTCTCCTGGCCCAGCCTCCTGAGTAGCTGGGACTACAGGCGTGTGCCACCATGCCCAGCTAATTTTTGTATTTTTAGTAGAGACAGGGTTTCTCTGTGTTGGTCAGGCTGGTCTCGAACTCCTGACCTCAAGTGAGCCACTGCTCCTGGCCAACAAGTTTTTATGTGTGTTCCACAGGAGATTGAAAAGTGAACATAGTTTTTGTAAGCTCAAAGTGTTCGTATTTGTCTCACACAATATTTTGTTACCATTATTAAGCACATAAAGTTTTGCTTTCTGAAGACTGTGCAATAAGTGGTACTATATACTGTCATCAGGAGATGCATAATGTCTTACTTCTTGATGATATTAGTAGCCATTTTACATCGCTAGGGATTCCAAAATGGTGATACTTAAACATTTTACTCTGCTTATTTGGTGGGAATCTCTAAAGTAGGGGTCTCCATCTCCCAGGCCACGTACTGTTAATCTGCTGTGGCCTGTAAGTAACTGTACTGAGCCGAATTTATAGCCCCTCCCCATTGCTCACATTACTGCCTGAGCTCTGCCTCCTCTCAGATCAGTGGTGGCATTAGATTGTCTTAGGAGCACAATCCCTGTTGTGAACTGCACATGAGAGGGATCTAGGTTGTGTGCTCTTTGTGAGAATCTTGTGCCTGATGATCTGTCACTGTCTCCCATCACCCCCCAATGGGACCATCTAAGTTGCAGGAAAATAAGCTCAGGACTCCCACTGATTCTACATTATGATGAGTTATGTAATTGTTTCATTATATATTACAATTTAATAATAATAGAAATAAAGTGCACAATAAATATAATGTCCTCAAATCATCCCAAAACTACCCCCGCCATCTGTGGAAAAATTGTTTTCCACAAAACCGGTCCTTTCTGTGTGTTAAAATTAAGTGCCAAAAAGTTTGGGGGACCACTGCTCTAAAGAACTTTTCCTCATGAAATGTTGTTTATCCTGAGTGCCTGTAGGAGTGGCAGGGTAAAGCTTAATTGTTCCCCTTCATTTACCAGTTTTTAAGTTAATGACTTGGTTCTCTGGCATTCCTGAAAGATGTGGCCTGTGAGGTTTTGTTTTGTTTTGATATTTTTCATGAACTCAATGGTTTTAAACATATCAGTTGCAATTACCTTGATTCACACCCTTTTCATTTTTGATTGGTGAGAAACCTATTCAAGTTGACTCTTAAGACGTTATTTAAGTAGCCTTTGATAAGGGACATTTAAATTAAGATAATACACAGAAATGCAGAAATATTGATTATCTGATTTTAAACATTGTATTTTACATTAGAACTTTGATATTAATTTTTTCATTGTTAATTCTAATTATAAAAATAATTCCTATTAGCCAGGCATGGTGGTGGGCTCCTGTAATTCCAGCTACTTGGGAGACTGAGGCAGGAGAATCGCTTAAACTTGGGAGGCGGACGTTGCAGTGAGCTGAGATTGGGCCACTGCACTCCAGCTTGGGCAACAGAGAGAGACTCCATCTCAAAAAATATATAGAATAATAATTCCTGTTTACTTTTTTAAATTATTATTATTTTTATTTTTTGAGACAGTTTTGCTCTTGTCACCCAGGCTGGAGTGCAGTGGCGTGATCTCGGCTCACTACAACCTCCGCCTCCCGGGTTCAAGCGATTCTCCTGCCTCAGCCCCCCGAGTAGCTGGGATTATAGGCACTAACCACCATGCCCTGCTAATTTTTTGTATTTTTAGTAGAGACGGGGTTTCACCGTGTTGACGAGGCTGGTCTCAAACTCCTGACCTCAGGTGATCCTCCTGCTTTGGCCTCCTAAAGTGCTGGGATTATAGTCCTGAGCCACCAGGCCCAGCCTATTTACTTTTAGAAAGTGAAAAAACTGAAAATGTGTTTTGAAAAACACAAAAAAGTTTCTCAGTTTTACCACCCAGAGGTAGGTTTTTTGTTTTGTTTTGTTTTGTTTTTAATTTTTAAATTTTTTGTAGAGATGTGGTTTTGCTATGTTGCCCAGGCTGGTCTCAAGCTCCTGGGCTCAAGCGATCTCCTGGGCTTAAACCATCTGCCTGTCTCAGTCTCTCAAAGTGCTGGGATTATAGGCGTGAGCCACTGTACCTGGCTCCCAGAGAGACTATTTTATGGTATCTACTTTTTTCTTTTTTTGTTTTGTTTTGGTTTTTTTGGGGACTAAGGTCTCACTGTTGCCTAGGTTGGAGTGCAGTGGCACGATCTTGGCACGTTGCAACCTTCGCTTCCCAGGCCCCACCAATCTTCCCACCTCAGCCTCCTGAGTTACTGGGACTACAGACATGCGCTATCACGCCCGGCTAATTTTTGTATATCTTGTAGGCACGAGGTCTCGCAGTGTTGCCCAGGCTGGTCTCAAACTCCTGGACTCGAGCAGTCTGCTTGCCGTGGCCTCCGAAAGTGCTTGGATTGCAGACATGAGCCACTGTGCTGGGCCTGTTTTGTTTCTTTTTCCTTGAATGATTATGTATTTTTATTTAGTTATATATATTTGTTTTGAGCCTTGCTTTATAAATATTATATTCCGTTCCATATTCTACTAAAGGTTATTTGAAAACACAATTTTAAGTGACTGCATTATAGTCTAAAGCATGGGTGTCTAATCTTTTAGCCTCCCTGGCCCACATTGGAAGAATTGTCTTGGGCCACACATAAAATATACTAACGCTAATGATAGCTGATGAGCTTTAAAAAATTGCAGAAAACCTAAATGTTTTAAGAAAGTTATGCATTTGTGTTGGGCCACATTCAAAACAATCCTGGGCCATCGGTTGGACAAGCTTAGTCTAAAGGAATAAGCCACACTTTAACAAGCCATTCTCATACTAGACTTATAGATTTTTTTTCAGGAAATTTTGGAAATTACATATGTGCATTTGGCCTTTTAAAAATTTTTTATTTTTGGAGAGTCAGGGTCTTGCTCTGTTACCCAGGCTGAAATGCAGTGGCAAGATCATGGCTCACTGCAACCTCAACCTCCCAGACTCAGATGCTCCTCGTGTTTCAGCCTCCCAAGTAGCTGGGACTACAGGCACGTGCCATCACACCTGGCGATTTTTTTTATAGAGACGGGGTCTCCTTGTTACCCAGGCTAGTCTTGAATTCCTGTCCTCAAGTGATCTTTCCTCCTCAACTTCCCAGAGTGCTAGGATTATAGACGTGAGCCACAGTGTCTCGCTCATTTTGGCATTTTGACTTTGATATTCTGAATTATTATTATTATTGTTATTTTTTTTTTTGAGACAGGTCTCTCTGTTACCCAGGCTGGAGTGCAGTGGCACAGTCTTGGCTCACTGCAACCTCCACATCCAGGGTTCAACTGATTCTTCTGCCTCAGCCTCCCAAGTAGCTGGGACTACAGACGCCTGCCACTACGCCCAGCTAATTTTTGTATTTTTTAGAAGAGGTGGAGGTTTTGCCATGTTGGCCAGGCTGATCTTGAACTCCTGACCTCAAGTGATCTGCCTGCCTCGGCCTCCCAAAGTGCTGGGACTACAAGTGTGACTCACTACACCTGACCTGAATTATTTACTCAAGATAGTATTGCTAGATGAAGGATTTTTATTAATTTGTTATTATTACATTTTTAAATATGTATAATAGAGATGAGGGTCTCACTCTGTTGCCCAGGCTGGTCTTGAACTCCTGGATTCAAGTGATTCTCCTGCTTCTGCCTTCCAAAATGCTGGGATTTCAGGCATGAGCCATGGCGCCTAGCCCACTGTCTTTCTTTCTTTCCTTTTTTTTTTGAAATGGAGTCTCCCTCTGTTGCCCAGGCTGGAGTGCAGCAGCGAGATCTTGGCTCACTGCAACCTCTGCCTCCCGGGTTCAAGCGATTCTCCTGCCTCAGACTCCCGAGTAGCTGGGTTTGCAGGCGCGTGCCGCCACACCCGGCTAATTTTTGTATTTTTAGTAGAGATGGGGTTTCACTGTGTTGGTCAGGCTGATCTCGAACTCCTGACCTCGTGATCTGCCTGCCTCGGCCTCCCCAAGTGCTGGGATTACAGGCGTGAGCCACCGCGCCCGGCCAGCCCACTGTCTTTCTTATGATTAAAAATTAAATCATTTGATTAATACACTGTAGGGCTGTGAGGAGGAAGCGGCTGGAAATGCTATTGTATTATCTTTTACTCTTTTTTGTTCTTCCCCTGTGGGAGGATGGAACAAAATGACTTGTTATCCATATATTCTGGATGGTTGAAAGAAATATTCTATATCAATCACGTTCAATCGTGACTGTTTACCAGGGTTTTCAGTTATTTTGGGACACCTAATAGTAATCATTAGTCCTAAAACCTAATGTGAAAATTAACTGGAAAGAGGGAATGCACCATCTGTAGATACAGTCTAAAGTAGGGTTTTTGAACTTAAGCTTACAGGAAAGTCAAACCAGAGTAGTCTAAAAAATGAAGATTGGTAGTCTGCACTCTAGCACTCCAGGAATTTATTTTTCATTCACCTTAAAAAAAAAAAAAGACAAACAGCTTTACTGAGATTTAATATTCCTAGGATTTTTGGATCCCAAGAATAATGCATTTTAAAAGTTACCCTGCATAGTTCTTCTTTTTCTTTTTTTTTTTTTTTTTTTTAATAGACATGGGGTTTCACCATGTTGCTCAGGTTGGTCTTGAACTCCTGATCTCAATTGATCCTCCTGCCTTCGCCTCCCAAAGTGCTGGGATTACAGGTATACTACGCCCAGCCTTTTTGCCCATTTTTAATTGGATTATGTCTTTTTCTTACTAGTAATTTGGATATGAGTTCTTTGTCAAATATATGTATTTCTGGGCTTTTTACTTTTAATGGTGTCTTATAGTGACTAGAAGTTATTTATGATAAAGACCAATTTATTAATTTTCTTTTTATAGTTAGAACTTTTGTGCCCTTTTAAAACAAATCTCTTGCACCATATTTTGATAAATGCTGAGATAAGAACCACTTGCTGGTTGGCGAGGAACTGGGGGAAATAGAAGCTTTCTGAGGAGTCCCTCCAGAATCTTTAGATTTGTCAGCAGCCCTAGGCTTTCCAGGAATCCCCCTGTTGGTCTCTTTTTATAGTATTAAAATTTGAGCTTTGTTAATTTTATGTCCCTAACTAATGTTAAATATACAGTTGTCTGTCTACTGCAATGAAAACAATGGGCTGTAGCTAAGTTACTTCAGTGGCTTGGAGCAGGGGGTCCCCCAACCCCCAGCTCAGGGACTGGTATGGGTCTGTGGCCTGTTAGGAACCGGGCTGCACAGCAGGAGGTGAGCAGTGGACAGGCGATTGGGCATTACCGCCTGAGGTCCACCTCCTGTCAGATTAGCCATGATGTTAGATTCTCATAGGAGCTCATATCCTATTGTGAACTGCCCGTGCAAGGGATCTAGGTTGTGTACTCCTTATGAGATTCTCCCTGGTACCAAAAAGGTTGGGGACTGCTGGCTTAGAGTACAGTGTTTCTCTAGTTTTTCTGCAGAAGTATCCTAACCACAGGGGAGAATGAATGCATGACTCCAGGGGCATCTGGAATCTTTCTGTTTGTTTGTTTGAGACTGAGTCTCTCTCTGTTGCCCAGGCTGGAGAACTCTAGCACCATCTCGGCTCAGCTGCAACCTCCGCCTCCCAGGTTCAAACAATTCTCCTGCCTCAGCCTCCCGAGTAGCTGGGATTAGAGGCGCGCACCACCATGCCCAGCTAATTTTTGTATTTTTAGTAGAGACAGGGGTTTCATCATGTTGGCCAGGATGGTCTCCATCTCTTGACCTCGTGATCCGTCTGCCTCGGCCTCCCAAAGTGCTGGGATTACAGGTGTGTAGTAGAGACAAAGTTTCACCATATTGGCCAGGCTGGTGGTCTCGAACTCCTAATCTCACGTGATCTGCCCACCTCGGCCTCCCAAAGTGCTGGGATTACAGGCATGAGCCACCACGCCTGGCTGGTATCTGGAATATTGACAAGGCCTGAAGCAGCCACTGAAAGCAGGGAATTTTTCTTTGATGTCTTCTGTCTTTATCTTAAAAATGTGTTCCAGTTTTTAGGGAGATGTTTGTGTTCATTTAAAATAACATTTTAATGATTCTAGCTTTTGCTCCTAAATTTAGAGTGAAATTGAGGGAGGCATCAGAAGGCTCTATCATTATGCTTATTCAACAGCCCAAAATAATAATATATTTGGGTGTAGGATCTTTTGTCTTCACTAATCTACGTGCGTTACCATTTTAGGGTGTTTAAGAAACTTTCATAATAATTATTTTGAGTATCCCTTATTTGAAATTCTGGGACCAGAAATGTTTAGGATTTTGGATTTTTTGAGGTTTTATAATATCTGCATTATGTTCTTACCGATTGAGCATCTCAAATCCAAAAATTAGAAATTGGAAAACTCCATGAGCATTTCCTTTGAGTGTCATGTTGTTGCTCAAAAAGTTTTGGATTTTGGAGGGTTTCGGATTTTCGGATTAAAGGTATTCAACCTGTACTGGCAGAACCAAAACAAGATCTCACGTCTCATTGCTCCTCCCTCTATATTTGCTGGTCTCATAGTACTAATGTGAGATCATGGGATTATACCTTGAAATGACAGAAAAGAGCTGAATAAATTCAGACCAGCTTGAGAAAATAAAAATGAGTTAATGAACCAAGAATTTTGAAGAATTTCTGGAAGATAAAAAAGCAGTTAGATGCCCTAACTTTAGAAATTAAATGTAAGTGCTGGGCGCAGTGGCTCACGCCTATAATCCCAGCACTTTGGGAGGCCAAGGCAGGGGGGATCTCAAGGTCAGGAGTTTGAGACCAGCCTGGCCAACATGGTGAAACCCCATCTCTACTAAAATTACAAAAATTAGCCGGGCGTGGTGTTGGGCGCCTGTAATCCCAGCTACTGGGGAGGCTGAGGCAGGAGAATTGCTTGAATCCAGGAGGCAGAGGTTGCGGTGAGCTGAGATCAGGCCACTGCACTCCAGCCTGGGTGACAGAGCAAGACTGTGTCTTGGGGGGAAAAAAAAGAAGTTAAATGTAAGTTTTATTTGATCTCAGGTACTGGGGGAGTGTTAAAGATCTTACGAGGAATACTAATGCTCTTTTTCCCGTTGACTTACATATTTAATAAAATGACCCTCCTCCAGGGGTTTTATGATTTTAAGTCTACAGTAATTTATTTGGATCAGTTACTTCTGAATTCTTAAATATACTCTGATTTGTTGTTCTTGGGTTTTGGGACACCTTTTTCTTTTCTTTTTTTTTTTTTTTTGAGACGGAGTTTCTCTCTTGTTGCCCAGGCTGGAGTGCAACGGCACACTCTTGGCTCACCGCAACCTCCGCCTCCCAGGTTCAAGCAATTCTCCTGCCTCAGCCTCCCTAGTAGCTGGGATTACAGGCATGTGCCACCACGCCTGGCTAATTTTGTGTTTTTAGTAGAGACGGGGTTTCTCCATGTTGGTCAGGCTGGTCTCAAACTCCTGACCTCAGGTAATCCACCCACGTCGGCCTCCCAAAGTGCTGGGATTATAGGCGTGAGCCACTGTGCCTGGCCATTGGGACACCTTTTTCTTAAATTTGCTTAAAGTTAATGCTTTTGATTACATTGTTTATAGTTAGAAATTAAAAATGTAATTTTGGATAAAATATTAAATTATTTTTGGTATAACCTAATTGTATTGTAATTATAAGTTAACTGTTAGAAACAAATAGTACAAGTTATGTAACTTGTTTACAATAAGAGAGCAGTGTTTTAATTGGTCATTAGATATTGATGATAACTCAGTTACCATAAGATACTTATTTGGCAATCTCCTTTTTTTTTTTTTGGAAGACAAGATCTCACTCTGTCGCCTAGGCTAGATGGAGCATAGTGGCGCCATCCCAGCTCACTGCCCCCTTGACTTCCTGGGCTCCAGTGATCCTCCCACCTCAGCCCCCGACCCGAGTAACTGGGACCACAGGCGCACGCCATCATGCCTGGCTAATATTTTGTATTTGTTGTAGAGACTGGGTTTTGCTACGTTGCCCAGGCTGGTCTTGAACTCCTGGGTTCAAGTGATCCTCCTGCTTTAGCCTCTCAAAGTGCAGGGATTACAGGCATGAACTACTTTGCCTGGCCTGGTTATGTCTCAATTGAAGTACAGAACAATTTTTTACTGCATAATAGTGAGAATAGATATAAAATAGTTAACCATCAAAGACATTTGAAATTGTTACCACACCTATTTTTAAAAATTGTCATTAAAAATAAGTATCAAGTTTATCTTAATTTTTAACTGTACAATACAGTATTGTTAACCATATATACATTGTTGTACAACTTCTTTTATTTTACTTGACTGAAACTATACCCATTGAATAACAGCTCTCCATTTCCTGGTCCTTGCAACCCCTGGCAGCAAGTATTCTACTTTCTGTTTCTATGAGTTTGATTACTTTGGATACCTACACAGTATTTGTCTTTTGTGACTGGCGTATTTCACTTAACATTCATACATGCTGTAGCTTATGACTGGATTTCCTTCTTTTTTAAGACTGAATCATCCTCATCACTGGTTCTAGCTGAAGTATGATGGGATCATTCTTCCTGGCAAATAAATTCCTGTTTCTATCCAGAAAACCAATAAAAAGTTTTCCATGAAATGTTAAAAAAAAAAAAAAAAGACAATAATCCATTGTGTTGTATATGCCACATTTTCCTTATCCATTCATCCTTCTGTGGCCATTCAGGTTGCATCTACATCTTGGCTTCTATGGATAATGCTGCATTGAACATGGATGTGTCATCATACCTATTTTTAAAGGGTATATCTATTTTTCTCTTGCAGATATATTCGACTTTATGGGAGAAAATTTAGCAAAGAAGATCATGTTCTTTTTATTAAGTTATTGTATGAGCTGGTATCAATTCCAAAACTGGAAATCAGCATGATGCAGGGATTTGCCCGCCTTTTGATCAACTTGTTAAAGTAAGTCTTTTTCCAGAGGTTTCTGTTAAGGTTTGTTTGTTTCTTCAGGGTTTTAGGGAATGAGGACTAAGTGTTTTTGGTAAGAAGACCAAGTCTCAAATTGCCAATTTGGAAAATGATTGCAAAAAACATTATCTTAATTTTCATCAAATGTGTCAGTTAACCTTTTAGTTAAAATTCCATCTCTTCCATGACATGGTCTCTTCTCTAGCACCCATTGAACTTCCCCTTTTATAGGTTGTTAAGTCCCTTGAGAAGACAAGACAAAGATCATGGATTCTTTTGCTTACCCTGAAGCATCCAACTCAATGCTGGAAACATTAAATATTCCATAGTGTGGGAAAACATGAAATTCATCCACAATAATGGCGACACAAATTTAAATGCCCTCTTTTATCTGCTGCTCTTTGAGGTTTGAGCAGCAGCAAGAATTGGGTGCATTATTCTTCTTAATACTATGTTCTGCTAGTGAGTGGCCATGGATGGGGAAAGCAAAACCCATGGTGATGAGCAGCAATGTTTAACTGTCCCTGTGTAGTATTTGTGGTATACACACATCTGTGCACATATGCATACATAGGTATTTATTTTATTTTACTTTTTAGGAAAAAGGAACTTCTTTCAAGAGCTGATTTGGAGTTACCCTGGAGACCACTTTATGACATGGTAGAAAGAATATTATATTCCAAGACAGAGCACCTAGGATTAAATTGGTTTCCTAAGTAAGTATTTCCATTTAAAGCACTTATTTGGGAGTACTTGGGGTTTTTTAGGGGGGTGATCATGATTGAAAAATATTGAGTTGTTTGAAAGAAACAAGCAGATATTTTAATGTGCCTATTTCTGTGTAATTTGACTCCTGAAACAATTCATTGCCCTCTATAAACTGTATCTGAGGCTGCATCTCTCTTGCAGATCATTGACTTCTTGCACCTACATCCTGCCTCTTTGATAGCTAATTTTTGGTTTTATATTTTATTCTGAGTTTATATAATAAAATATCATCTGCCCTTTTTTGGTTAATAGTGATTTCATACTAGACTGACAGGTATCATTTCTGTCCAGTTGTGGTCTAGCTTTAAATTTTCTCAGTTTTAGCACGTTTGGCTTATCATTCTTTTTTTTCTGAGATGGTGTCTCACTCTGACGCTCAGGCTGGAGTGCAGTGGTGTGATCTCAGCTCACTGCAACCTCCACTTCCCGGGTTCAAGTGATTCGCGTTCCTCAGCCTCCCGAGCAGCTGGGATTACAGGCATGCACCACCATACCCAGCTAATGTTTGTATTTTTAGTAGAGATGGGGTTTCGCCATGTTGGCCAGGCTGGTCTCGAACTCCTGACCTCAGGTGATCTGCCTGCCTTGGCCTCCCAAAGTCCTGGGATTATAGGCATGAGCCACCACGCCTGGCCTCTTCAGTGTTTTTGTTTGTTTTGTTTTGAGATGGAGTCTCGCTCTGTCGCCCAGGCTGGAGTGCAGTGGTGCGATCTCAGCTCACTGCAAGCTCCACCTCCAGGGTTCATGCCGTTCTCCTGCCTCAGCCTCCCGAGTAGCTGGGACTACAGGTGCCCACCACCACGCCCGGCTAATTTTTTTGTGTTTTTAGTAGAGACGGTGTTTCACCATGTTAGCCAAGATGGTCTCTATCTCCTGACCTCGTGATCCCCCTGCCTCAGCCTCCCAAAGTGCTGGGATTACAGGCGTGAGCCACCACCCCCAGCCTGTGTACTCATTTCTTGAAGAGCACCATTCTCTATGCCTGTATTAATTTCCTTTTTCTTTTTTATAAATTAAGTCTTTAAAGACTTCTGCAGTTTTCTCTCTCAGTCTTAGGCATGTCTACATTATTTCATTATGTCTTGTTAAATTCATTTAATCTATGATTAACCCTCAGCCTTTACTTAGGTCAACAGTCTTTGTCCCTTACCATAGAATTTTTTGAAAATGAGTGCAGATGGCAAATGTGAAATGGTGTAAGTGGAAGAGGTAAAACATGATCTTCAACTTAGGTCCTAATTGGTTTTTGGACAGTTTTGCACAAGTAAGGTGGTTAGAAGTCATTTATTTCTTGAAAGTTTCATGTGTTAAAACAAGGAAACTCATTTCAACCATAAAAATAGCAAATTTTATCACGAAATAGAATAGTGCATTGTGCAAGTATGCTTTTACCAATATTTGTTAGGTTTTCCTCCCTCCCTCCCTTCCTCTCTCCCTTCCTTCCTTCCTTCCTTCCTTTTTCAGGGTTGCTCTGTTGCCTAGGCTGGAGTGCAGTGGCAAGATCTTGCATCACCACAGCCTTGACCTCCTGGGCTCAAGCAGTCTTCCCGCCTCAGCCTCCTGAGAAGGTGGGACCACAGGCGTGTGCCACCATGCCTGGCTAATTTTTAAAATTTTTTATTTGTAGAGACAGGGTCTCTACACAGGGTCTCACTGTGTTGCCCAGCCTGGTCTTGAACTCCTGGGCTCAAGTGATCCTCCCGCCTTGGCCTCCCAAAGTGCTGGGATTACAGGCATGGGCCACTACACCTGGCCCCAGTATTTTTTAAGAAAACTCAAAATTGAATACAAAAGCTTTGATTGTAAATATTCCTTTTGGGTGTTATTTTTGCCACAGGGACCATGACCTATACTGGTTTGACTGAGTCTTCTTTAAATAAGAGGTCAGGGAATTTCTTACTGGCTTCACCATTTCAGATGAGATTGGGCACATTCAGGGTGGTATGGCCATAGACAGGCTTCACTATTTCATAGATCTCAGGGACCTTTGAACTGTGTTCAGATCAGTTATCCTTCTGAGATGTTTCTTGCTGATAATTTTGGCTGCTTCTGAAAGTATTTTGTAAATGAAAGGAGGAGGTAAGGCGGTTTCTTCAGTGATACCCTGTTCTTCAGTATGCCTTCTTGCTGCTTCATAACCAAGCGTCCTACTTTCCTGCCTTAAGGGTCTACCTTTGCAAAGGCACATGCTGCTTTTAAAGTCCTTTGTGGTCATTAATAAGTATCTATGGCTTTCCTCTTCAGTGATAAGAGCTGTTTGTCTGGAAATTTTCTATTAGTATTGGTCAGTCAGTGCTTATTGATTATGTTTACCATGTCTCTTCCTAAAGTGTCACATCATCCTTGTCCTTAAAAGTTTTACCATGGCTGTTCTTGATCTTTTGAAGAGACGTTGTGACTGAAACACAGCACTGACTCTCAACTCTTAACAGACTCAGCATTTCATTTTGTAATTGTAATTATTCTAAAATAAAATTTATAAATCATATAACCTACCTATACTCATTACCTACACTGTGACAATTTTGAGTTTTTTCTTCTTAGATATATTCTGCCACATTTTGAAACAGTTTTGTCAGCTGACTACATGTGTTCATACTATTTTTAGAATGCTATTTTTATAATCAAAAGTGAAAGATTGCTTAATTTGTTAACTGTCTTTCAAATTTTAAACTCATGTGCCTTATGTTTTAGTCCTTATTGAAATCACTGCTTAGAGCGGCATGTGTTTCAACATGATTTTAAAAGCTAGTTCTATTGTTTGAAGCAAAGATTATCAACTTTCCTCTCTTCCCTTCCTCTTTACCTTTCCCATCCTCTCTTCATCCCCTTTCCTATCCTTGTTTCCCTCTTTTCTTCTCTTCCTTCCTCCTTCTAGCTTTCTGTCTGTCTTTTTGCCTCTAGGACAAAAGACCCTTTTTAGTCTCTTTATCCTCATCTCAGTCTACTTTCTACTGGAGAAAGAATTGGTAGTGTTTTTTATTCAATAGAAGAAGTAAAATTGGAAAGGAGATGAGTGTGAACTAATTGTTAGCGATATAAGAATTATTATTTACTTTATAAATGAAGCTTTTGAATCTTATGGACATGGTTTTATTTTATAAAACAATGTCCCATACACTTACTTTGAGTAGCATATTGCAAGTTATAGTATAGGCAACATACTAATGGTGTTGCTACTAACAAAATATGGGAGAATTATGCATAGGTATGCTTTTACAAATGGGCACAAACAATTCATATTTCAGTTGCTATGTGTATAAATTTGTTTATTTAGTATTACCACTAATTTGGTTTTTGTGGGTGGTAGTAAAGGTTTTCATATTTGCATCATGAGTAGCTTGGGCCTACATAACTTGTTTACTACTTTTTAAAATTTATTTTTAAAAGTATCTATTCTCTTTTACATGTATTGTTCTAAGGGTATCATATAGTATTATATTTTCATTTTTTTCATATTAATCTGCCTCTGGAGAACCAATTTGATATTTTATTTTTCTGGTATTTGTTTATGGCATTTGTTTCTCTATTGATTTATTAAAGAGCTATTTGAATTGGTGCTCTTTAAGATACAGTTAAATCCTTTGTCCTCAGCTCCCCACACTCACCACATGGAAATGACATTTTCCAGACCTCTGTTTGGGGTTTCTTGGCACATGTGGCCATGCTTAGGAGTTTAAATTACTACCAGCAGCTCATGGATGATATGTAATTACAAAATTTAATATGATAATCAAATGGTGAGAAAAATTTCTCCTAAAACTTGTTGAAATTTAAAAGATTTTATGGTTGTAAACCACGATTATTAATATGATATTTACAATTATTTTTTAATGTAGTATTTGGAGAACATCCTATTTATTTAAAAAATATTCTTTTATTTGGAAATTTAAAATTTTAACAAAATTCGGCTGGGCATGGTAGCCCACACCTGTAATCCTAGCACTTTGGGAAGCTGAGGTAGATGGATCATCTGAGGTCGGGAGTTTGAGACCAGCCTGGCCAACATGGTGAAACCCCCATCTCTACTAAAAACACAAAAATTAGCCTGGTGTGATGGCGCATGCCTGTAATCCCAGCTACCCAGGAGGCTGAGGCAGGAGAATCACTGGAACCTGGGAGGCAGAGGCTGCAATGAGCCAAGATCATCCCACTGCACTCCAGCCTGGGCTACAGAGCCAGACACCCATCTCAAAAAAAAAAAATTTACCAGATTTTATTAATGATTTTGATAGTGTTTCTCACAAAAGTTGTTTCTGTGCTACAGTGTTCTTTCTTTAAAAACTGATCTTTTAAAAGCAATTTTAAAAAATACTTAGTTCAAGTTGATCAGGCTTATTGTCATTTAAAACAATTATGTATGCTCTTTTTACATGAGTGGTAAGGATTATTATAATTTCCTAACCCTTGCCCTAAAAGTATACTTTTTAAAAGTAATTTTAATGAAAAGTCAATGTTAATGTGCATCAGCAAGGAAAATGCTATACTTATTATTTATACCTTTTTTTTTTTTTTTTTTTTTGAGATGGAGTTTTTTTTGCTGTTGTTGCCCAGGCTGGAGTGCAGTGGCACAATCTGGACTCACCGCAACCTCCGCCTCCCGAGTTCAAGCGATTCTTCTGCCTCAGTCTCCTGAGTAGCTGGGATTACAGGTGTGCGCCACCACACCCAGCTAATTTTTTGTATTTTTAGTAGAGATGGGGTTTCATCATGTTGGCCAGGCTGGTCTTGAACTCTGGACCTCACGTGATCCACCCGCCTCGGCTTCCCAAAATGCTGGGATTACAGGCATGAGCCACTGCACCTGGCGTATTTATACCTTTCTTTATGGTGAAATTATCTTGGCCCTAATTTTGAGTGAAGTGGCAATGAAAAATGACTACTTACTAGTTTAACTGAGCAATCAATATTAGATTTTGAAGATAAGATATGAGATGGATAATGTCTAACTAACTTACGGTGGATTTGTTTGGGTGTAGAGAAGGCAAGTATAACTGACTTCTAGATGAAGTGCCTGGCACAGGTTTAAGAAAAAGAAATACTGTATAAACAGTTACCATTAAATTATAAAGGGATGAAGGCAGATATATACAGAATAGTCCATCATTACAGTTAAAACCAGTTCATTTATGAAAAAGCAAATATTATTCTGAAGTTAAATTTTAGTTCAAGAACTGTCAAGTGAAGCTGCAAGTACTTCTGGCTATGAGCAGCCTAGTTTACTCTCATCTTGAATATATCATTTGCTATACTTTTCCCTGGTTTAGAAGTGAATATTGTCCTGGTAGAGCCAAGGGGGCAGGAGGCATAAATCTGCAAGTTTATATGGTTCACTGTCTCAGTAACTGGAGGCGAAGACTATTGGTTTTCCTCAGGCTTATCTGTTAGTATTTGACATTTACTTTGTTAATGGCATCATAAGGAAATCGAGGTCCAGAGAGGAAAATTCACACAGAATCATTGGTTGAAACTGGAACAAGAGCTTAAGAACTGGGACAAGAACTCTCTTTTTACCCTTAATAATAGGGTGGCAGTTGGGGAGGAATTTCCTATTTTGATGTGATTTCCTAAATCATAAATTAGTAGCTACTCAGAGGCAGTAAGAGCAAAATAAGCACAAAAGTTTAATTCTTAAGGAAATTGAGAATACAATTTATTATGGCTAAGTATGAAATAATAATTAACATTTATTATCCTTAATTCTGGGCCGTATACCTGCTTTCTATACCTTATCTCATTTAATTTTTGTAACAGCTTTATGAGAGGTAGGTATTATTGCTTATATTGATGAGAAAACAGCTATAATATAACTAGGAAGTAGCAGAACTGATACTCAAATTAAGATCTGTCTGACTCTAAGGCCAAACTGTAAACCATTATATGCACTACTGTGGCTTTCTTTTTCAACCTGATGTATCTTTTTAAAGAGGAAATAGGGTATAAGAAAACCCATCCAAAGCTTAGTTACTCTGTAGATCCCTTTTGATTTTAAAAAAAAAAACAAGTGTTTTGAATTGTTATCACTTTAGTATTATACATTTCCAACAGTTGGAAAGTATTTAGTGATTATTCACTCCCTCTAAAAATTAGTGAAATGTAGTCTAGTAGCATCTAGCCTTAACCTTTTATTTTATTTTTAAACAGAAACATTGTTCCCTTCATCTTGAGAGATTACAAGAATCACAAAAGGTCACTATACAGATATCACAGGTTAGAGAGATTGTACCCTTTTCTGGATAAACATCATAAATCCAATGGTACAGGCCTTATATTTAAGAAGGGGTTGAAATTGACTTTATTTAGAGTAACTAAATTGCATTCCCACATACCCTAATCCTCTAATAAGTGAAGTGACTCTATCAAGTGTTATAATTAACTTCCTATTCTTCTGAAGCGTGAAGGGAACTGAAGAAAACATGTAGCTTTGCAGCCTTTTATGACTTGCTTTCTAGAATCGTTTATGACATTATGCGAAAGTATATTGGTATAGCAAGGTCGTATGTGAAAACAGCAGGTTTTCTGTGTAGCGCAGAACCAATAAAATAAATGTAATATTAATGAGAACACAAGCATTAGTACTGATAGAATTATGTATCTTATGCTCATTTTCATGGATAAACAGTTTACAATTTTAGAATTACCTTTTAAAAATCTTCATTTAAATTGAGTAATTTAGTTTAAAACTAGATGACTCTTTAAACCTTAGCTGTTAATTCTATACTTTGTTACTAAAAGAAGACCCAAGATCTGTGCTTTTTGTTACTCTGATATAAAATGTTTATTATTACAAATCAATAGACAGATAAGTATAAATATATATGAGCAGATAGCCTTTTTATAAGCACTTTGGAAGTGCCCAGAAATAAAAATCATAGCTGTGGTCTTCAGGGAGCTTTAAACGTAGTTGGATAGAAGTTTGCCCTGTTTTTTTTTAATGGGCAAACTTAGATTTTCTCTAAACTGTGTTTTTGAATTGCTTAGCCTTTTCATAAGAAAAAGAAGAACCTCCCTCTCATGATCAGAGACAGTGCTTATTGATGGCCTTTTGGCCATGTAGTTTCTTTTTTATTTTAGAAGTCATCTCATGTGTTGTAATCTAGTTGCCTCTTCAGTTAATTTTTCTCTGAGTAGTTTTGAAATTAAAGAGGATTTCTACTGCTCCAAGTAATGAGATTATAGTTTTCCTCTCTTGGTTATATAATATGTTGATTATTTGTGATGAGTTTGCTCTCTGTTATTCCTTGGAATTTCTTTGCAGATTAGTTCCTAAACTTTCAGAGAAGTTGGATAGACTTCTGGACTTAAGAATTTCAAAAAGCTTAATAAGAAAGTGTCAGGTGGAGACATTGCCTGAAACTTACTCCTTTCATATATATATATATATATATATATATATATATATATATATATATATATGTATATATATATTTATATATGTATTATATATATATTTAAATATGTATTATATATATTTAAATATGTATTATATATATTTAAATATATATTATATATATATAAATTTTTTTGAGATTTGGGGAATTTTATTTTTACTTGTACATATCATACTGTAAGTAGTCACACACGTATTTTAAAATTCCAGCTCAAAATTATCTAGTGCTCCATTGTTTATATTGTTTGTTTGCATTTGACCGCTTGACTATGATCTAGTAAATATTTAAATATTCCATTCTGGTCACGTGTTTAAACCAGTACACATTGGCCTTTTTATTAAAAAAGAAATGTGGATTATAAATTCATACACACATTTTTATGTTGGTCTCCTGTATTCACTTGAGGCAACTACATGTTGTAAAGTAAGTTATAATTTTTAATGTTACTCGACTAACTTTATAAGTATCTGCTCAAAGAGATGCTATTGTTCTTTTTGATAATTGTTGCTGGCCTTAAAGTGCCTGGGAGGGTTATCGAACTCTCATCAATTGGTTGTGAAAGCTAATTTCTGATGGAAACACCCAGATTTTGGTCTGTCTGCTGCTTGTGTTTTGATGTAAAAGTATTTTAGTAAAAATTATTTGAAGTTTTAAGCCACTGTGTTGATAAATATGGTGTGTGGTCATTGCTGCCTACCTTGTAAAGACTGAAAACAATTTGTTCTTTTCCCAGTGTAACCTTTTTTTCCCTTTAGTTCATACCAGAGACAGCGAAATGAGGGCAAAGGAAAGAGTAGATTAAGGAGTTTAGGTAGTTAATCCTTGCAGTTCCGTTTGTATGAAAGGGAAGGCTCAATTATTACATGTAAACAAATAATACCTGAATGTGTGAGGTTATCTTATAGATATTTATTAATTGAATTAGATATGTTCTTAAAATACACCAATCTAATTATCAAATGGCTTTCCCCCCCCAGTTCTGTAGAAAATATTCTCAAAACACTCGTGAAAAGCTGCCGACCGTAAGTAGCTTCTCAATTTATAAAGCCTCTTGTTGTTTCTGTGGGCTTTTCCACATCTTTAGTATGGTTTGAAAAGGAAATGAAAAGTATAAATAGTTCCTGACATTGTGATGTTAGTCACTGAGCACAACATACCGTTTCCAGTTCATTAACTGAACTTCTCAGATTTCATTTAGAAATTTAGAAATTTTAAAGTCATCCATTGTAAAGTAAGAATACCATACTTTACATAAAATCATCTTTATTTGGAAGCATTTCCTAGAGTATTGTTATTTGTTATTCAGACAAAAAATAGGAGTAATGCCAAGAAGGTGGTTCATAACTTTTTTCAACTATGTTCTGTAGAATATTTAAATATCCCATATTCTTTTCTTTTTATTTCAATATTTTTTGTAGAGAGTGGGGCCTTGCTGTATTGCCCGGGCTGGTCTTGAACCCCTGGCCTCAAGCAGTCCTCCCACCTTGGCCTCCCAAAGCATTGGGATTATAGGTGTGAGCCACCACTCCCAGCCAATTATCCTATATTCATATGATCAAAGATGAGTGTGGATAAAATTTAATTTTAATTTTTTTGGTTATCTTTAATTTTAATTAATTAAAGCTCAATTTTACGTACTTGAACTTTTTTTGTGTTGTTATCAAGTTATTCTAAGACTGTTTAGATGATATGGAATCAGTGACTCCTTTTTGGTGAAAAGCCATGTATTATATGCTTGTAATACTCATCTTAAATACATATTTAATAAATCGGATATTTATTGCTGACCTTCTGTATTACTCAATGTTGGGCAAATGTATTTTCGGAATATGAGATATCTGTCTCTCAAGCAACTTAAGGTTCACCCTGAGTCATAAGCCACCAATGAACAGTGTCATTTTATGCGAGGCAGTTACCTTCTTGGCCTGTGTTTCCTCACTGGAAACTTGATTATCACTTCAATACTTACTGGCTCATAGGTAATTCATAGAACTCCCAAGTTTTTATTTTGGATTACAGGGTTAACAATTGAATCAGAAAACTTAAGAAGGAGAATTGATCCTTGATATGTGAGATCTTTGAAGGTGGAGCATAGTTTGTTTTTGTTTTTTTAAAATTCCAACCTGTTACACAAGGACCTGACACATAAACGCTTTGTGAACTCAACAGAAGTATTCTTAGAAATATAATTTTATTTTTCACATAGAAGATTGCAGTATGATTTTAATTAACACAAGTATATGAAGATATAGTAGGATTAATAATATGCTGTGTGGGCCAAGCCTATAAGTCTATTTGAAAGAGTTTCCCAACTTATTTGGAAAGAATCAGAATTTTTCATATGCTGTTTGTATTTTAAACCTCTTAAGGCTGGGTGCGGTGGTGCTCTCCTGTAGTAGCAGCTACTTGGGAGGCTGAGGTGGGAGGATCACTTCAGTTTAAGAGTTTGGGTCCAGCCTAGGAAACACAGTGAGACTCTTGTCTTTAAAAAAAAAAAAAAAAAGCCCATTAAGGTGTATTTAGCAGTTTTACATGTATCCTCTTTATTTACCTTCATTTTGTGTGTATATGCACACTTTGGATTTTAATTTTGTCCAGGGACACTCCTGTCCATATCATACAGTTATGGAATATCACAGCCTGTAGACCAGATCATCTAGTCTTCTCGTATAGGGGAGGACTCTGTGTTCCAAGGAAGGTAAATGGTTTATTCAACATGCCTAGAGATTGCTGGACTGATGTTCTCTTTCTCGTCTACTGGTAATCCTTTTCCTGTTTAGACTGGATTCTTTTTGACAAGATTTTTTTTTAATTGTTACATAGCACAAAGGAAGTAAGACAAAAACTCTGTTTAATTTTATAGGTAACTGAGTGACTTGTATTTTATCTGAGTTTTATCAACTTCATAGTGTTTAGAAAAATTCCCTTAGACAAGAGAAGAATTTACTTTATCCCAAGTATGATGGGGAATTTTTTTTTTTTTTTGAGATGGAGTCTCACTCTGTTGCCCAGGCTGGAGTGCAATGGTGCAGTCTTGGCTCACTGCAACCTCCATCTCCTGGGCTCTAATGATCCCCCAACCCCAGCTTTCTGAGTAGCTGGGACTACAGATGTGCGCCGCCATCATGTCTGGCAAATTTTTTGTAAAGACTGGGTTTTGCCATTTTGCCCAAGCCAATCTTGAACTCCTGGGCTCAAGTGATCCATCGACCTCAGCTTCCCAAAGTTCTGGAATTACAGGCATGAACTACTGCACCCAACTGGGGCATTTATTTTAGTATTGTGAAAATGTGTGTTAGTTTGGACATTTGTAGACTGTGTTACATGCTATGACATATATTCTCCTCCTCCCCCAGCCTTTTGGTCAGTTATATATATTGCTGTTGTAGAGCTTTTAGCCAATAATCAGATACATGAAAACCTTCTTTTTTTATTAGATATTTTCCAGCAGATGCCACCGCTGAGATGCTAGAAGAATGGCGACCTTTAATGTGCCCTTTTGATGTAACCATGCAAAAGGCCATCACTTATTTTGAAATATTTCTTCCTACCTCCCTTCCTCCAGAACTTCATCATAAAGGTTTTAAGTAAGTATGTTCATATCTTGACAAATTCTAAAAATACGGTAGGAAATACAGATAAAGAAACTAGTAAAACAATAACAACTAGAAAAATCATTTTGCAAGTTCAGCCATTATTGTACTTCAAGTTTATTATACTTGAAGTGTGTTAAGGCTAAAACGGTTGTAAGATTGAAAGTAAAGAGATGACACCCAAATAAGATGAGGGCTTTAAGAAATTAAGAGAAAGAAAAAATTGTCAGAAGGGGTAATAACAGGAAAACAGATAAAAGGAGAAGGGCAGGGAAAAGGAGGTAGAAAATTGAAAACAATTGTTAAATAAGAATGGACAGTACTTAGTAATGAAGCAGAAGTTTAATCTGTGAGATCATATTTCTTAAATAAATTAGGAAAGGAATATTCAGACAAGAAATACCCCTTTGTTTTATTAAGTTTATAACTTCAGTATTGTTTTTTCTAGTTAACGTAGTTATCAGTAAGAATAATAGATTATAAAAAAGACAAAGCATAGCTGGCATTGAACCACTTTAAAATCACTTGCTATTCATAACAACATTTTTCTTCTTTAGACTTTGGTTTGATGAATTAATTGGCCTTTGGGTTTCAGTGCAAAATCTCCCACAATGGGAGGGGGTAAGTATCCCTTTTTCCCTTTCTTCCCCCCTATAGTTTTTTTTTTCTTTTTTCCCCCCCATACTTTTTTAATTTGGAGATAAATATTAATAGATCATTTGGTAAGTAACTTGAAGTTCCTTAGGATTGGCTGTTAGCCATGTTATGATCAGTTTCTTTTCAATTTTATATTATTTGTTGTATTCTAACAAAAGTATGCATTTATTTTGGTTTTATCAATATTTAGGAGTATAAGCATGTATTGTAAAATGCATGAAATGTAAGATCCCATTGTTTTCTTTGGTACCTGTACTATCATGCTGCTGGACATATAGTGGATATTTTCAGCATATTTGTTGGATTAAAATTTCCTTTTCTATATTCATTGTGGATGGTGCTTTGTCATTTTTCTTTTTAGAAGCATTTTAACTGCAACTGATTTTAAATGCGTGACATGAATCAATTTAAATTTGGAGGTTTTAAAAAAAACAAAGTCATAAACTATCTATTTAAGTAGATTGCACTAATGATTGCCAAAAAGAACAAATGGAGGAGGGGTGTGACTATGACACTTAAACAATAACAACAAATATATTAACTTTGTCCTTTTTGTTTACTTTCAGCAACTAGTAAATCTCTTTGCTCGATTGGCTACAGATAATATAGGGTACATAGATTGGGATCCATATGTACCAAAGGTAATTAACATTTTGGGGAAAAAAATTATCAGGCATGGGGTGGTAGGCGCCTGTAATCCCAGCTGCTCGGGTGGCTGAGGCAGGAGAATCTCTTGAACCCAGGAGGCTGAGGTTGCAGTGAGCCAAGATTGCAGTACTGCACTCCAGCCTGGGTGACAGAGCTTGACTCCATCTGGAAAAAAAAAAAAACATTTTGAACATAAATACGATAGCACCAACAACAATTTTATGTTGTAAAGGAGAAACGTTTTTTCTATGCCAATTCCAAGTGGCACATAAAATTTTCTTTGATCATTAGTAAAAACATATATAAATAATTTACAGGGCTGGGTCCAATTACCTTTTCAAAAGGTAATTAGACCATATTAAGGTATCATAAATGTGTTTTCTTGTGCAGGGTATGAACTATCAGTGTCAAAGTAATTTGGAAAGTACTAAGTATATTATCGAGAGCATCATACATTTGTACCTTCCAATGGATTTTGTGTACCGTATTTGGTTGCTCCTCTACAGTGCTGCCCACTTTTTAGATCACAGTATATATTTTCTTAGAGTAAATAAAGCTAGATGTTCCAGGTGTGTCTTCAGTACTATTTCACCTGTGGTAGAATAACCTGTGGAGCTTGAGTAGGGCTTGTGGGGGATATCCTGGTGATTCTGATGCACACACTTACATTAGAGCAAAGCTGGGGAGTAGCTGGATGCAGATGCTCTGTTTGCTTTTGCTTGTGGTGTCTTCCTGTGTTGTTTGGCCATTAGAAACTAATTGTGGAAGAGAAATCATTTCTCCCCACCTTTGGGCCGCTACCTATTGGTAATGATAGAGTTGGAATATAAATTTAATTTTATTATAATTGTTAAGTGATTGACTAAAATACAAATTCTTAGGGAAAAATCAAATCACCATTAAAATTTTGAAAGGGAAAGCATTCTGCTAGAAGATACTTGCATTTAGGTTGGTGCTGTTGTGCATGCTTGACATGGAATAGGAGCTCAGGAAAAATTATTTGTGCATTTGGGACAAGAAAGAAGTCAAAATATTTCATGTTTAGCCACAGTATGTTTTTGTCTTTTTATATTTAGCCATAAATAATCACATTTGTCTGTTCTTTGGATACATGGACACAACTGCTTTATGTCCATGTGCCTCTGACCTCAGAGTGTCATACAGCACATCTGTTGATATTTATATGTAATTTTTGAAGAATAAAGCAAGTTACTAAATACTATGTAATTTCACTTAAAAACCCTTGTGATAAAATGAAAATATCTTCAGTAACACTAATATACAGCACTTACTAAGCTAAAGAATTATTTTGATACCTGTAAATATCCTTACTTATTTTTTTCTTTTAAAAGATATTTACAAGAATTCTGAGAAGCTTGAACCTCCCAGTGGGAAGCAGTCAAGTGTTAGTCCCAAGATTTTTAACAAATGCTTATGATATAGGACATGCTGTAATATGGATCACCGCCATGATGGTTTGTAATACATTATATTTGTTTTCTGTAGTTTACGCCTATTTTGTGTTAACCTTACAAAAATTGTGGATAGTCGCAGAAGTTGATAATAGTGGCTTGGTTGGTGACTTGATTCTTGGATATTTTCTGATTTAGCAAGCTCATGTTTATCAAATCCAGAATATAGTGGTACCATTTCTAAATCTCCCTAACCAATGGACATTATAAATAGAGTCAAAAATCTAGGGTTTTGAGGGATTCACGATGTCTAACATTTTTACTGTCCGGGAACCAGACTTGTAGCCCGGAAGACTTTCCCAAGGTAGGATTACAACTCAGGATTTGTATGTGCTTAGACTCCATTACTTACTCACTGTTAATATTCACATAAAACATTGCATTGAACATAAAGCTTACTAACAAAGTAATCTTAGTGAAGGGAGAGATGTGAAGGATTACTTTGTTGACATCATTAAAGGAAAGTGAAGACATATCAAGCTTAGATTTCAATGTCATCTTTCATATAAGAATATTAGAACAGCTTCCTATTATAATTATCTAGTTTATCATTCATATATTGCTTCTGCAGCTATTTCTTCATGAATTATTATTCTGTTTTACACGTTAGCTTGTTTCTGTGGAAAAGACAATTTTTTTTTGTTTAAAAGTTTACTTCTTAAACTTCATTGTAAGAAAAACAAATTTAAGCCCCCCCTTGTTTTTGCCATTTTATTGTTACACAGAAAAATCCCATTTTTCTTAATCAGTAGGAGCAAACACTGAAAGATGTTTACTATCTTACATATGCAGTGAGTTGAAACTGGATTTTTGGGGGCTACAGAATTGGATAGTGATTAGTATTAGTTATTGTGTGAGTGAATTTTGCTCTGCTTTCTCACACAGTTCTCATTGGCAACTTCATTTTGTGTTAAGTGTGAAAATATGGCTGAGTGCCATGGCTCACATCTGTAATCCTAGCACTTTGGGAAGCCGAGATGGAAGGATAGCTTGAGCCCAGGAGTTTGAGACCAGCCTGGGCCACATGGCGAGACCCTGTACAAGAAAACAAAAGTAAAAGTAAGCACGGGCATGATAACACATGCCTATGGTATTAGCTCCTCAGCAGGCTGAGGTGGGAGGATCGCTTGAGCCTAGGAGATTGAGGCTGCAGTGAACCATGTTTGTGCCACTGCACTCCACCCTGGACAACAGAGGGAAACGCTTTTTTTTTTTTTTTTTTTTTTTTTTTTGAGATGGTCTCGCTCTATCGCCCAGGCTGGAGTGCAGTAGCGTGATTTCAGCTCACTGCAACCTCCACCTCCCGGGTTCAAGTGATTCTCCTGCCACAGCCTCCCGAGTAGTTGGGACTATAGGCGCCCACCACCATGCCCAGCTAATTTTTGTATTTCTAGTAGAGACAGGGTTTCACCATGTTGGCAAGGCTGGTCTCGAACTCCTGACCTCAAGTGACCTGCCCGCCTCAGCCTTACATCAGGTTTTTTATGCCTGATGTTAGCATTCTTGGTAATTTTAAGATGATAATCTTAGTGATAAATTTTAGTATCCAGGTTATTTACTGCAGAACAGTAAAGTACGCTGTTTGTTATCCTAAGTTGACAGGTATTTTTTTAGTTTTTTATGTTGGTTCAAGTAAGCTGCCCTTATTTGCAGTAGAATATTTTGAGTTGGTTTGCATGAAGTTCATCAGGGAATTGTTTTTGACTCTTATTTAAAGGTAGAATTTATTTTTGTCAGCAAGTTGACTATAAACTGTATTAGTGATTTACGTATAGGCTTGGGCCTGTTGACCTCTGTTTTTACAGTATGATGTGGGTACTGACATTTTTACTCTTTTATCTGGACAGGGTGGACCAAGTAAGCTAGTGCAAAAACACTTAGCTGGTTTGTTTAACAGCATCACATCTTTTTACCATCCTTCAAATAATGGGCGCTGGCTGGTGAGTAACTTCGTTTTGCATTATAGGGCTTGGAATTTTTAAAGATATGGTCATCCTTGACTATTGCCTATTGTGTGACCTGTAATACATTTTCTGTCCTTCATAGCTTTAGCTATATGTAAATGCTTACATTTAAATTAAATTACTGTGTGGGAGAGCATATAAATTAAATAAATAATATTGATGTGGTAACTGTTGACAACATGGCTCATTTTTGCAAAAAAATGGTAACAAAAATGCCTTAGAAGCATAGAACCATCTTTTCAGTTTTATCCTGTCATCTGTTTTTGTTGTTTTTAAGTTGTCCAGTTAAAATGGCTTTCATGTAATGGAAAATTATGTGCTAGAAATTTTTTTAGACTGGAATTTGAAACTCATTTTCATTAATTATTAGGAATAATTAATTGGTAACTTTTAATTCTATCTAGTTATGCTGTGCAGTTCTTTGTAATAAGATAATAAGAACTGTTATTTTTAAAATCTTTTCTCAAGAAGCTAGAGAGCAACCATGAATGTCTATGCGGCAAAGTAGAACCTACTTAGAACTTTTTGCTTCTGTGTCCCCAGAACAAGTTAATGAAACTACTTCAGCGGTTGCCAAACAGTGTTGTTAGAAGATTGCATCGTGAAAGATACAAGAAGCCCTCTTGGTTAACTCCTGTGCCTGATAGCCACAAGCTTACTGATCAAGATGTTACAGACTTTGTACAATGCATTATTCAGCCTGTCCTCTTGGCTATGTTTAGCAAAACCGGTAGTCTAGAAGCAGCCCAGGCTTTGCAGAATCTTGCACTCATGAGACCTGAATTGGTAATACCCCCTGTACTTGAAAGGTAAGTGGTTAGTGGGAGTCTCAGCCACAGCTAGGTTTTTCTTTTGGTCTGTTCAGCTCGATTCTCTTTTCTCCTCTGTGGCTTCTGTTTTGCTTCTTCGATGCTTATTCCTGTTCCTAGAGGAGAAGCAGGACATTTTAATGTAATGATTGGTAACTTGATAAAGGTTTATTGGAGAGAAAAAAATTGAAATGAAATGGGTAACATACATCTTTTGGATTCTTCACACATTTTAGTTACCAAAATTATATGCTTATGAATTAAGATCTGGCCTTCCTTTTTAGATCGAAATGTTGAGTGTCACTAAGGATTGAGAATATGGCAGTGAAAGTGGTTTTTGGATTTCTTTTATTTCTTAGAATCAGTGGTAGAGAAGAAAATTGTGTTTATTATTTTCATGTATTATATATTCAGGTGTGTTGTTTTTACAGTGTAAGTTTTATTTTATTCATTGTGTTTTGTGTGTTGAAATGGTAAGGAAAACTCTTTACTTGCCTAGCCACTGTCACAGAATAGGCGTGGTATACTTACAAAGAGAGAGACAGCTACTTTTCTTTTTTTTTTGAGATGAAATTTTGCTGTAGTCCCCCAGGCTGGAGTGCAAATCTTGGCTCACCGCAACCTCCGCCTTCCTGGTTCAAGGATTCCCCTGCCTCAGCCTCCTGAGTAGGTGGGATCACAGGCGCCCGCCACCACACCCAGCTAATTTTTGTATTTTTAGTAGAGACGGCGTTTCACCATGTTGGCCAGGCTGGTTTCGAACTCCTGACCTCAGGTGATCCACTCGCCTTGGCCTCCCAAAGTGCTGGGATTGCAGGTGTGAGCCACTGTGCCCGGCCTACTCTTAATTTGAGAGCAATTTTTAAAGTAACTTGTTCAAGAGCAAATTACTTAAGCTTTCTGTTGTACCTCTGATTCTTCCACTATCTGAAGCTTTATGATCTCTTTCTAAATGTTTTTGTCAAATATAGAGGAGGAATGTTAGTTTTTAGAACCCAGAAGGATCTAGCCATTGAGTTCCATAAAAATTTGTCCAAGGTCCCTAGTGGTAGAATTCAGACTATAGCCTATTTTCTGACTTATTGTTGAGACAGAATAAGTGTTGGTCATATTTACTTGGGGAAGGATACCGTGTTCAAGATCTTAACCAAAATGGGCCTCCATTATCTATAATTTTGAGCTGTTGATGCTGCCTTACCTGCCCTCATTGCCATAAATATTCAAGTTAGGCCGTACTTCATTTTCCCAACTTCTCCTATTTTTACATATACATCTTGGGGCATTGAAACTCTTCCAGCTTATAGAACTTAATTAGGAAATGGAGTGGGGGAAGATAGGCAGTTTCCTGTCCGTCTTCAACCCCCAGTATTCTTTGCTTCTTGGCCTCCACAGAGTAGCAGAAGCCAACAGTTAATGTTAGGTTCCCTGATGCTCCCTGGAGAGGAGGGACTTCATCTGTTTGCTTAGCTAACATTTTGAAGTTTGGAGTGTTTTTGATGTTTCTTTAGTTCCCCTTTGCTTTGTTATTTTCAGCTGATTAATTATGAATAGTGAGCTAAATTCTTAGTAGAAAGAACAAAGCTTATAAATAAATAGACCTATCACGTTTTTCTTTAGTCCTAAAATTTTGGACAAATGTAATATCAGCATATTAAGTGATATTGAATGCTTGGCCAAGATAAATATTTAATAGACCAAATTGACAATACAATGACATTTTTTGAGACTTTCAGTTGTAATTTGGTGCTGTTTTGAAGTGGCATCACCTTTTAAAATTTATTATTTATTTATTTATTTATTTATTATTTATTTATTTAGAGACAGACTCTTGCTCTGTTGCCCAGGCTGGAGTGCAGTGACATGATCTCAGCTCACTGCAACCTCCACCTCTCGGGTTCAAGCGATTCTCCTGTCTCAGCCTTCCGAGTAGCTGGGATTACAGGTGTCTGCCACCATGCCCAGCCAATTTTTGTATTTTTAGTAGAGATGGCGTTTCACCATGTTGGTCAGGCTGATCTTGAACTCCTGACCTCAAGCAGTCCGCCTGCCTTGGCCTCCCAAAGTGCTGGGATTACAGGTGTGAGCCACCATGGCTGGCCAAAGATTTTATTTTTAATAAAAGCAAAACTTTTTTAAAAACTAAAAATGTAGAAAAAAATCTTAGACACTTAGTTTTACATCTCCAAGAAAGCTTCTGTTAAAGAGTTTGGTATGTTTTCTCCATTAAAAAAAAAAAAAATAAGCAGCTAGGCTGGCTTATGCCTGTAGTCCCAGGACTTTGGAAGTCTGAGGAAGATGGATTGTTTGAGCTCAGGAATTTGAGACCAGCCTGGGCAACATGGCAAAACTCTGTCACTACAAAAAAAATACAAAAGTTAGCCGGGAGTGGTAACGTTTGCCAGTAGTCCCAGCTACTTGAGAAGCCAAGGCAGGAGGTTTACCTGATCTGGGCAATGTGGAGGCTGCAGTGAGCTGTGATCAGGCCACTGCACTCCAGCCTGGGGCAGAGTAAAACCCTGACTCCAGGGTTGGGGGTGGTCAGGGGAAAGAAAGAGTAGAGTATCTGTAACTTGTTATTCCACTGACTGACCGTTAGATTAGTATAATATAGATTAGGATGGCTGAAATCATGCAGGATCTATCAGTTGATGTTCTTTTGGTTTTTTTTTGAGACAGAGTCTTGCTCTGTCGCCCAGGCTGGAGTGCAGTGGCATAATCTTGGCTCACTGGAACCTCCGCCTCCCAGGTTCAAGCGATCCTCCTGCCTCAGCCACCCGAGTAGCTTGGATTACAGGCATGCACCACCACACCCCGCCAATTTTTGTATTCATGGTAGAGGCAGGGTTTCACCATGTTGGCCAGGCTGGTCTCAAACTCCTGACCTTAGGTGATCTGCCTGCCTTGGCCTCCCAAAGTGCTAGTGTTACAGGTGTGAGCCATCACACCCTGGCCTCTACCAGTTTGTGTTCTTTTTTCACTGTGGAATTGGCATGGAAAGAGTTGGTAAGGTAGCAGGGGATTGGGGACATGTGCAATAAATAATCTGTGTATCTTTCCTTTATTTGTGTACAGTAGTGTCTCCCCTTACTGGTGAGGGATGTGTTTGAAGACCCCCAGTGCATACCTGAAACCATGGATAGTACTGGACCCTATGTATACTGTGTTTTTTCACATGCATGCATACCTGTGATAGTTTAATTCATGAATTAGGCACAGTAAGAGATTAAAAACAATCATAAAATAGAACAATTATAAAAATATATTGTTCAGTGTAATAGAAGTTATGTGAATATGGTCTCTCGTTCTCAGGACACAAATATTTGGTTAACCTTTGTTAACTGAAACTACGGAAACTACAGATAACGGGGCTACTGTAATTGTTAACTTTGATTGCAGATTTTCACTCTGAGTATTTTGCTAACTGTAAGCCTTTAAGTCAAAGTGCAGTTTATGAATTTATTATATTTAATGTATTATGGTATTATGCATATCTGTGATGGAGACTTTAAAAATTCTGTTTTCAAACTGTAGAACATATCCTGCATTAGAGACATTAACAGAACCTCACCAGCTCACAGCTACTTTAAGTTGTGTAATTGGAGTAGCCCGCAGTTTGGTATCAGGAGGCAGATGGTTTCCTGAAGGTCCTACACATATGCTACCTCTGTTGATGAGAGCATTGCCTGGGGTGGATCCAAATGACTTTAGTAAATGCATGGTGAGTATATTGGTGATTATACACTCCGTATTTAGGTAGGAGGCAAAGTAAACTTCTCAGTGACAAAAGGTTGGAGAAGTTTGTGCATAAGCCTAATATAAATATGAAAATAAATGTTGTATAATTTAATTATTAAAGTAACAGTTGTTTATTTATTTATTTATTTTGAGACGGAGTCTTGGTCTGTCACCTAAACTGGAGTGCAGTGGCGCGACCTCGGCTCATTGCACTGTGATCCACCTCCTGGGTTCCAGCAATTCTCCTGCCTCAGCCTCTTGGGTAGCTGGGATTATAGGCACACGCCACCATGCCTGGCTGGGTTTCGTATTTTTAGTAGAGACAGGGTTTCACCATGTTGGCCAGGCTGGTCTCGAACTCCTGGCCTTAAGTGATCCACCCGCCTCAGCCTCCCAAAGTGTTGGGATTACAGGTGTGAGCCACTGCGCTCGGCCGACAGCTAGTTAATTATGAAGAACCTTACAGTGTTCAATTCTAAATGAGGAATACCCAGAAAAACTGTTGTGGGATTTTGATCAAGATAATTTATTGGGGTAATTTATTGTAGTTCATGGTATACTTGTATTTCTGAATTAGAATTATGTAATGTTGAAAATCCTTTGTATGTTTCCACAGATCACATTCCAGTTCATAGCAACATTTTCTACTCTGGTGCCTTTAGTAGATTGTTCATCTGTACTACAAGAAAGAAATGACCTCACAGAAGTAAGGGTATTTTATGGTTATAAAAGGGCTAAGATGTTCTAATTATTATTGCATATGCATAGTAACACTTGACAGTTTAGAAACGACTTTGGAAGTAAAATCACTATTTTGTGACTAGAATGGTACATATGGAGGGCCAGGACATCATTGGCAAGAGAGTCTACAGAGCACCCACCACAGGAGGTGGCTCAAAAATAGGCTGTTTCTATAAACATCTGACATCTGGAGGTGTATTTCAGTTTTATGTCACTTTTCAATGTTTTGTTAAGCAAAAGATGGTGATATTTTATTTTTCTATCATCTTAGGTTAGTAATAAATCTGTCCAAGGGATTGACATTTAATGAAGAAAGATTTTCTTCATTCATTTCTGTCTGGCTCTTTCAAAACTTCTTTCTTTCTTTCTTTCTTTCTTTTTTTTTTGAGATGGAGTCTTGTTATGTCACCCAGGCTGGAGTGCAGTGATGTGATATCGGCTCACTGCAACCTCCACCTCCTGGTTCAAGCAATTCTCCTGCCTCAGCCTCCCGAGTAGCTGGGACTACAGGCATGCACCACCATGCCTGGCTAATTTTTTGTAATTTTAGTAGAGATGGGGTTTCATCATGTTGGCCAGGCTGGTCTCGAACTCCTGGCCTCAAGTAATCTGCCCGCCTTGACCTCCCAAATGCTGAGATTACAGATGTGAGCCACTGTACCCAGCCCCCAGAACTATTTTCTTTATTGCAAGCATGTTGCCCAGGCTGGAGTGCAGTAGTGCCATCTTGGCTCACTGCAGCCTCTGCCTCCTGGGTTCAAGTGGTTCTTGTGCCTTAGCCTCCCGGGTAGCTGGGATTACAGGCGTGTGCCAACATGCCTGGCTAATTGTGTATATGTGTATTTTTAGTAGCGATGGGGTTTTGCCATGTTGGCCAGACTGGTCTTGAACTCTTGACCTCAAGTGATTCGCTTGCCTCGGCCTCCCAAAGTGCTAGGATTACAGGCATGAGCCACAGTGTCTGGCTAGCTACCGTGCCCAGTCGCGAGCATGTTATTGTTTATATTTTTCTGGACATTCAGGTAGTGAGAGACTAGACTTTGCAAAAATCAGCAGTTTGAAAACTGAATTTATAATAAAGATAGCTGCTTGACTTCTGTATTTGGCCCTTGTAAAATAACATTAATTTCTTCTTTCTTTGGTTCCTAGAAAGTAGTAGATGAAGTTGTTCTAAATTGAAAGTAGTAGATGAAGTCTAGCATGGTGCTGTTTCTCATAGTACCCAATATAATGGTTTAGTGTGGATACATTTGGCAGGCAATAATTGAGTTTTGTTAGTTCAGGAAAAAAAAACAAAGGCTATATGTAATCTTTCTCCATATTGGGATATTATAGGTGGAACGAGAACTTTGTTCAGCCACAGCTGAATTTGAGGATTTCGTCTTACAGTTTATGGACAGGTGAGCTTGTAACCCACACCAACGTTTAGCTGAAATTCTAGAAAATGACTCTTCTATCCCAGAAAGTTTAGTTTATTTCTGCATTATAACCTTTATTTAGCTACTACTGGTGCTCCTGAAGTTATAAAAGGATAATCGATTTGTGAACCACGTAGAAATTAAGTAGCTATCACTTGAATAATTAGGACAATAGAGAGTTACCTGATGACCACCAAAAATGTCAAACCAGATTTTAGTTGCTGAAATTATGCTTTGTTTGGATTATTTAGATGTTTTGGACTTATAGAAAGTAGCACATTGGAGCAAACAAGAGAAGAGACAGAAACTGAGAAAATGACACACTTGGAGAGTTTGGTCGAATTAGGTCTGTCTTCTACGTTTAGTACAATCCTCACCCAATGTTCCAAAGAAATATTTATGGTAAGAACATTGCTGCAAAAAATAAACTTCCAGCTTTTAAGTTTCATTTGATGTTTTAAAATTGACTTCAAGTTACTTTGTGTATATCATGCAGTTTATCATTTACATTCATACTAAAGTTTTAAAGAAATGTACAGTTGCTCATTATTTGCAAATTTCGTATTTGCAAATTTACCTGTTTGCTCTAACTATTTGCAACCTGAGAATCAAGCTTTTGCGACTGACAAAAATTCAGTTACTTAAATTTGATCTCACATATGCCATGTGTTCTCAGCTGAGAGCAAACGAGGCACTCTGCCGTCTTATATCCAGCTCCACTTAAACAACTGTCCCCTTTGCGATCTATTTAATGCCACTTTTTTACATTTTTTTGCTTCTTATTGGTGATTCTGCTGTTTAAAAATGTCAAAAATGGCTCCCAAGAGTTTATTGTTTAAAGTGGTTGAGGGTTCCTAAGCATAAGAGAGTTGTGCTGTGCCTAATGGAAAAAACACTGTGCTAGGTAAGCGTCAACAGGCATGAGTTATGTTGCTGTTGACTGCGGATTAAATGTTAGTGAATCAACAATATGTATTAAATAAGTTGTCTGTAAACAGAATCACACTTAGGATTATGTATTGATCAGTTGATGAAAATGTTGTCACCATAGGTTCACAGGAACATAATCCTGTATTTCCCCTGGGAGCAATGGTTCAGTATTTGCTAGTTCAGTGGTCACAGCAAATTTATAGAACATGACTACCATGAACAACAAGAAACAACTGTCGCAGGGGGGATAGCATTAGGAGAGATACCTAATGTAAGTGACGAGTTAATGGGTGCAGCACAGGAACATGGCACATGTATACATATGTAACAAACCTGCATGTTGTGCACATGTACCCTAGAACTTAAAGTATAATAAATAAAAAAAAGAAACAACTGTATTTTTTAATTTTACAATTAAAAACAGTTACTCAGCTGAGTTTTAGAAATTGCTTATGACATCACTCCCATGATAGAAATTAAATCCTAAGACTAACTGATGGATTAGAAGTAGTTATCTTCATAAGACATTCAGTAAGCATTCACTAATTCAATATTGGTTGGTACCTATTATTTGTAATGTGGTACCTATTATCTGTAGCCTTTAAGACTACACTTTATTTTCATTTCTGTTTCTTCTCCCATCATCTGTAATTATCACTGTTAAATATGTTAATCCTAGAAGCCAAACTGCCTTATAGCTGTGTGAAATAAATACTATGATTATGTTAGTATAAAGAAATGAACACAAATCATCTCTTATTTAACCAAAAAGAGTTGTTTATACTTTTCAGTATTGTTAACCCAGGTATAGAACTCATTCTTCCATTGAGCAAGTAAATTAAAGTTTTGTGACATGACTGTAAAATAAACAGACTGCTTCAGTTCTTTTAGGGTAAGGATAGATGTCTAGTTTGTAGTTGTCAGGATGACAAATTGTATTAGGTATTCCAAAAAATTCCCTTTGTTATATTCAATTAGCCAGAAAGACAATTAAATTGCATTTGCTTCCACCAGGTATAATTTTATGTGTAGGGTTTCTGTGGCAAGTGAAATCTTGTACCTCAATTTTTTTTTTTTTTTTTTTTTTTTTTTTTTTTGTTAACTCTGTCACCTGGGCTGGAGTGCAGTGTCGCGATCTCGGCTCACTGCAACCTCCACCTCCCGGGTTCAAGCAATTCGCATGCCTCAGCCTCCCGAGCAGCTGGGACTACAGGCATGCGCCACCATGCCTGGTCAATTTTTGCATTTTTAGTGGAGACAGGGTTTCGCCATGTTGGCCAGGCTGGTCTTGAGCTCCTGATGTCAAGTGATGCTCCTGCCTCAGCCTCCCAAAGTGCTAAAATTACAGGTGTGAGCCACCACATCCAGCCAGTACCTAAAATATTTTGTTCAAGTTAGGATCGTGGGCAAAGATTGTTCTTAGACCTGAATGTAACATCATTAAACAAATTCTTATAAAATCAGATGGTTAAAAATTGCCTATGGGCTTATTTTTGGAATTGTCTAAATATATTTATCATTTTCTTTTATGTTCTGTAAGATGTTTAATTTTCTTAAAAAATGCTCATTAAACATTTTCATATCTTAACAGGTGGCCCTTCAGAAGGTTTTTAATTTTTCTACTTCACATATATTTGAAACAAGAGTAGCAGGTCGCATGGTGGCAGACATGTGCCGCGCTGCTGTAAAGGTGAGTTTATTTTTTTGAACTGATGTATTAATGACTCAACAATCAACTAGTTTATATGGTTAATTATTAGAGGTGCTTCTATGCTTAAAATGCATAGTTCTTTCAGTAGCTGCTTATTTACAGCCTTTTACTGCCACTGAAAATATAATCTTGTATATATTTGCCTTTCAAAAAAGCCTTACTTATACAAATACATTTTCAGTGCTGCCCAGAAGAATCTTTGAAGCTCTTTGTTCCCCACTGCTGCAGTGTTATAACTCAGCTTACAATGAGTAAGTCATAAGGTCATTATTCTCTCTTTACAATTTTGGATAAGTTTTTTTCTTGGTTTCTAAAACTCTGTTAATGACAACAGATTCCTTTAGCTTCACAATATTTTGATTGGCAATTTGGGGAAAATTTGTCTCCAAAAAAGATATCATCCAGGTTGGCAGTAGCTTAAAAATGTTACTTTATTAATATTCTTATACAACCACCATTCAGAGGTTACCTTCAAAAATATCAGTTATTTTGTGAGATATAGAGGGGCAGAAGTCTTGGTTGGTGTGTTTATTTTCTTGAAAATTCTGTTTCTACCTCCTTTTGGAACAAGCTCAGCTTCATGAAGAAGAAATAAAAAGTCTTCCTAAAAGAGGTTTTCCTCAGCTATTGGAAATATTAAATAGAAGTATTTTAAAATGCTATATTTAGTTGAATGCATAGGTTTTTCCCCCTAATAGTATTTTGCTGTTTTTAGATGATGATGTATTAAATGATGAAGAGCTAGACAAGGAATTACTATGGAATCTTCAACTTTTGTCTGAGGTATTGTAAATCTTTGGAATAAGAAACATGACTGTGAAAACACTGACTTGCTTTTAGGATTTAGCTCTTTCTGACAAAATGACTTTAAAACATATGAAAAGTCAGAGTTTTGGAAATTTGATGAGGCTTCAGAAGATCAGAATATGTCATACTCTTATTGTCAAAGGAGTGGTGTAGTTGATCACTGCATGTTCAGCCATCTACTTAGTTTTACCAGTTAATTCTAATATGGGTAACTCATTAATTGAAAAAGTTGATCAGATTTGGGAATTTTTTTGGTCTACACTTTAAATTTGGCCATCAATCAAACTTCAGTTTTCTTTTCTTTTCTTTTCTTTTCTTTTTTCTTCTTTTTGTCTCACTATCGCCCACGCTGGAGTGCAGTGGTGCAATCTCGGCTCACTGCAAACTCCGCCTCCCAGCTTCACGCCATTCTCCTGCCTCAGCCTCCCAAGTAGCTGGGACTACAGGCATCCGCCACCACGCCCGGCTAATTTTTTGTATTTTTAGTAGAGACGGGGTTTCACTGTGTTAGCCAGAATGGTCTCAATGTCCTGACCTCGTGATCCGCCTGCCTCAGCCTCCCAAAGTGCTGGGGTTACAGGTGTGAGCCACCGCGCCTGGCCCAAACTTCAGTTTTCTTTTTTTTGAGACGGAGTCTCGCTCTGTCGCCCAGGCTGGAGTGCAGTGGCACGATCTCGGCTCACTGCAAGCTCCGCCTCCCGGGTTCACGCCATTCTCCTGCCTCAGCCTCCCAAGTAGCTGGGACTACAGGCGCCCGCCACTACGCCCGGCTAATTTTTTGTATTTTTAGTAGAGACGGGGTTTCACCGTTTTAGCCGGGATGGTCTCGATCTCCTGACCTCGTGATCCGCCCGCCTCGGCCTCCCAAAGTGCTGGGATTACAGGCGTGAGCCACCGCGCCCGGCCAACTTCAGTTTTCTTTATCATTTTTTTCAGAAGTTTAATTAGGGCCAGGCGTGGTGGCTCACACCTGTAATCCCAGCACTTTGGGAGGCCGAGGCGGGCGGATCACTAGGTCAGGAGTTAGAGACCATCCTGGCCAACATGGTGAAACCTTGTCTCTACTAAAAATACAAAAATTATCTGGGCATGGTGGCGTGTACCTGTAATTCCAGCTACTTGGGAGGCTGAGGCAGGAGAATTGCTTGAATAGAATAGACTCTTTTGAAAGGGATGTTACTATGGTGCATGAAAGCTTAAGCTCAGAAAATGTGTTTGATTTCAAAAAACAATTAATTATTAGAATGCAGTTAAAGTGACAATCCTAAAATTAATTAAAGTCATTTAGAGAAACACTAGGTTAGTGGCCAAACATTGAACTTTGCATTAATGATTGGTTCTTGTTCTTTTAACCAAAATATCTTCAACTATTTTTTCCCTCCTTTTAGATTACTCGAGTGGATGGAAGGAAGTTGCTTCTTTATAGGGAGCAGCTTGTAAAGATTCTCCAAAGAACCCTACATTTAACCTGTAAGCAGGGTTACACTCTGTCTTGTAACCTTTTGCATCATCTTCTCCGTTCTACCACACTTATCTACCCTACAGAATACTGCAGTGTGCCAGGTGGCTTTGACAAGCCTCCTTCTGAATACTTTCCTATCAAGGCAAGCATTTTCAGTACTTTAGGATTCAAGAATATGTTGATTTTTTGTTTTAAGGGATTCAAAGTGTTATTTTTTCTTGCATATGTTAGTTTTTTACTTTTAAGATAGATTATTGAAACTATTATTGGAATATGTGAAACTTGTGCTGTCTCACTTTGCATGGAACTGAAACTCTAGTTTTCTTTCCTATTGATATGTGAAACAACTTCGTATATATTCCTTATCTAATGTCTATAGTTCAATATAATTTTATTGCTAAACTAAGCCTCACTTAAACTCATCATCACTCTTACAGTATCACTCTTAGAGCAAACTCATATTATAATGAGTACTCTTCGGGGAGACTTTTTTCAGGAGTGATAACGAAGAGGCAGTAAGATGTTGTTTTCATGCTACTTTTTTGTATATCATTTGCTACCTTAGGTTTGGATTATGTGTACATTTTCTTTTAAATTTTAAAAATTGTGTATATGTATGTGGGTTTGTTGTTGTTGTTTTTAATTTCTCAACTTGCTGAGTAGATGCTGTTCTCTTCTAGGACTGGGGCAAACCCGGGGACTTGTGGAATCTGGGAATCCAGTGGCATGTTCCTTCTTCAGAAGAAGTGTCTTTTGCCTTTTATCTTTTGGACTCCTTTCTTCAGCCTGAGCTCGTCAAACTCCAGCATTGTGGGGATGGAAAACTTGAAATGTCTAGGTTGGTTTTATTTTATAATTAGAGTTATTCAGTTGCAGACTAAAGAAGTCTTTTTTGGCTTTATCTGTGGCATATCTCATGTATTAATTTTCAATTGTGTTTTGAAAATCTGCTATACATGTACTTAGAAAATCATTTAATATAATGTTGTATAACAGAAAATTTAACAACATTTAAACATTTTAAACCCAAAAATTGTGGGTTTCTTTTTCTAATTTTTTTTATTACCTTCTACTTAGCAATTTCACTTGTCTTTTGGAAGGTGTGTGTAGATATGCCTCCTTTGAAAGGAATGCCTGTTTTCCTAGACTCAGCTAAGATTTTATTGGGTTCTCAAAATTTTATTTTAAGAATTATTTTTATGAGATTTTTTTTTCCCTCTCCCACAGGTATTTAACAAGAAATAAGTATTTGAAACCATTAGACTTTCATAGTTTGAAAGTTTCTAAAATAATAGCAAGAAAATTAATGTATCAAACACCACAAATTTTTCATAAGCAGATTTAAGAATGCACTTGGAGAAAGAAGTGTGACTGACTAACATCAACTCTGTCGTACTCTGAACTGCTTTTTGGAAGTAAATGTTTAGTCCCATTTTTAAAAGATGGAATAAGCTGGAAGATCTTCTGTAGCATTATTTCCTCTTTTTGTTAGTGGCAGTGGTCTTTGGTAAAGGGATGCTTAAATTAACAGTTGTTTCACAAAGGGCAGTTAATTATTGTTACTTGTGATTTACTTAGAGCCTGTTTAAATGTAAGCAGGCATAGTGTTAGCAATAAATATATATTTAATTGTTCTTCACTGTTAAGTTGGTAAACTGAAGACATTTGCTATTTCTTTACCTTAATCATTTATATCCCCACGTGAGAAAACTTCTGTGCTAGGCTCTAGCAGGCTTATTAAATAGGGATTTGGAAATATGAAAATGTCTTTTTTTTTTTTCTAGAGATGATATTCTACAGAGTCTGACTATAGTGCACAACTGTTTAATTGGCTCTGGAAACCTCCTACCTCCGTTGAAAGGAGAGCCAGTTACTAACTTGTAAGTAAAAATAACTGTTTTCCACTTAACATATATTTTAAGTCTTAGTCACTTAATGAGTTATTGGTTTGTTGTTGTTATTGCTTTTATTTCTGTATCACTTTAACCTTTTTATTTGTCACTGTTAAGGTCAAAAATACCAGAGGTACAATTTAGATTTATAAACCTGAAGGCTTTATTCAGATTTTCACATGGTACCAGGATAGAATAACTTTAGGTATTAATTTTAAAATATCAAATGTGGAGATATTAAGTTAGTCTCTTAGTTTACTGAGTTAATTAAGATAAATGCTGTTCTTTTAAAAAGGAAAAATACTGCTTTGTTTTGACTGTAGCAAATGTTGATTCAGAATTTTGTAGCAAAAAACTTTAAAAAAAAAGATTTCTTCAATCTTATTCATTATGATTTTGAATTGGTTTTATGATTTTTTAAGTGCTTTTCAGAGTATTATTACTTCGAGTGAATAGCTAAATTGAATCCGTTGTTAGCTCCGCCATTTAAGGTGAAAAAAAATTAAGTTAGAATAAAATCAGCAGAGGCCCAGTGCGGTGGCTTATGAGGCAGGCGGATCTTTTGAGTGCAGGAGTTTGAGATCAGCCTGGATGACATGGCAAACCCGTCTCTACAAAAAAATACAAAAATGAGCTGGACGTGGTGGCGCATACCTGTAGTCCCAGCTGAGGTGGGAGGATTGCTTGAGCCCAGGAGGCAGAGGTTGCAGGGAGCTGAGATCATGCTGCTGCACTCTAGCCTGGGCAATAGAGTGAGACCCTGTCTCAAAAACATTTTAAAAAACAAAAAGAATAAAATCAGCAGTATATATTAATTTTAGCTTAATTATTAAACAGATAGATAATAATTTAAATATACTAAGACCATTTTTTTCAACATCAATATCTTGTTACTAAGCAAGTTAATGAAATCACATGTAAATCACATTCAAATGAGTAAGTGCCCTCTCTTCCCTCTCAAAAAACACAAAGGGGAAAATGATTTACTGATTTTCCAACAAAAACGTTAAAAAGCCTCAAGAAGTGGTTTCAAAATGTGGCTACATGTCTTTCCCATACTTTGTGTAGTCATTGTTTGGTGTCATGCATTTCCCATTTTTTTCACTCCAAAAACTGTTCTTAGGCATTGAACTTTTTAGATTATTAAGTTTAAGAAGGAGAAGTTAGGGTCATTTCAGGTAAGGAAATCTGTTATAAGTGTGTTTAGGAATTTGCCGAATTCTTTTTAAAGAACTTTTGTTTTTCATTAGTTTTGTTGTTTGATATAAGCGCAGTTGTACCAGAATTCATTTTTGTTAAAAAAGATTGATTTTGAACAATATTTAAAAATAAGAGGCTTCAAAAATTGTTTCGATTTTCACCTATGATCTTAACAGTGTGTAATACAGTAAGAACTTGACCCTTTTATGGCAGGCAAAAAGCTATTTCATACTTAACAAACTTTGCACATCAGCAAATTGAGTTCTGCTTGAAGGTGTCAACAATTAGAATTGTGGTCATTTAATCCAATAATTTATCTAAGAGCAAAAGCATGTATTTTTAATGTTAGTAAATTTTTAGTACTGAGTAATCATTAGGATGCACTGCTGAAGGGTCAGCTAAAGAGGCCAAGGGATTTTCCTTGCAGTTCGTATCAGCCTGTATCTTGATGCCATGTACACTGTAATAGTGAATTGAAGCAAAAGGCTTTATCCTTTGAAATAAATGTGCATCATGACAAAAGCTTCATATATTTGATTATTATAAAGCCAATTAGATTTTTTATAATGAAGTGCATTTTAATAAGGAAAAGAATATATTATGATAATCTTATGAATACCATATGATACAGACTATTAGTTTATATTACTATATATTATAAGCTATAAAATTGATCCTGAGTATCCTTTTATCTGCTTTTCCCAGAAAAGTTAAAAAGGAAAAGATAAATTTAGCCTGAAAGGTTTTGCGTTTTAGCACTTGCACATTTAGAGTGAAAATTTAATGTAATAATATGATGAAGTAATAAAAATCTATATTAAATATATGTATATTTATTTAAACATATATAGATTAAAATATAAAATGCTTCCTGATACTTAATAATATAATGAAATAAAACAATAAAACTTCAATTTTTAAAAATAATTGAATAATACGTATTTTTAGGGTTCTTTTTAGTTACATGTATCTGTGGGGGATAATGATTGTATAAAGTAAAATTAAGAATAAATGAACAGGTCTTTGCCTTTGAATTGCCAAAAGAGGGAGTTTTCCGTCTTCCTTTGACTTTTGCAAGTTCTTAATAGAATTGTATTTAATTTATAACTAGCATTACCTTCAGCTGAAACTTTATTTTGGCAAAGTATAGCTTTTTACATTTATTTCCTATGTGTAACATTTTTACTTTTTTTTAACAGATGGTTAATTTCATAAAGTACCATAAAATAAAATAGCCTTTAAAATTTCTAAAATGCTTATTTTAATATAGGTTAGTAATTGTTCAAATCTTCTAAATCTAAATTGATTTGAAAAAACTAATACAGTAATTCCAATAAATGGTCCCATTGTTCTGTGATACGAATTCATACTGCCTGGTGTGAAGAATGAATATCTGTAGCATGATTTATGGTGATTATCAGCAGATCAATTTGAAACTAGTAGAGAAAGAGAATTAACTTAGCACATTAGTTGCTCCATAGGAAATGGGAAAATATACTAGGTCAGGGAGAAAATGAAACACATAATTGTCATGAATATTTTAGTGTAATGTCTAAGATGTCTGAGGAAAATATCTATTGTTAATAACAGTTTGGCTGTGGTATTAGGAGACAGGAGACATTATGCATTTTCTGAAATACCAGACCAGTTTTTAGACGCACATAGCAATTCATAAGATTTTTTTTTTTTTTTTTTTTGAGACAGAGTCTCGCCCTATTGCCCAGGCTGTAGTGGTGGGATCTCAGCTCACTGCGACCTCCACCTCCTGGGTTCAAGCAATTGTCCTTCCTCAGCCTCCTGAGTAGCTGGGATTACAGGCATCCGCCCCCACACGCAGCTAATTTTTGTATTTTAATTTTTTTTGAGGTGGAGTTTTGCTTTTGTCACCCAGGCTAGAGTACAATGGCACTATCTTGGCTCACTGCAACCTCTGCCTTCCGGGTTCAAGCGATTATCCTGCCTCACATTCTCAAGTAGCCAGTATTGCAGGCGTGTGCCACCATGCCTGGCTAATTGTTTTTTGTATTTTTAGTAGAGATAGGGTTTCACCATGTTGGCCAGGCTGGTCTCGAACTCCTGACCTCAAGTGATCCACCTGCCTTGACCTCCAAAAGTGCTGGGATTATAGGCATGAGCCACCACATTCAGCCTCATAAAATTCTTTTTTTTAAACATTTAAACTTATATAAATCTTAGATAAAATTCTAGCTGCTGTAATTTTTTTTTGTCAGATTACTTAGTATTAAGATTGCCGTGTGTGTATTAGTAGTCTTTGTCTTCTGGAAGAAGAGTACAGTGATAAAAAAACAAAACAAACAAAAAGACCCTAGAAGCTTAGTTTACTTCTTTTTTTTTTCTTCTACTTTAAAAAAAATATAGAGAGACAAGGTCTCACTATGTTGCCCAGACTGGTCTGTGAGCTCAAGTGATCCTCCCACCTGGGCCTCCCAAAGTGCTAGGATTACAGGTGTGAGCCACCACACCAGCCTTTTTTTTTTTGAGATAGAGTCTTGCTCTGTTGTCCAGGTTGGAATACAGTGGCACAGTCTTGGTTCACTGCTCCCTTCATCTCCTGGGCTCAAGTGATCCTCCCACTTCAGCTCCCGAATAGCTGGGACTATAGGCGTGGGTCACCATGCCCAGCTAATTTTTGTATTTTTTGTGGAGATAGGATTTCGCTTTGTTGCCTAGGCTGGTCTCAATTTCCCGAGCTCAGGCGATCTGCCTGTCTCCACATCCAAAAGTGCTGGGATTACTGGCAGGCATGAACCACCACGCCCAGCCAAAGCTTAGGTTACTTTTTAGTTTTCCTGTGAGAATGTCTAACTTAGTCCTAATAGGGTATGTGGGATGGTCTTAAAATCTCATTGTTCAGGGAAGTGGCTACTAAATGGGAAAACCTGTCTTCTGTGCTATATTCTTATATTAGAGATTGACAAAAAATAAAAAGCCAAGTCCTAAGCATAAAAGTAAATGATCTACCTAATGGTATCCACTTTGGGGATGCCATGTACCTTTGGGCCTTTAGCAATATAGGGTTACTAAATATCTTTTTTTTGGAAACGAAGTTTCACTCGTTGCCCAGGCTGGAGTGCGGTGGCACAATCTCAGCTCACTGCAACCTCTGCCTCCCAGGTTCAAGTGATTCTCCAGTCTCAGCCTCCCGAGTAGCTGGGATTACAGGCGTGTGCCACCATGCCCGGCTAATTTTTGTATTTTTAGTAGAGACAGGGTTTCACCATCTTGGCTGGGCTGGTCTTGAACTCCTGACCTTGTGATCCACCCGCCTCTGCCTCCCAAAGTGCTGGGATCACAGGCGTGAGCCACTGCGCCTGGCCACTAAATATCTTATACTTACTATAAACTTTACAGTTTCAAAGGATGGATATAATAAAGTAATTGTGGGTAATTAAGGATAAATTTTTTTCTTATTTCGTACTATTGAAAACAGTTTGAATTTTTAACAGTTTTGTCAGATATCACAGGTTGTTGAATTAATCTTAAAATAGGACCTATTTTGCTCTTGGAACCTTTAGATAATGTTTTAAGAGAAATATTTGTGGTATAGTTTATACTCATAATTCTACCTTTATAGATGTGGAAGTTGGATTATGTCTTTCCAGAGTCACAGGAATTTTGGACCCTTGCCTTTAATCCTGAAATCATCATTAATTTTTCCTTTTGCAGTCCATTCTCTAAATAATCTTTTAGGTCTAACCAGCTATCACAGGATGCAAAAAACTAACATCTAAAAAACAGGGTTACTCAAGGTAGAGGAGTCATTTTTCATCTCAAAATATTCCTTTATTTTGTGTCCCCTTTCCTCTGATAGATTTATTACGTCATTTTTAGTTAAATCATCCTTAGGATCTCAGCTTTTACTAACTTTTCGCTCAAAGAAATTCATACTTAAGGTCTAATAGTGAGACCATTTCATTGATATGTGAAAGGATGTGTTGCTTATGCAATGAGGGGCAGGGCTAGCTAACCTCTCTTGGCACCTCCAGGAAACTACCCAGCTCTGCTGGGGGAGCTGCACACAGAAAAGGAAACAGTTACTACTCCACGGTGAGTAACCCTGTTTTCTCCTTATTTCACCTTCTGACTGTTTTCATTTATTTTTAAAAGCTTATGTGTCAGACTTGGAAGTAGTTCCTGTTTTCAGAGTTAATTTAAAATCTAGCAACATATAAGATTTCTCTTTATTTAGTGACCCTTTGTTCACTGGCAGGATAAGAGCCAGGTTTTCATTTGTGTTTATAGTTATTATTGCTACCTAGGATTGAATTGGATAATAGAACACAAAAATAGGCCTAACTGTCTCTTGTGAGACATTTGTACTTTGAAGGGAAAAAATCTATTAGTGGCTTGGTTTTACATCTTTTATGTTTATTTTTATTTGGAAGGGGAAGGGTTATTGGGAAGATAGGATGTTCTTTCACTTATACACAGGAAGAATTTTATATTATTGTTTACAGCTGTTTCATGACAATTCGCCCAGCCTTCATTTACATATGTGATTTGTATTATATATTTTGTTTTTGTGTTATTAGTTATTTCTTTTTCAGCATCCCTTCTTTCCTACCAGTGATTCTTTTCATAGTCCTGCTCTAATCATATCTAAAGAAGATTCCCATCTAGTGGTACGAATACTATAGTTGTTGAAAATTCATAGGTCCTTTTTTAGTGGTACAAATATTTTAATACATTTTACTATATGTTAGGTGGCCTGGTACTATCTAGAAGCTATGAAGCAGATTTAATTTTATTATTATTACATAGAGGGTGTTATTTACAGTATGTTGTGCTGGAATTATTTTTTTGAATTGTATTGTTCCTTAGGTTAAATGATACTATGGTTTGTAAAATGAACTAGTGAATGAGTAGGATGGATTTCACATGAGGAAGGGAGAGGTAGTGATGGAATTTGATTTGACTTACATATTGTTAACATAGCTTTTAGTCAGAATATAGATCTGTAAGACAGTGCCTTAAGACTATTCACTTAAGATTATGTGCATAGCTAAAAGCTACCAGAACAGTTTAATATATCACAGATTACATCCTGGGCACAATGAGATCTATAATGTCACAAAGAGATACAGTCATGATATTTTACTTGGGTAATGGGTAGAGATTTCTTTTAGTAAAAAATCTTCTAAAGGTCAGAAGAGGTAGGATACTATGGCTCATGCCTGTAATCCCAGTGCTTTGGGAGGTGGAGGTAGGAGGATTGCTTGGGGCCAGGGATTTGAGACCAGCTTGGGCACCATAGCGAGACCCTGTCTCTACCAAAAAGTAAATAAACAAAATTAGCTGGCGAGGTGGTGTGCACCTGTAGTACCAGCTACTCAAGAGCCTGAGGTGTATGTGAGTCCACTTGAGCCAGGAAGGTTGGGGCTGCAGTGAGCCATGATCGTACCATTGCACTGCAGCCTGGGTGGCAGAGGGAGATCCTATCTTGAAAAATAAATAAATAAATAGCTACACTTGCTGAGAAGCATTTATTGTAAATCATGTTAATCCAGTTAATTTGTGGTAGGCAAGAAGAGATCAAATTATGGTGGATAAGAATAAACAAAAGCTGTAATGTATACTACCCAGATATGTCCTATATATAGTCTTCCCTTGGTGAAGTTAGGGGATTGGACCTACAGCATACCAAAATACATTCATACTCAAGTGCCACAGTAGGCCCTGTAGAGCTCACATACAGGAAAAGTCAGCCCTCCATATGTGTAGATTTCTCATCTGGCTAATACATTTAGTTGAAAAAAAAATCTGCGTGTAAGTAGACCCACACCTGTGTTGTTCAAGGGTCACCTCTGTGTAGGAGATATGGAAGCTGTATTTTAATCCAAGTTTTAAAAGTCGAGGAAGAAGATAAGGCTTTTATTTAAATACATTACTTAATATTTTACAATCTTATACAGGATTTTTTAAAGTAGTCAGCATAAATGATTATTTTTCAAATTCCCTGATAAGAAAACAATTCAAAGTGTCACATGGATTTTAAGAAATTTGGTGTCAGGACTCTTAGATGAAACTTGTTTGAAAAACTTTAAATTCCCAAATGACAGGCTTTTTAGATATAGTAAAAACTATGGAGAATAATTGGTTATAAAGAATGCTTTTTTTAATTTGTATAATATGACAGTAACTAAAGTGACAGTAATTAAAATTCATGCTTGATTTAATATTATATGGCATTAGATACAGACTGCATAAGCTGCAGACTGTATATTTCTACTTCAGAAAACTAAGTGTTTATGGCAGCAGTGGGGAGACACATACTCTAATAGGATGGCTCATAGCAAGCACTTCCCCTGCTCTAACAGTGGGCGGGGGGAGGGTGGGAACTCTCTTGTGCTTTATTCTTGTTACTCTTGAGTACAGGCCTTTTCTCTTTGGTGAAATCTAATTTCAGTAAAGACATAACGTTCATGTAAAGGAATCTGATTTTATTTTTTACTAACAGATTTTGGATACATACATATTTTTGATCATGCAAAAATATTTAAGATGCTCAGGTTTGCCAGTGGTTGAAGCTTTATAGAAGGAAAACAAAATTTTAAGAGGAATTTGGTCTTGAAAGTCTGAAAAAGCAAATTAACGTTTGATACTATTAATATACAATATTAATAAGCTTTGAAGTAAGTTAGTGAAAAAGAAGCCATTCTTTGTTTATACTCTATGGGCTTGGTTTTGAAACTTGAGAAGGTATTGTTGCTATCCTCTGTACTGGGTTATGGTGAGAAACATAGTTAAATAACTGACATTTTAGAAATATGTTTTTACCTATTACTTAGATAAATACCTGAATTCATAACTGTCAAATATTAAGGTAGAGATAACCCATTTAATTCAGCTACTTTTTGAGGGTATACAATATAGCTGGGGATGTGTTGATTTAAAAATAGTATTTTCTTCATGGCAAGTCTTGTGCAGTTCATTGGTGATTAGTAATAATAATAAGATTGCTGTTTATTAACTCTGTATATGCTTGCCTGATTTGTGCCTTTTTTTCCTTTTAGAATGTATCTCTTTGATTAATAAAAGCTTTGAATTAAATCTCATATTTTGAAATAAAGTATTGAAAATTGAGGTATATTTTTCACTAAAGAAAATGTAGATTTCAGATATGTCAATTCTCATTTTCCTATAAAATCTGTCCTTGCATATGTAAAAAGTGACTTTTAACTGTTCAATGAATTTAACTGGCTGGGTCTGGTTGTGGTAGCCTTGTGGAGCAGGGCTACCGCTTATAGGCTCAGGGTAGCCTCTGGTTGTGGTATCATAATTCTTTATGGCAGATCTTTAATTAGGAAACAGTGATTTTTATACCTGAATTTCTTCAAAAAGAGTGTCTTATTACTGCACATTAGGAGAGATGTTTTTGACTGATTTTAAGAGGAAGGTAATGATTATCTAAATAAGCTTGTCAGCTCTATATGCTTTAGTAAAATTTGTTTTAACTGTTGTGCCATTATTAAGCTGACTTTTCTTTATGTAAAGGTTTATCATATTTAATCTTTTACATTTGAGTATTGGATATCAATATTATGTTCCTTTAGGAGGCCTCCTGAAGTCACTAAATTTTTTCTTTAAGTTGAATAACATGATTCTTACTGAAACAGCATTCATCTTGAGAAAGATAGATTGATTTTTCCCATTGAAGATGGGAAATCTGTGTCTGTTAAAAGAACATTATCTTTGTTTTGGTTTAAACAGTCCAGCAATGAAACTTTTCCCTTTAATACTTCATATTGGTATTATTAATAAATGCAAGCACTCTTGTTTTTATACAGAGTACCAAGTATGGTGTCCTTGGAAGAGACAAAGTTGTATACTGGACTTGAATATGGTATGTGAATCCTAATCTGAGTAAATCTGTGTGGATTATTTTTGTCAGTAACTCCACAAGGACTAAAATGAAGTATGAAGTAGTGTTTTTGTTTTGTTTTGTTTTGAGACAGAGTCTCACTCTGTCTCCCAGGCTGGAGTGTGGTGACGCGATCTCTGCTCACTGCAACCCCTGCCTCCCTGCCTCCCAGATTCAAACGATTCTCCTGCTCCAGCCTCCCAAATAGCTAGGATTACAGGTGTGCACCACCAAGCCCAGCTAAGTTTTATATTTTTAGTAGAGACAGAGTTTCACCGTGGTGGCCAGGCTGGTCTCCAGCTCCTGACATCAAGTGATCTACCCACCTCCGCTTCCCAGAGTGCTGGGGGATTACAACCGTGAGCCACCCTGCCCGGCCTAAAATGAAGTAGTTTTGTATTATGATGTTCCTAATCTCTTTTTTGATATATGAAAAGAATATTAATTATACAGTAGTCATTTTTGCCTTTTCTGGAGAAACTGGAAAATTATTGTATAAAGAATAGCCAGTAAGAAATTGGGTCAGTCTGTATTTGAATGCTATGTACAGAGGTAGGCTTTTATATATCATAATGCTCATTTATGTTTAAAATTATTCTAGCACTTATATGTTATACTTGGTGTAAATACGAATATTGTAACCCTATATTTAAAAAAACTTTATACCTTCCTATCATAGTAAATTAAGTTTTATAATAACATTTATGTAAAACATTTTATTGTTAATGTTCTAAATCTAATAGAAATTTAGCACCCTTTCTCATCGCTGGATTAACACCAAAGTTACATACATTAATTGCTAGGCTGTAATTGCTTGATTTACGTCACCCACAACTAATTAGAAAATTCCATGTATTTTAATCTCTAATTAGTGACTAGAGCCTTTGAAATATTGGCAAAGGTGGTTTTTCTTTCCCTCGCCTCTCCAACCTTCTTGCCCCATGAAGTTTTATAAGCAGGTCATTTTATCTATTTTTTATTATTATTATTTTTCTTTATCTTGAAGCATGATAGACATCTCATAAGCAGGTCATTTAAGTGTAGAGGTTTTAGAAGTTGCTGTAGCATGCCTAGCCATTAATTCAACTATGGTAAAGGCAGACCTATTTTTTTCTCCAATACTTTATCCCTCCTTGACCTAACCTGTTGATATAAACTTTAAAAGTCTGAGGAGCATTCAGTGTCTAAAATACCTTCTTTTATTTTTTCAAAATAGATCTGTCTCGAGAGAACCACCGAGAAGTAATTGCTACAGTTATAAGGAAACTTCTTAGTAAGTGTATCTGTACATTTAACTTATTTGTACTTTGGAATAAGTATTTTGGAATTTTAATCTATAACATGCATGTGTTTACTTAATGTTTTTTATTCTAAATGGTGAGAATATTGGGCAGTGATTTTTTTTCTTAATAGATTCTTGACTAATGCCTCAAGATTCTTATAGTAGTTCAAAATATTTTAACCAAAATCCTTTTCTTTCTTCCATTATAGACCACATACTTGATAATTCAGAAGATGATACTAAGTCATTGTTTCTTATTATAAAGGTACATTTGTCATTTGATAGTTGCATAATGATTAATACGATCAAGCTTGGATTGATGACTTGCAAATACAATTTGAAATTCTTTGACACAGATTATTGGAGACCTTTTACAATTCCAAGGATCTCACAAGCATGAATTTGACTCCCGATGGAAAAGCTTCAACTTAGTAAAGAAATCAATGGAAAATCGGGTCAGTATTTTCACCTAAAAGTCTGCACTAATTGTTTTAAAGTCGTATAATAACCTCGTAATTTGGGTATTATTCAGCATATAGAAGAAGTTTTCCTAAAAGGAAAAATAGTAGATTTAAAAGTATGTAAAAGTTAAAAACATCATGGTAGAAATCAAATGGATCCTAGCAAAAAATATATTTTTCTTATACAGAATCTTCTGCCTGTTTCCATGACAGTCTCTAAACTCTCAATGGGAATTTGGACAATAGCATTGAGACTACCTTGTAAGAACTTGAAGGAATTTAAAAATAGGAGGAATTATCTATGGGCATGAATTTAAAGCATTACACTTTATGTAGATCTGAGAAAAAGTTACCCTGTATTATATTCAGCTGCAGAAGTCATTGTAAGCTTCTTTGGGGCCTTGGAAGAAAGAGTATCAGTGTAAGCCAAGAGATGTTCATGGCAGAATTCTTACGCCAGAAACTTTTACTGAAATTGAGTCTAAAAAGGTTGTATGAGTTCATTGTTTAGACAACAGTTGCTAGATACTTTAGACAGAAGGAATGGCATGTAAAAGGGCAAGGAGATATAAAAACATGGCATGCTTTTAGGGGCCAGGGGCTGTAGAGGGTAAACTAGGTTGCTTATACTTTGTTTTGAGAAAGTGTTTCAGTTTTATATTCAGCAGTAGGAGAGTCATTAACAGTTCTTAAGTAGATCTGATTTGAATATTGATTGGAAAAGTCAACACTCAATTCACTAAACATTAAAAAGCTCTGCCACCACTGTGAACAGTAAGTACAAAGAGATTGATACTGTAAGCAAGAAAGGGAGTTAAACTGTTTCACTCCAGGTGAAAAACACAGCCTAAGTCAAGTCAGTGGTATTGAAATGGAAATAACATGTTTTGAAAATGGTAGAATTGGGGGGCTTAATGACTAAGGAACTGTGGTGTGAAAGAAGAAGAGTCTTTGAGCCTCAACTATCTGCCTTTGGTGACCAGGTGGAAGATTATATGGATAAAAGCTTAAATGATAACTTTTAGAAAAGATATTATTATTAAATTTTGTAGTAAACATATTTGATTACCCTGAAAGGCTATGGCTATTTGTAGATTTAAGAGAGTTGAGCAATTGTCTTAGTAGGCTGTTTTTGTACTTTCAGTATTTAACTGAATAAGAACACAACTCTGTTGCTCTCCCATGCATGGGTCTAATAGTAAACTATCAGAGAAAAACAGGGTGTTGGATGGGCTATTTAAAAGGGGGATATTTCTACTGTTAGCCATAAAAATTAAGACAACATTTTTATATAAGCCTGATGTCTTTAGAATAAAGGAAATACCACCACCACTCACCAGTCAACCAGGGACCTTTTTGACCACTTATTAAGGTATTTAGAGGCATCCATTGTTGAAGTCATTTAGGGAAAATGTTGAAGTATTTGTTGCTACTTTGTTTTCCAGCTCCATGGGAAAAAACAACATATCAGAGCACTGTTGATTGATAGAGTAATGTTACAGCATGAGGTAAATATGTTTTTCAGTCATAGTGACTTTTTAAAATGTCAATTTTCCAGATGAGTATTTAGTTTTGTTTTCATAATCAAATTTTAGTAAATGTTTGCGATTGTTTTCTTAGCTACGGACACTAACTGTTGAGGGTTGTGAATACAAAAAGATACATCAAGATATGATCAGAGATCTTCTTCGTTTATCTACAAGTTCATACAGTCAGGTAAGGCTTATCCAAACGCTGCACTCTCATGCCCTCCCATTTTATTACATGCAATCTTAATATCCCCCTTTTAAGAAGAGAGTTTAAATAATTTCACCCATAATTGGAATTATTCTCTCAATTATTGGAAATTGTAATTTCCAGTAATTACCTCCAGGAAGTAATAAAACCAGGACCAAAAGCTAGGCTCTCTTAACTCATGTTAGCATAGAAAACAGCTTTCAAATTGCAAATATATTCAAGCTAAGGTTGCTAGTCATTTTTTTGTAATGCTTAATGTTGCTGTTTGTAATTGCTTCTCATTTATTTAAATTTGGAAGACAGTGCTAGTGTGATATTGCTGGCACTTCAATCACATTTTGAAGCCCAGTCTACGAAGGCCACATAATTCCTCCTAGACATTAAGCTTGGGTTTTAGGAAGCTGCTACCACATGAATTGTGAGGTCTGTCCTTTAGTGTAGGAACAAGAGATTATCTGCAAGCACAGAAAAGTGGAAAAAGAGATTCATGTGCAACTAATTATTCTATCTTTATGAAATAATGTAAATTAACTACAGGTTAAGCATTGGAAACCCAAAATACTCCAGAATCCAAAACTTTTTGAGCACCAACATGATGCTCAAAGGAAATGTTTATTGGAGCGTTACAGATTTCAGATTTTTGGATTTGGGATGATCACCCAGGAAGTTTATAATCCACATGTTTCAAAATGTGAAAAAAATCTCAAATCCAAAACATTTCTGGTCCTGAGCATTTTATTTTACTTTATTTTTATTTTTTGAGACAAGGTCTCTCTCTGTTACCCAGGCTGCAGTGCAGTGGTGTGATCACAGCCCACTGTAGCCTTGAACTCAAGCCTTGAGCTTGAGCTCAAGCGATTGTCTCACCTCAGCTTTCTAAATAGCTGGGATTATAGGCGTACATCACCATGAACTCAGGTCTTGAACTCAAGCCTTGTAGCCTTGGGCTTGAGCTCAAGCGATCGTCTTATCTCAGCCTCCCAAATAGCTGGGATTACAGGCATGCGCCACCATGCTGGACTAATTTTTTTCATTTTTAATAGAGATAAGGTCTCGTTGTATTGCCCAGGCTGGCCTCGAACTCCTGGGCTCAAGCGATCTGCCTGCCTGGGCCTCCCATGGTATTGGGATTACAGGTGTGAGCCACCATGCCCGGCTACCTGAACATTTTAGATAAAGGATACTCAACCTGTAACTAATCTCTAGCTCAGAGATTCCCTCTAAAGTAATGTTTAAAATGAGTTTGAGGCCGGGTGTGGTGGCTTATGCCTGTAATCCCAACACTGTGGGTGGGAGGCCAAGGCAGGTGGATCACTTGAGATCAGTTCAAGACCAGCCTGGCAACATGGTGAAACCCCCTCCCTACTAAAAATACAAAAATTAGCCAGGCGTGGTGGCATGCGCCTATAGTCCCAGCTACACGGAGGCTAAGGCAGGAGAGTTGCTTGAACCCTGGGAGGCGGAGGTTGCAGTGAGCCGAGATGGTGCCACTGCACTCCAGCCTGGGTGACAGAGCAGGAAAAAAAAAAAAACTGGTTATAGTAAAAGCAACACATTGTACATATTTCAAACTCTTTTTTTGTTTGTTTGAGACGGAGTCTCGCTCTGTCACCCAGGCTGGAGTGCAGTGGCACGATCTTGGTTCACTGCAACCTCCGCCGCCTGAGTTCCAGCAATTCTCCTGCCTCAGCCTCCCCGGTAGCTGGGACTACAGGCACGCACCACCATGCCTGGCTAATTTTGTATTTTTAGTAGAGACGGGGTTTCACCATGTTGGCCAGGCTGGTCTCTAACTCCTGACCTCAGGTGATCCACCCACCTCAGCCTCCCAAAGTGCTGGGATTACAGACGTGAGCCACTGCGCCCATCCTACTATAACCAGTTATTATCCATTACTATTTAACTAGTTCATAAGTTGTAAATTTATACTGAATATTTTGTTTGGGTCAAAAATATGTGAGATTGTACTTAAGGTTTGCCTTAAAAGGGTTAAGTTGTTATGTGTCTGTTTTGGTTTATTTTAGTTCCTCCTGGAAATTCTTTAATTTTCCTCATGTGGACATAAGAGAAAATCTGGCTCTTTATATCTAGAATAATTCAGAATAAAAAGTTTAGTAGTATGCTGATTACTTTTAGCTATGTTACTGAGCAAATGCATATAGGTTCCATTCAGTCTCCCCTTTATCAAACATATTTCAGTCAGTGTAACCTAAACCATGGATATGGTCGGTGGTATTGTGCTTTCCTTTTGATATAAGTAAAGATAATCATTTACTTCTTTTTTAGGGTACGTGCTTTGAAATTTATTTTGTTAATGAGAAAAACATGTAAATTATCATTACTGTTTTTGATAATTTGTTTTAAACTGCTTTGTACTTTACTATTTAATAAAAGTCCTTTGTTAATAATACTTCCTCCAGGTGAGAAATAAGGCTCAGCAAACATTTTTTGCTGCCTTGGGAGCATATAACTTCTGTTGCAGAGATATCATTCCCTTGGTTTTGGAGTTCTTAAGGCCTGATAGACAAGGTGTTACACAGCAACAATTCAAGGTATAGGGTTTTTTTCCTATTTTACTGTAAACATTTTCAAACATACTGAAAAGCTGAAAAAATTCTACGGTAAACATCCATATCTTCTTCACCACTGAGATTCTGTATTTAAGATTTTGCTGTATTTGCTTTATCGCATATCTGTTCTTTTTTTTAATGTATTTCAAAGTAAATTGAAGATATCAGCACGATTCACCTTTAAACAGGTATGATCTTTGTTTCATACTAATATGAGGAGACTCATTATTTAGTTATTTACCTCTGTTTGTGATCAGTATTATGATGAAGAAAATATAAGAAGCAGACTTTCCTGAGGAAAATAATTGTTTAACTTGAGTGCTAGTGGCCAAGTAGCCTGGCTGGCATATGGGAGAGAGGGATGAAAGACCAAGAAGTTTAGAGTAGTATGACCAGTGTGAAGGAAGGGCTTAAGACAGGAAGGAAGAAATATGGTAAGTTTGAGCAGTGGTATGAAAGCTTATGCAATTGGAGTAGAGAAGAAAGGAAATTATACAGGATAAGGCAAATACTACATCCTATGGGGATGTAATAAAGTATAGGTAATATATAATGATTGCTTATACTGTCAGGTAGAAAGAAATAGATTGAGAGTGAATTAAGAGTGAGAACGGATGGGACTTGTTGATTGAATATGAGGGGACTGAAAAAAGGAAATGTCAAAGTTACTAAGCTTTTGGATCGTACAACTAGTTGCTGGGCACATCAGAGAGAGAGAGAGAGTAGTTAGATGATGACATAGTTAATTTGGACTAGTTTAATTTGAAGTGGTTCCAATGACCTAAGAGCACCATCAAGTGGGCAGTTAGACATCTGAGTCCGAAGATACCATTTCCATGTATGTTGATTATAATTGAAATCTATGGGCATGGATAAGAAAGCCTAGGAGGAGAATAAGAAGAGGACCAAGGGGCATATGTTGAGAAACTCCTTTAGAAGCCAAATAGAAGAGCTGAGTGACCCTGGAGAGGTCAGAAAGGTATCAAGAAATCGGGAAGAATCACAGAAGGCAGGGAGAGGTCTTTCTAGAAGGAAGACTCAGTGAGTAGAGTCATTGTTTTTTGGAGATAATGAAGACGAGCCCTAAACATCTTCCATGAAGCTTGTAAGACAGAGGTGTCAATAAACTATAGCTCAGGCTCAGTTGCTTGCTTTTGTAAAAGTAAAAGCTTGCTTTTTTAAAACTTCTTGAAACACAGCCATGTTCATTCATTTATATATTATGTATGGCTACTTTCACTCTACAGTGGCAGAGAAGAGTAGTTGAGACAGAGAGCAAATGGCTTTGCTGTTTGCTTTCTGGCCGTTTATGGAAAATGTTTGCTGACCCCTGGTGCAGATGTATAATTCAAGAGTGTTGTAGGTTTGACTCATTGACTATTCTGTTGTTGACCTTAATGAGAGCAGTTTAAATGGACAAAATTAGAGAGGTCAAGTACAATCAAAACAGAAAAATATCTATTAGATCAACAAAATCGAGGTTATGAGTGACCTTATAGAGAACCTGTAGAGGAGTGGAATACAAAGTCAGTAATAAGCTAGATTGGAATCAGGTGAGGTAAATTGGAAATCAAAAGTTTTGATAGTAAAAACTTTTTATGAAAAAGCACTTTAGAAAGGATACCTGCTGTCATCAAAGGATACCTGCTGTCATCAGAATCATTGTGGTTAATTGGACTTTTATGAGTAATAAATATGCAGTATACTTTAGTTTTTATGTACTTTGTAAATTACTCAGCAACCAGGTGTTAACTAATATTTAATAAATTATTTCAAACACCAAACTTCAGACTCTAAAATTTTAAGAGTGACACATGTTGTGGTTTTTATGATACAGTTGAAGAAAATCAGAATGGAATATATGTTCTTAGAAACATCCTTCCATTTCTTTATTACCTTATTAGTAGCCATTCTTTGAACAATTTCTTTTTTTCTTTTTGGAGACAGGGTCCTGCTGTGTCACCTAAGCTGGAGTACAGTGGCACAGGCATGGCTCATTGTAGCCTCAACCTCTTGGGCTTAAGTGATCCTCCCACCTCAGCCTCCTGAGGAGCTGGGACCACAGGTGTGTGCCACCATGCCCAGCTAATTTTTGTATTTTTTATAGAGAAGAGGTTTCACCATGTTGCCCAGGCTCTCAAACTCCTGAGCTCAACCAGTCTGCCTTATTTGGCCTCCCAAAATGCAAGAATTACAGGCGTGAGCCACCTCACCTGTCCCAAACTCTTTATTAAATGACTTAGAGAAAATATTAATGGATATCACCTAAATGTCAAGTTCAGATTTCTAAAAAGTAACATGTTAAATGTGTGAACATATTTTACTAACCAATATTAAGCATTTAAGTAATCAATACTCATTTAAAACCAATACATAGGTGCATTGGCTACAACTACATGATGCCTCTTATTTCCCATGTAAACATATATATATTTTTTTTTCTGCAGGGTGCCTTGTACTGTCTCCTTGGAAATCACAGTGGTGTGTGCTTGGCAAACCTTCATGATTGGGACTGTATTGTACAGACGTGGCCAGCGATTGTTTCTTCAGGGCTTAGCCAAGCAATGTCCCTGGAAAAGCCATCAATAGTGAGATTGTTTGATGATCTTGCAGAAAAGATTCATAGGCAGTATGAAACAATTGGCTTGGACTTCACAGTAAGCAATATCATTCTTTCATTCAAGTTTTAGTGTAAATCCTGTCTTGTTAAAATGCCCTTTATTTTTCTTGCCCTTTTTCCAGTAATAATATTCTTGGCATTTGAGTCCAGTGTTTTTTTAAAAAAGCGTTTGTTACCTGTTTGCTTTTTGTACTTTCATTGATCATTATTGTACATAACAGGGTGAAGTAGCAAGTTGGAGCATGGTAGGGAGACAGCCAGGGCTCCACAAAGGGTTATTGATTTGTTATATTTACCCTTATTTTGTGTGTGCCCACAGCTTCATTTTTCAAAGAGTTAATTATATTTTATGAGGTTTACCATGCTAGCCAAAGTCGCAAAAGATCGACTACTGGGTTCGTAATTTATAGTGAAGAAAACTAAAATTGAATGATTTGACTCGAAAGACTAAAGAATATAACTTTCAGTGGTGCTTAGGTTGAGAGTTATAGCAGATTTTCTAGGAACTTGCAAATCTGTATTTATACTCCCTCAGAACATGGGGGTGAGTAAAAGAAGGGTGAGCACAGCAGAATCACCCTCTTGGCTGGCGTGACTATGGTTGACATCTCTCCCCTGGTTTAAAAACCACTGTTCTAAATGTATTCCTTTTAAATCAAACATAGGGTTGCTATTTGCGACTGTCATTAGATTATACTTTATTTTTTAGAAGAAAAATTTTAATTGAGATGTAATTCACATATCATAAATATCACCCTTTTAATATGGACATGTTATATGCACAGTAGAATATTCACAGGGCTGTGTAACTACTCAAATTCCAGAACATTTTCCTTTTTCTTTGTTTCTCATTCTCATTCTGTCTCATTCTGTCCCCCAAGGCTAGAGTGCAGTGGCATAATCATCCCCTGCCTCAGCCTTCCTAGTAACTAGGACTATAGGTGTGCACCACTACACCCAGCTAATTTAAGTTGTTTTTTTTTTTTTGAGAGAGAGACAGGGGTCTTGCTGTGTTCCCCGGGCTGGTCTCAAACTCATGGCCTCAAGCAGTCCCCTCACCTTGACCTCCCAAAGTGCTAGGATTACAGAGATGAGCCACCATGTCTGGCCTCCACAATGTTTTCATCACCCCAAAAGAAAACAAGTACCTAATAGCAGTCGCTTCCCATTCTTCCATACCCCAAACCCCTGGAAACCACTTTCTCTGTCAATAAATTTGCCCATTATTAGATATTTCATATAAATGGAATCGTAAAATATGTGGACTTTTGTGTCTGGCCTCTTTCACTTAGCATGACATTTTCAAGGTTCGTTCAGGTAGTATGCATCAGAACTTCATTTTTTTTCCTGCTTTTTTCTTTTTAACAAGATTCCAAAGTCATGTGTTGAAATAGCGGAATTACTTCAACAGTCAAAAAACCCCTCTATCAACCAGATATTGCTTAGCCCAGAAAAAATTAAGGAAGGAATTAAACGCCAACAGGAAAAGAATGCCGATGCCCTAAGGTAATTGATGAATGGTGTACTTCAATAGATGACATTATAGATAGTAAGTTTTGGCTTTTTTTTGAGACAGAGTCTTGCTCTGTTGCCCAGGCTGGAGTACAGTGAGACGATCATGGCTCACTGCAACCTTCACCTCCTGGGTTTAAGCTCTTCTCATGCGTCAGCCTCCCGAGTAGCTGAGATTACAGGCATGCACCACCACACCCAGCTAATTTTTGTATTTTTAGTAGAGACAGGGTTTTACCACATTGGCCAGGCGGGTCTCGAACTCCTGGCCTCAAGTGATCTGCCCACCTCGGGCTCCCAAAGTGCTGGGATTACAGGCATGAGCCACTGCGCCTGGCCGATAGTAAGTTTTTAACATCTCTAAAATATAGATGTATAACATAACTGCTTAATGATGTTTACACATTGACTTCTGAAAAAAATACAAAAAAGTTGAGAAGTAATTACTACACAGATTCCTGTTTTTCCTTTTTAAGCTATGGAGGTATAAAACACCATCTTAAAAATAAGGCCGAGCACGGTGGCTTATGCCTGTTATCCCAGCACTTTGGGAGGCTGAGGTGGGAAGATCACTTGAGCTAAGGAGTTCAAGACCAGCCTGGGCAACATGGTGAAACCCTGTCTATACAAAAAAAACAAAAATTTAGCCTGGCATGGTGGCACGCGCCTACAGTCCCAGCTACTCGGGAGGCTAAGGTGGGAGGATCGCTTGAACCTGGGAGGCAGAGGTTACAGTGAGCAGAGATCGTGCCCCTGCAGTTCAGCCTGGTAACAGAGCAAGACCCTGTCTCAAATAAACAAAACAAAAAGTTATTTCACTGTCCTATCTTTTTTTTTCTAGTGAATTATCTTTCTTTTTTTGTTTTTTTAAGGTAGTAATATTTCAGAAACTACATAACTGGTACACATCAGTCATTAATTCCTAAATTCAAGTTTAGCAGATGTATCATTTAATAGTTCTTATAATAGTAATAACTTATTGGTCAAATTTGGTATCAGGATTTTAATAAACTGTTTTTGGATTCTTGATACCAAAGCACTTAAATGCTTCACTGATAACACTCAAGCAAGAGTCTTCCTAACTTGATTTTGTCTTTGCCTTATAATTAGTATATGAATATACCTCTTTGTTGTTTTCTAAAATGTCTATAAATAATAAACTCTTATAGCCTACCTAATATATTTCAGAAACCTGGTGTATCGTGTGTGTGTGTGTGTGTGTGTGTGTGTGTGTGTGTGTGCCACTCCCAATTAATTGATTACTACTTACAGAGTTACTTGTGCATGTCCATTCAGGAAAAGTTGAGTTCACTCTTCCTAGCCTTTCATGAGCTTTTCCCAGCATCTCTGTTCACCTGTCTACTTTCATTCTGGCTTGCTTCTCATCAGGCCGTTTACAGTCAGGTGGTGGGAAGTAAGTGGGGAAGGAGGGTGAAATTGGCTAGAATTTGAATTTCTATTATATTTTTGATGTTCATTTTAGTATTATAGTAAAATAATACCTCACCTTTTTTTTAAAGGAACTATGAAAATTTGGTAGACACCTTGCTAGATGGTGTGGAGCAAAGAAACCTGTAAGTGCAAAAGATTTTTGTAATTCTCACAGCATTTTTCATAAATACTATAGGAGTTTTCTACATGGAAGGCTATGAATGACTATGTCACAAAAAGTTATATTCCGGTTTGTGTATTTGGAAGCAGATTAAGAGGAAAAGAGATGGAGGGAAAGTTTGGGATTAATGATAGGAGCAGTATTCTTCACTAGACCTATTTTAATTCTTGAGAAATTTAAAATTATAAGGTGTTTCACATACAGTTTTTTTTTTCCAAGTGGTTTTATGTGTGATATGCTTTGTTATTTTTCCTCCTTTTAAGGCCCTGGAAATTTGAACATATAGGCATTGGGCTTCTGTCTCTACTGCTGAGAGATGACCGAGTGTTGCCTCTTCGTGCCATACGGTTTTTTGTTGAGAATCTCAACCATGATGCAATTGTAGTTCGAAAGGTACATACCTTGTTTTAGCTACAGTCTTGGGTTTGAGAATATGTACGTGACCTGAAGTCTTTAAATTCTTCACAAGCAATACACACTTGGTTAATAAATATCTTGAAGTGTATTGATTTGAAATCTCCCCCTGTTGATTCAGAGATGATAATGATTCATCTAACAAATGAACATGTTTAGGCACTCTGTTTAAAAGACTGGGGATATAGCAGGAAATAAGTTTATAGGCTAATGGGAAAGATTTAACAATTAGAAAATTAGGTGTGCAGTGTGTTTCAGGAGGGGCAAGAAACTCGAGGGTATAGCTTTTTACTCTCCAAGTGTTAGAGGTGAGGTGGGGGTTGGGGAGATGGCCTAAGCTGAAGCATTGGAGAAAGACCTTTAAAAATACCCTGAGGCTGGGCAGGGCTTGGTGGCTCATGCCTGTAATCCCAGCACTTTGGGAGGCTGAGGCAGGTGGATCACCTGAGGTCAGGAGTTCAAGACCAGCCTGACCAACATGGAGAAACCCTGTCTCTACTAGAAGTACAAAATTAGCTGGGCATGGTGGCACACGCCTGTAATCCCACCTACTTGGGAGGCTGAGGCAGTAGAATCGCTTGAACCCGGGAGGGGGAGGTTGCAGTGAGCTGAGATTGTGCCATTGCACTACAGCCTGGGCAACAAGAGTGAAAACTCTGTCAAAAAAAAAAAAAAAAAAAACCCTGAGGCTAAGATTTGAAGAATGAGCAGGTATTGGTTTAACAAAGAAGGGGTCAAAGTTTTCTAGGCAGAGAGACTAGCATGTGTCAAGACTGTAGAGTAAGAACTGCCTATGATTCATTCTAAGTCAGATTTAGCACTCACATGGATGTACTGCCAGATGTCGATAGGCGAGGTGTTTTTTTAAAGAAACAGAATCCTATTTCTGCTTTGAGTAAAGCAGACAACCAGTTAAGTGATTTAAACTTTTTTTTATGAATGTGTACCTTTTTCCTTTTCTAGATGGCTATCTCAGCTGTTGCTGGTATCCTTAAACAGCTAAAAAGAACCCACAAAAAGCTGACCATTAACCCCTGTGAAATCAGTGAGTACTACCAGAAGTAATTAATAGTGCTTTCCAATAAAACTCAGAAAATTTTCTTGACATGTATAAATTCTAGTTCTTGACCTCAAATATTGTTCTATGGATATTAACACAAAATATAAATAATATTATGAAGGAAACAGTTGACTTAGTAAAAGCTAGTGATAACTATTTACAAAAATAGATTGACTCTTTCTGCCTTCATATTTATCTCACCTACTAAGCAATTATACTAATTATTTTATCAACTGTATTTCAAAGACTTAAATTGCTGTTATTAATTTGTTAAATGTTTCTCTTTGGGTGGTGGGATTAGGGACAAGGTGAATTTTCTTCCTCATACCTTATTGTATTACCAGAATTTTTCAGAAGAAAAAACCATTTTTTTCTGGTCTCCAATCCAGGATTAAAACATTGCATTTAAATTGTATGGTATCTTTAGTTTCCTTTAATGCAATGTTTAATCCTGGATTGGATTATAGTCCAGAAGAAAATGTTTTAATTTTTTTCATATAAAGTACATTCAGTGGGACAACTGTCAAAATTTGAGTAAAGTCTGTTGATGAAATAATTTTACTGTATTAATGAAAGCTTTTTTGAGAATTGTATTTTGATTATTTGAGATGATGTCTACAGTTTATACTCATAGTTTAGATAAGTATGTGTGGAGAGAGAGAGAATATCAAAGTATGCATGGTAAAATGTCAAAATTTGGGTGTCTCAGTAAAAGATGTGGGAATTTTTTGAGCTCTGTAAGTCTGAAATTATTATTTCAAATCTAAATAGTTTAAACAAAATTAATCCTTTTAATTTTGGTAAAAGGAATGAAGTGTGTTTCATACTTGATCTCTCCCCCAAAATAACTGATTCAACACAATTTAGTAGATAATGCCATCTACTCTGTTTTGAAATGTGCCTCCAATTGCTCATATATATGTTATCTTAATGTTATTTTTGTAGTGTTGTTTTGTGAAGACAAAGTTATGCTGGTACTGTTGATTGAAATTTGGTAATAATTGTTGGGCGAATATTTTTAAATTCATCAAATGTGATTGTCTTTTCCTTAGGTGGATGCCCTAAACCCACCCAAATTATTGCTGGTGATAGGCCTGATAATCATTGGTTGCATTATGACAGCAAAACTATACCAAGAACTAAAAAAGAATGGGAGTCAAGTTGCTTTGTGGAAAAAACTCACTGGGGATACTACACCTGGCCAAAGTAAGTAACTTACTGTGCACCTTATCATTAAATGCCTTTGATATAACTGCTTTATCATATTTTGGTTTCTGGGGAGGTTCAGAGGCACTTGAAGGTTCTTTTATCTTTCCCCTTCCCTAGTCCTCTCTTTCTTTTGCTCCTGCCAATGCTATGCCTCATTCCTGCCTCTTTCCTTGTGCAAAAACCCTTAGCCTTTCTGAATCCCATGGTTATATGGCTAAGGAGGTTATTAATAGCTGCTCTAAATTATATTCCTACCTATTAATAATACATATGCCTAAACCAGCCCAGAGAAATACATATTTTTCTCTCCTTATTTACTCCATTTGTCATTAGGACACAGTGATCTGATAGATTTTTAAGGCCTAGACTGTTACTGCTGTACTCATCTCCCCAAACTTAGCATCTAGTTAGAGTTCATTAAAAGTGCCTTCTAATGCTTTCTATCCATGAAGCTCTAATATTTTTTTCTATGCGTATGATAAATATGAACTCTTACTATATAGGAATATGGTTGTTTATGCTGGTGTGGAAGAGCAGCCTAAGCTTGGCAGAAGCAGGGAGGATATGACAGAGGTAAGCATTCCATTTCACCATGGTTCAAATGCATCTTGTTTTGGGCCACTGATTTATCTCAACCTCACTTCAGTTCTTCTTCTTCTTTTTTTTCTTAATACAATTTGTGTTTTTCTGTATAGCACTGCATAAATATTGGTGACTATGTAATCCATTCTCCTCAACCCCTTCATACTAGTGCCAGTTGACATAGATGTTGATGTATCTAAGACTGAGTTACTACCCCATTCAGCCCTCCGTTGGCTACTGCTTTATGTAATTTGCTGCTCATTTCTTGTATCAGTTCTGATACAAGCGTTTTGAAGGAAAAGTTAATGACTGATTTTTAGTTTTCTATTGCATATAAATTATGGGATCTCCGTAAATGCATGTTGGTAGATTTCAGTTAAAACTCCTTAAACTTCATTTAATTTACTTCACTTTGAAAGTTGACTTGGCTGGGAGCCATGGCACATGCCTGTAATCCCAACACTTTGGAAGTCTGAGGCAGGTAGATCACTTGAGCCCAGGAGTTTGAGACCATCCTGAGCAACATGGCAAAACCTTGTCTCTACAAAAAATACAAAAATCAGCTGGGCGTAGTGGTGCACACCTGTAGTCCCAGCTACTTGGGAGGCTAAGGTGGGAAAATTACCCGACCCGAGGAAGGCAAGACTGCAATGAGCCATGATCGCACCACTGCACTCCAGCCTGGATGACAGAGTGAGACCCTGTCCCAAAAAAAGAAAAGAAAAAAAAGAAAGTTGAGAAAGGGTTTTTAAGTTTATGTACTTGGTCCTTGAGTTAATGGTATTGTAACTTTTTCTGATTCTGAACAGTTTGCCTTTTAACTTCTGGTGTTAGGTAAATATGGAAGTGATTTGTTGGGGCTTGACTTATAGTTTTGGGGATTTTAACAAATTGCACACCAGGTGTTACAGTGGCTTTCAGTCTTCATTTCCCAAGCAGAACATTTGTTGATTTTTAATTCACAGTGTGAGAAATAGGATTCAAACTTGAGAATCTGAAGGAAAACTTCCTGTTTTAGCATTTTTAGAGGGAGGTACTTGGTTTTAGAAATCACTGTAGTCTATGAGAACTAAGAATTCATGGAAACAAAAATACAGCCTGCTTTTGACTATCAAAATCTTGTAATTTTAACTTTTTCAGAATCATGTATTTAAGTGGATTTTAAACGCTGAATATTGTTCTTTTTTTAACTTTATAGGCAGAACAGATTATATTTGATCATTTTTCTGATCCTAAATTTGTTGAGCAGTTAATTACTTTTCTATCATTAGAAGACAGAAAAGGAAAAGATAAGTTTAATCCACGACGTTTTTGCCTCTTTAAGGTAACTATATTGTTTACATATCCTCTTTGTAATGCTTAGTAACTATTCAGTTCGTAGGTTCATAACTTATAAATATTTGATCAAAGCTAGCCATCTGCCTTGATCTAAAATGGCACTGGAATTTACACTGAACATGTACAGACTTTTGTTGTCGTTATTCCCTAAACAAGACATTACAACCAGTATTGACATAGCATTAATATATAATACAATTAGTAAGCATTGTATTAGGTCCTAAAAGTACTCTTAAGATGATTTAAAATATACAGGAGGATGTATATAGGTTATATGCAAATACAATACCATTTTATGTCATGGACTTGAACATTTTGGTATTTTGGGGTGGGGATCTTGAAACCATTTCCCCACATACACCTAGGGATGACTGTATTTATCTTTAATGTTTGTTGTAATTGGCATTAGAAGGAAAAAAAATACCCAAAACTGCATGCGTTTTTTATGTTTAGTTGCTTTTTTTGAGGTGTGATACTTAGAGAGATTATTAATGTTTGTTTCATTGGTTACATTTTAATGTGATATTTAAAATGACAGTATTCTTACTATTTTAACTTACCGCAATTGTTAAAGCAGTTCTAAAGGGGAGTGTGCTTGGAGCTTTTAAGCACGTTAGTAATGTACAGAATAATTACAAGCATAATTATAATCGAGATGATAGTCATTTGAGTACTGAAGAACAGTCTTTGTTTTTATAGGGTATATTCAGGAATTTTGATGATGCCTTCCTGCCAGTTCTGAAGCCCCATTTAGAACATTTGGTTGCAGATTCACATGAAAGCACCCAGCGATGTGTTGCAGAAATTATAGCTGGTTTAATCAGAGGTTCTAAGCACTGGACATTTGAAAAGGTGATGTATTAATATTTGTACAGAACATTTCCTGTTAAAGCTATGTTACCCATTTTGGTGGCAATTCCCAACACATTAGATACTGATAATTAAAATATGAAATCTTCAGTGATATGAAATATGCCGATATGTAGACATTGCTTTTGATTACAGATTACAGCCTAATGGTCTCTAGGAACATTTACTATCTTTAAATTTTTGAAGTTTTTATCCACATTGGGGGAAAAAATTTAAAAAAAATTAAAAAAGAATTCCAGTTTCTTGAAAAAGAGGAAGATCCTGGAACACTGGTCCTACATTATTGCACTGTGTCACTCTGCTGATGGTGCACGTGTGCTTCTCCCTTCATTAAGCCATTCCAGCTTCTCATTAAGTCCTTTCTCTTAGCCTCCTTATCATTTATATTACTTGTCCAGTCTTTTAGACAGTTGGAGTTTGACTCTCCCTTTTAGAGTATCCCTCTTTTTAATTGTAAGATATAGTTTTCACACACCTGCCTTTAAGGTTAGTTCATTAGCAAAATACACGAGACTAAAAATAACCTGGTCAAATGTCAGGACCACCTGAGCATAAGGTAGACCACTATTTTGTCGAAGAGATGACACAAATAGGGTTTTTTGGTCACCTTTTAGGAGGACTGCAAACACTTTTGCCTACAAGAAACAATTTTATTTTAAAATGTCACATGTATTCTTGTCATCCGTTACATTACTAAAGCCACTCTTGAGTTACCTGTTTTGCAAAACATAATTCCTATCCCTATATGTTCTTTGAGATAAAGCTTTTTTTGATAAAATCAAAACAGTGCTGCCACTGGAAATTTTGTCTCAAACCCTTCCTGCTGATTGAAGAATTCCTTCCTTCCTTCCTTCCTTCCATCTGTCCTTCCGTCTGTCCATCCATCCGTCCATCTTCCTTGTCTGTCTGTCTTCTCTTTTTTTTTTTTTTTGGACAGTCTTACTCTATCGCCCTATCGCCCAGGCTGGAGTACAGTAGTGTGATCATTGCTCACTGCAACCTCTGCTCCCTGGGTTCAAGCAATGCCTCAGCCACCTTCAGTAGCTGGGATTACAGGCATGCGCCACCTTGTCAGGCTAATTTTTGTATTTTTAATAGAGGCAGGGTTTCTCCATGTGGCCAGGCTGGTCTCGAACTCCTGGCTCTTGAACTCCACCTACCTTGGCCTCCCAAAGTGCTGGGATTACAGGTGTGAGCTACTGTGCCTGGCCTTCATTCATTCTTTTAAAAAAAAAAATTCAAAATTTTTTTAGGAACTTAAAAAATTAATAATAGTAACTGTTCATGTTTATGGGGTACATGTGATATTTTGATACATGCACACAATGTGTAATGATGAAATCAAGGTATATCCTTTTTAACTAAAATACAGTCCATGGACCTGCAGCAGGGGTAGCACTTGGAAGCTTTTTAGGAAAGTAAGATCTCAGGCCCACTTGACATGAATCAATCTGCATTTTATCAAGACCTCAAGGTGATTTGTATGCTCATTAACCTATGAGAAAATCTATGTGTGTAAATGCAGTCTCTGTACGACGTACATGTTTTTATGGGCTATTTATCCAAGACTTGGAATTTGAAGATTATATCTCAGGCTGATTACTAAATTAAATTAAAATGTCATTGCCTCTTTAAGGTTTAATCAAATGATCTTGATAAACATGGAAAACTTGATTGAGGTTTTGTTTCAGCCTAGCGTACTATTATACAAGATTTTTAAGAACACATCAGTCATATGAGAGATTTGTTTTGTTTTGTTTTTTTAGACGGAGTCTTGCTCCGTTGCTTAGGCTGGAATGCAGTGGGATGATCTCGGCTCACTGCAACCTCTGCCTCCCAGGTTCAAGCAATTCTCCTGCCTCAGCCTCCCGAGTAGTTGGGATTACAGGCATGTGCCACTACGCTCAGCTAATCTTTATTTTTTTTGTAGAGACATGGTTTCGCCATGTGACCAGCTTGATCTTGAACTCCTGATTTCAAGTGATCCTCCTGCCTTGGCCTCCCAAAGTTCTCGGATTACAGGCAGGAGCCACTGCACCCAGCCAAGAGATACTTTTTAAAGCGCCATGCAAAGTATTTACTCTTTTCTGAATATTTTTTGGGAAAAAATTTCACCTATACCTGGATATGTATGGTGATAATGTACTTTGCTGGATTATTTGGGTGCTCTAAAAAATAATTAGGGCCAGGCATGCTAGCTCATGCCTATAATTCCAGCACTTTGGGAGGCCAAGGTGAGAGGATTGCTTGAGGCTAGGAGTTCAAGACCAGCCTGGGCAACATAGCAAGATCCTGTTTTTACAAAACATAAAAAATATTTCAGGGCATAGTGGCACACACCTATAGTCCATGCTCCTTGGAAGGCTGAAGCGAGTGGATCACTTGAGCTCAGAAGCCTAAGGCTACATCGAGGTATGATCATTCCACTGCACTCCAGCCTGGGCAATAGCATGAGACCATGTCTCAAAAATAATTTAAATGATATACCTGTATGTGTGTACATTTCCAGGTAAAGAAAGATATTTGAAGAAAAATGTTCTGAGTGTCATTAACTCTTACCCATATATTTTGTTTTGAGTAGGTGGAGAAGCTTTGGGAGCTTCTGTGCCCTCTGCTTAGAACAGCACTGTCCAATATTACCGTAGAAACTTATAATGACTGGGGAGCTTGTATAGCAACATCCTGTGTAAGTTACCCTACATCTTTCTTTGTCTAACTGATCTATTCAAACTGTTTGATACTGTCTCTCAAAGTGTGTGAAATCTCATAACACTTCTTAAATCTTTTTGGGTTTTGTTTTTTAATTGTTTTTATTTTTTATTTCCATGGGATTAGAGACTATTATTCTAAGTGAGGTAACTCACTTCTTGAATCTTGAAAGTTTGTTCATACTTTTGTCATCTTATGTAATTGGAGATGGCTCTATTCAGCCTTTCAAATAAGTCTTGAGAAGTAACTCTTAAGTGATTATTATATCTTCTCTGCTGTGGTAATGCATTTTAAAATTAAGTGACAGTCATGTATTTGGAAATGTCACTTACATATAGTAAAAGCCACATAATACAAAGTTATAGGTATTATTTTTTATACCAGATATGTCCATAGCTCGTGTACTTTGATTGAAGATAATCCATTTAGCTAACAACAGCTTTCTCACTGTTAACTTGAACTGCGATAGTCACATTTGAGTTTGAGTCACCTATCAGTTTTAGTTTGATTTTCTTCTCCTGTACAGTCAGCCCTCCATATCCATGAGTTCCACATCTGTGGTTTCAGCCAACCTGAGGAGATGGAGAATATTTCAGAAGGGGGTGGGGGGATGGTTGTGTCTATAGTGAACCTGTTCAGATTTTTTTTTTCTTGTCATTATTCCCTAAACAATACAGTATAACAGCTATTTACATAGCATTTACATTGTATTAGGTATTACAAATACTCTAGAGAAGATTTAAAGTGTACAGGAGGATGTGCATAGGTTATATGTAAATACTACACCATTTTCATAACAGACTTGAACATCTGTGGATTTTGGTATCCTAAGGGAGTTCTGGAACCAATCCACCACAGATACCAAGGGACGACTATACTTATATATGTTTTCAGTATTTCTAAAATAATTGAATATGGCTGGGTGCACTAGCTCTCAACTTTAATCGCAGAACTTTGGGAGGCCGAGGCAGGAAGATAGCTTGGGGCCAGGAGTTGGAGACCAGCCTGGGCAACGTAGGGAGACTCTGTCTCTACAAAAAATAAAAAATTAGCCAGGCATAGTGGCGCATGCCTGTGGTCCCAGCTACTTGAGAGACCGAGGCGGGTGGATTACTTGAGCCTGGGAGGCAATCATACCACTTCACTCCAGCCTGGGCAACAGAGTTAGACCTAGCCTCAAAAATAAAATTAAATTAAATAACTGAGTATGATTTGTTTACAGAATTGTAGGTTCTCTGTTGAACTGTTACATCATATTTTAAACACAGGAAAGCAGAGATCCCCGGAAACTTCACTGGCTTTTTGAACTGCTGTTGGAATCACCATTGAGTGGTGAAGGAGGATCCTTTGTAGATGCATGGTAAATTTTTTTAAAAAACCTATGAGGTTAACACGAAAGGTTTTGTGTTAACTTATGTATAAATGGAAATGAATGGTCTATACTTGTAAAGTCTAGATGAAGTAATTACTTTCTTCTGGAAGGTGATGTGATCTGGTTCCATATAACATGTGATACTTAATAAGAGTTATTTATTAGTTGGACAAGTAAGTGAGATGTAGGCAACCTGAGCAATTTAAACACAAATTAGAGTCAGCATTCTTTGCTGTCAAATATTTTATCAGAATTGTCTTTTGTACTTTTGTGTCTTCATCACATCTTATTTTTCACTTTTTCCTGTTAAAAAGATACAAAGAAAGAGTAATCATTTCAAGGAAAAACTGCCTTGTTTGGGGCATATGGTGCTGTAGAAAGTTAGACAATAGTAATATGGATAATTTCATTAAAAAGAAGAAGCACTTAATTAATGAGAAAACTTGAATTGTGATGTTTAAATATTAGTCAGTGAGTATTCTTAAGTCAGTATTTCTTTCAGTTTTCTAGTAGTGTGGATGAAATGCAAATACAGAGAAAATGATATAGGAAAAATAAAATCTTCATAAAGAGGCTATTTTGAGTTGTGGATATTGTAGTATTTATTAAGTGAAAAAACGAAAAAGCTTTAAGTGAAATACAGATATTGTCTGTCCATACTGTCAATATGTAAAGGCAGAAAGGGCCTCCAATATAACACTACGATGCTTTAATTTTAGTCGACTTTATGTACTACAAGGTGGCCTTGCCCAGCAAGAATGGAGAGTGCCTGAACTATTGCACAGACTACTGAAGTACTTGGAACCCAAACTCACCCAGGTTTACAAAAATGTCAGAGAAAGAATAGGAAGGTAGGTACTGTTTTCTCTGTGGTGTACCTCTCGAGTTCTTTGTTTGTTTTTTTTTAAATTGTAATAGGTAATAATACATGCTGGTTATGTTGTCAGTGGGTTTCATGGTGTCTTTCTCAAATTGTTTGCTATTGTGTCGTGGGAAACAAGATGAAACACTCTGAATGTAAACTAGGACAGCAGTGTGCTCAGAAGCCAGAGATGAGCAGTCACAACACCTAAGTGTTAATACCCCTTAATTATAAGGCTTCTTTTACACACAGGCATAATCTAAGACCCACTCCAGGAATTGTCTTGGGACAGTTTACTTTGATTGGGTCATAACTTTTGAACCTCATTTTTATTTATAATGTGGCACCTCTTCCTATTATTAAGTATTTTATTTTGCAGTGTGCTGACCTACATATTCATGATAGATGTATCTTTGCCAAATACCACACCAACCATATCGCCTCATGTCCCTGAGTTTACTGCTCGAATTCTGGAGAAATTGAAACCTCTCATGGATGTGGATGAAGAAATTCAGAACCATGTTATGGAAGAAAATGGAATTGGTGAAGAAGATGAGCGAACTCAGGGCATTAAACTCTTGAAAACCAGTGAGTGGATAAAATTAGTAGAAACTCAGTTGAAAACATCTATTTGATTATCCTGTAGAGTTTTTTGCACCACTTTTTTTATTGTGGTAAAATAGACATAATGAAAAATTTACTGTTTTAACCATTTTTAAGTGTACAGTTCAGTGGCATTAAGTACATTCACATCCTTGCGCAACCATCATCACCATTTATCTCTAGAATCCTCTTCATCATACGAAACTGAAACTTTGTACCCTTTAACAACAGCTCCTCATTTTCCCTCCCCTCATCCTTTATAACCACTGTCTACTTTCCATCTCTGAATTTGCCCATTCTAGGTAGGTCACATAAGTTGAATCATAAGTCTTTTTTGTGTCTGGCTTATTTCATGTTACATAGTATTTTCAAGTTGAATGAATGAATTTCTGAATCATGTTGTGTCCTTAATCTGTTACCCATTCATCTGTTTGCTGGATATTTGGGTTTCCACCTTTGGCTATTGTGACTAATGCTGCTCTGAACATTGATGTTTGTATAAGTACCTGTTTGAGTTCCTGCTTTCAGTTCTTTAGGGTATGTACCTAGAAGTGGAATTGTTAGACCATGTAGTATTTCTGTGCTTAAGTTTTTGAAGAGCTGCCAGACTCTTCTCTGCAGCAGCTGCACCATTTTACATTCCAGTCAGCAAATGCACAAGGGTTCCGTGTTCTCGCCACCTGTTTTGTTTGTTTGCTTGCTTTTTTAAAGTATAGCCATCTTAGTGGGTATGAAGAGGTATCTTGTGATTTTGGTTTGCATTTCCCTAATGATTACTGATATTTCAAGAATCTTTATTAGCCATTCGTATTTCTTGTTTGGAGAAATATCTACTCATGTCATTCATTACCCAGCCCTCTGCTGCCTTTCACTCTGTCGTCCAGGCTGCTTACTGCAGCCTCAATCTCCGGGGCTCAAGAGATCCTCCCACCTCAGCCTCCTGAGTAGCTGGGACTACAGGTGTGCAACACCACACCCAGCTAATTTTTAAATATTTTCTAGAGACAGGGGTCTCCATATGTTGCCCAGACTGGTCTTGAACTCCTGAGCTCAAGGGATCCTCCCGCCTTGGCCTCCAAAAGTGCTAGAATTACAGGCATGAGCCACTTTACCCAGCCCATTTCTGAATTAGATTGTTTTGTTGTTTTTGAGTTTTAGTTCTTTATTTATTCTAATATCAATCCCTTATCAGATACACAATTTAGAAATATTTTCTCCTATTCTGTGGGTTGTCTTTCTACTCTCTGGATAATGTCTTTTTATGCACAAAAGTTTTAAATTTTATTTTGGGTGCTGTTATACTGCTTCTTAATAAGTGTCTAATTTATGAAGTAACATAGATGATATCTTTCATAGCACCGAAGAGCTGTCAGAGTGGCTGTATGACAATAACATTACAATATTGTTCTACTTTGTGGTCTGTAAATGAATGGCAAAGACTTACTCTGCATCTTTGTTTTCAAAATAGTATTGAAATGGCTGATGGCAAGTGCAGGAAGATCCTTTTCTACAGCAGTTACAGAACAACTTCAGCTTCTACCTTTGTTTTTCAAGGTAAGGTTTTGCTGAAATTAAGAATGCATCTCCTTTTGACCTTCATAAGGAATTTGTGTTCATCATCTGATGGTTGAAGTTCTTCAGACAGTGTGAATTTTGATTGGATCTCTGAAAAGTAGAATGGTCACAGGAAAATCATTAGGTGATAGTGGTTTAATATTTGTTGAAATCGTGTTTTAGTATTAGGTGATAGCAGGATTTTGACAGCTACATGAAAATTTAACGGAATATTGTTTTACCTGGTAGCTAATTTCTGAGTAATAGCAGATTAGAGGAATTATTGACAGTTAAAAGAAAAGCTACAAAGAAATTTTTTAATCTAGCCATTTCTGACTTCTTTACTAATATAATCTACAAACGAAAATGTTCAGTATATTGTGTTTGTTTTACAATGTTAAAGGACCCTATAACTGTTTCTAACAAATATCTGCAGGAAATCATTTGCCTCTGGTATGATATAATGACATTTTGTTAATGAAAGGCATGGCTTGAGGTGGTTTTATCTAATCATCTACTCAGGGGATGCAGCTAGTGGAACTAAGGTCACAGGTTGACTCATTAGTTTCCAAAATCATAGTTTGCAATAATGATATGGTTGGCTGTGGTTAGGAAAACAGTGTTAATTGTGCATTTGAAAGGCTTGGCATAAACATCACCACTTTTTGACATTATTCATCAGTACAGTTATTATTATCTAAGGAGGAGGGCCCTTATTATTGTTAACAAATGGCATGCTAAACTTTTGATTTGCTATAGTATATTTTGTCGTTAGGAAATTTCACAGTTAACTGTACCAGTAACTTTCAAAGATTGTACTACTAAAATACTTTTAAGAATGCTATGCAAAGGATGATACCCATGAATGTCCCTGGGATCTTTTGGGGTATAAAAGTAGACAGTAGCTGCTAGTATATAGGTCCTTCTTACCTATAGGTCTTTGGTGTATGTAGGCTTTGTCTGCCTAGTACTTAAATGTTTTTCCTCTGTCACATACCAAGCGGATATAGAACATTCATAAATTCATAATGTGCAATGATTGTTAGGATAGCTGGGGTTCCATCCCATTTCTTTCATTCAGAACAAATACAGGCAAGTATGTAAGAGGTTGGTAGAAGGATGATTTGAATCCACTTGAAGTTTATGAAAAAACTTATATCATTAGAAACCTGTACGATAGAGGCCCGGTGTGGTGGTTCACACCTGTAATGCCAGCACTTTGGGAGGCCGAGGCGGGTGGATCACAAGGTCAAGAGATCGAGACCATCCTGGCCAACATGGTGAAACCCCATCTCTACTAAAAATACAAAAATTAGCTGGGCATGGTGGCGCACGCCTGTAGTCCCAGCTACTCGGGAGGCTGAGGCAGGAGAATCGCTTGAACCCGGGAGGTGGAGGTTATAGTGAGCTGAGATCGTGCTACTGCATTCCAGCCTGGCAACAGAGCAAGACTCCATCTCGAAAAAAAAGAAAAGAAAAGAAAGCTGTACGATATAAGTTACCATTGACAAGCCTAACATCTCACCTGGATATACTAATATTGACGATATACTAATACTAGACCATCATGCTGAATGGGGCCAGAGGTACAAAGGCATCATGTCATAGTTATTTTGCACATAAATCAGATGTGTAGAGTGTGAGGATAAAGAGAGGCGTTTAAAAGAAACGTGTTTACTAAACCATGAGAGGAGCACAGAAGGAGTAGAAGAGGCGGTCAGAAATTCCCTTTCCAACATATTTCAGATGCTTATAAGACTTATAAGTGAAGATGCTTTTATAAGTGAAGATAATGGATAAACATTCAGAGTTCAGTGGAATAGTGCAGCAGAGTTCAGTGGAATAGTGGTACAAACTTAAATGTCATCAACAGAGATGATACTTAAAACCATGATATTGAATGAGATCATCAAGGGAATGGGTGTAGATGGAAAAAAAAAAAAGAAGTATAAGAATTGAGCCAACATTCACAGGTTAGGGTGATGAGAACACAACAAATAGAGATGATTCAGTTAGCATATGCCTCGTAACTTACTTTATATGAACTAAATTAGAACCATTTAAGAGGACTAGATTATTTTCAACTGTCCAAAGTTTAAAACCCACATTACCTTTCTTTATTGTGGATGGTCAACAACATTCATATCAGAGGAGAGACCAGCGAATGGCAGCTTATCACATGGACCCCGCACCCCCCCACCGCTTTTTTCTGAGACAGTCTCACTGCAGTGGTGCAGTCATGGCTCACTGCAGCGTCAATCTCCTGGGCACAAGCAGTCCTCCTGCCTCAGCCCCCTGAGTAGCTGGGACTACGGGCATGCATCACCATGCCTGGCTAATTTTCTCAAAAATTTTTGTAGAGATGGGGTCTCATGTTGTCTAGATTGGTCTCCAATGGTCCTCCCACCGTAGCCTTCCAAAGTGCTAGGATTACAGGTGTGAGCTACTATTTTTGGTCTCCCATTCCTAATTTAATAAAAAATAGTTAATAAAAAAAACTTTGAAGTTTGTGGAAAATTTCAGTAACAGTGTAAGTTTAATTTCTCTCCTTTTTAAAAGAAATAAATGCCTTTTGAGAGAAAACTGAGAAAGTTGGAAGGAAATATTCATAAACTACCATTACCATTAACCTTTCTTATATGTATCTTTTTTTCTTAAAATTATTGTGAGTTTATAAAAGCAGCACATATTCATAAAAGTATAAGATAGACTGACAAGACTAATTGTGTATGATAACAGCCACTGTTCATAGTTTTATTTATATTTATCTTATTTATTTATTTTTTTTTGTATTTCCTCAAATGTTATTTTCCTACACAGTTGTTTGTCAGTAGAGTCAGGCCAGTAGCTCTGCAGCTTCCCTTTTATGAACCCAATCAATATATTGTATGTACGTTTCCATGTCAGTAAGTAGATACTTGTTATTCCTTATGTGGCTTTTAGAATTTAATATCCTGTGCTCTCTAGTAGTAGATGTTTGGTTTTATGACAGTTGTTCACCAGATAGACAACAAGAGGCAGTGAGTGGAGTCATTAACAGCGTGAAGTTTTGAGCCAGGCTGCCTGGATCAAATTCATCTCCATGGCCCATGAACTAATTAGGTAATCATGGGCATCTAATTCAACCCCTCTGAACTTTATCCCTCTCATCAGTAAAATGGGGATAATGATACCACCCATCTCCTAAGGATGTTACGAGGATTATACGAGTTAATACGTGTCCCTCATTGTCCAAATTGAGGAGTGGGTGGCTGAGTCTGATAACAAGGAATTATGTGCATTTTCCATTTCCTGAGTTGCCATTAGCAAATAGCAAGAGTTTAAATTAAAAGATATTGCATCCTAAATTGAGAGAATAAGGGGTATTTTCATATGGGAAGTGCTTAAAGCAGCATCAGGCACATGGTAAACACTGTAGACATGTTCCTCTTCATTAATGATACAGTGAACATCTTATACATATCTTTTGCACTTTGCACATATTTTTTATAGAATAAATCACCAGAAGTGAAAATGCTGGATCTACTTCAGCTAACACATTGTTGTAAGAAACATATGGTACATTGGCTGTTCTGTTAAAAATCTTATTTATCCTATCCCATAAAAAGCAGTTTTATATCCATAAAAAATCCTGAAATATATATGTATTAAAATTATATTTATATATATCTATATATAAACTTGCCTATTCTGGTCTAAGAGTCTTCATATTCTTAAGATTAAAGGAAGAGGTTTTCCAACCAAGAATAGCTTACAAAGTCCTGGCTTTCGGGTAAATAGAGTCCTAGTTTAAAATCCTGCCTTTAGGTTGGGCACAGTGGCTCACGCCTGTAATCCCAGCACTTTGGGAGACCGAGGCGGGCAGATCACTTGAGATCGGGAGTTTGAGACCAGCCTGAACCACATGGTGAAACCCCATCTCTACTAAAAATACAAAAATTAGCCAGGTGTGGTGGCAGATACTGTAGTCCCAGCTACCCAGGGGTCTGAGACAGGAGAATCACTTGAACCCTGGAGGCGGAGGCTGCAGTAAGCCAGATCTCGCCACTGTGCTCCAGCTGGGAGACAGTTCAAAAAAAAAAAAAAATTCTGCCTGTGACAGGTGCTTTCTTTGTGACCTTGCACAAGCTTCTGAACTTGTCTCCTATATAAAGAGTGTGAGTTTAATATCAGTGTCCCTCACAGAACTGTTAGAAGGATGAAATGACATACCTGTAAAGCAGAAAGCACAGTGGTAAAGTACATACTTATTATTTTACTAATCTTTAACTGTATTTTAATTTGGAACAATTAAGGGCTCAAATGGTGGTGGTCAGAGAGGTATTTTATCCTAAGTTTCAAACTTCAGAAAATGCTCATCAAAATCCACAACTATAGTTTCGCATATGTAAAACTTAGAGAAGAATGTACAGATATTGTGGTACATTGGATACAGTCACCTCGCATTGTTGGTATTTCTTTAGAAAAACTATTTTTTTCAATAATCAGGAGAAAAATATCTTATAAGGTGATTCCTTTGCTAACTAAATGAACAGCATTTTCTACTGGTTAACATAGTTTAGTATATAATCTATCTGGTGAAATTTATCTATTGGATTTTAGAATTTTACTGTTTTTAGTAGAACATTTTCACCCATGCTGTACTTGAGAGTATTGTGTCTTAATTTCATTAGAAAGACACATTTTTTTCGTAATGGTAGGAAGAGAGACGGCTGATTCAACAGATGAAGTGAGTCATCTTAAATTCTGGTGGTAATAGACCTTGCCAGTAAATGAATATCTTCTTTTTTATACCACAGTTAACTACCCAAACTCTAAATCACCTCATATTTACTGTGAGTGTGAATAAAATGACCAGGAAAACAACTCCACGTGTAATGCCTAGAGATTTGAACTGTTGAGTATTTACCATTTGTACCCTGACTTTGTTGGTGTATGTCCTTTTATGCCTTTGACTATGAATGTGTCTCTGCTTTACCCTACGAAAGTGTTTCTGAAATTGTTTTATGAATAACAATTACTTAATTCTGCAAGGTGATTTTGGTTTTTAACTCAGTATATCATGTCCATCTTTTCATATCATTACACAAAATTGCCTCTTTTTATGACTAAATTGTACCATCGTTTAAAAATTTAACCAGTTTTCTGTTGATGGAACCTCTGGCTCTTCTTAAGTATCTTGCACATGTGAGCATATTTGTAGGATACTGCCTAGGTGTGAAATTGCTGGGCAAAAGAGATGTATCTGCATTTTTTTTTAAGAGATGATATCTTGCTATGTTGTCCAGGATGGCCTCAAACTCCTGGGCTCAAGCAATCCTCCCACCTCAGTCTCTTGTGTAGCTGGAAGTACCTTCGTGTGCCAGCACCACCACTCCAGCTAATTTTATTTTTTGTAGAGATGGGGTCTCACTTGTAGTGGCCCAGGCTGCTCTCAAACTCCTGGCTTCAAGTGCTCCTCGTACCTTGGCCTCCAAAGTGCTAGGATGATGGGCATAAGCCACTCTGCCCAGCCCAAGTTTACCACTTTTAAGCTTTTGCACACCTCTTTGTCTCTAAAGAAATACCCTTATACTGCTCATTTTTTATTTTCCAACTTAAGTTACTTTGCTATGGATGTCCTGCCATTTTGGAGATGTGGTTAAATTACTTCCACCATATTCTTCCTCCACACCAAGGCAGGGTTTTGAATCTCCTTGTCAAGTTTATACTTCTGTAATTTTTTTAACCTTTTAAAACACAATTCCTACTGGAATTGAATTAAATTCATAAAGTAATTTTGGTCACATGCCAGGGATAAAAAATAATGTGTTCTGACATCGCACCAGTTGATGTTCAATAATTAATGTTCAATGTTATTTCCTTTTCCTTTTTTTTTTTTTTTTTTTGAGACAGGGTCTTGCTCTGTCACCCAGGCTGGAGTGCAGTAGCACGATCATAGCTCACTGCAGTCTCAGTCTCCCGGGCTCAAGGGGTATTCATTGTTACTGAGTTGATTAGTGTTTCTGGGCTTATTTGGTAGACACAGCACATTTTCTAAGAGAAATAGCTCGTACTGGCATTTTCAATTCAAATTTGGGATTACTAAGATTTTATTTAACCACTTGTATTTTTATATCTTTTACCTCTCATGTGAAAACTCTTGGTTCCTGTTGACAGTTACTCTAAATTTGATTTTTATACATCCCACAAAGCATTATATTACCCTGCTTTTAAAAGTCACTGCTCTAAGTATGTTTCCTGCCAGCCAGATAAACAGTGAGTTTCACTTATTTCATTTTGCTTTTGCTTTTTTTCTGAAGAGACTTTTAAGGGATTACTTTATAACAATAGGAATGATTCATACGATAGGATATCTAAACTACAAGGATGTACTACAGTTTATTTAACCAGACACTCTCTAGATCCAATAGATATTTGAATTATTTCCAATGTTGTGCTTTTGAAATAGTGCTACAATGTAGATCTTTGTGTAGACATTTCATATGTTTGCCAGTATATCTTTGAGGTAGGAGGGTAGACATACATTGCCAGTATTGGGGGAAATTCACCCCCAATATTTCACATAGGTTCTTTTCTATTTTCCCTAAGTGTCGGCCGGTCTGAGAAATAAAGGGACAGAGTACAAAAGAGAGGAATTTTAAAGCTGGGTGTCCGGGGGAGACATCCCATGTCAGCAGGTTCCTTGATGCCCCTGAGCCGTAAAACCAGCAAGTTTTTATTAGTGATTTTCAAAAGGGGAGGCAGTATATGAATAGGGTGTGGGTCACAGAGATCGCGTACTTCCCAAGGTAATAAAATATCACAAAGGAAATGGAGGCAGGGCGAGATCACAGAACCATAGGACCTGGGCAAAATTAAAATTGCTAATTAAGTTTCGGGCACACATTGTCATTGATAACATCTTATCAGGAGATGGGGTTTTAGAGCAGACCACTGGTCTGACCAAAATTTATTAGGCAGGAATTTCCTCATCCTAATAAGCCTGGGAGCACTACGGGAGACCGGGGCTTATTTCCTCCCTTAGCTATGACTGTAAAAGACAGCCGTCCCCAAAGTGGCCATTTCAGAGGCCTCCCCTTAGGGACACATTCTCTTTCTCAGGGATGTTACTTGCTGAGAAAAAGAATTCAGCGATATTTCTCCTATTTGCTTTTGAAAGAAGAGAAATATGGCTCTGTTCCACCAGGCTCACAGGCAGCCAGAGTTTAAGGTCATCTCCTTTGTTGTCTGAACATTGCTGTTATCCTGTTCTTTTTTCAAGGTGCCCAGATTTCATATTGTTTAAACAATTTGTGCAATTAACACAATTATCACAGGGTCCTGAGGCGACATTCATCCTCAGCTTATGAAGATGATGGGATTAAGAGATTAAAGTAAAGACAGGCATAGGAAATCACAAGAGTATTGATTGGGGAAGTGATAAGTGTGCATGAAGTCTTCACAATTTATGTTCAGAGATTGCAGTAAAGACAGGCATAATAAATTATAAAAGTATTAATTTGGGGAACTAATAAATGTCCATGAAATCTTCACAATTTATGTTCTTCTGCCATGGCTTCAGCCGGTCCCTCCGTTTGGGGTCCCTGACTTCCTGCAACAGCCAGTAGAAAGTAAATGAATATGTGCTTTTGCTAGACACTCCTACACACCCCTCTTTATTGGTTATTTCCTCAGAGACTCACTTTTACAGTATGATATTAAACATCCCGATTTTTCCCAGTAGAACAGGTGGAAACATATAACTCAGTATGGTTTTAATTTGCAAAAAGAAATAATTTTTATTCTAAAATACCAAGGATTATATTAACTGAGGTAAAATATTTAAAGCTCAGCATTATGAAATGTCTTTGCATACCCATAACAAAAAAAGAACTGAATCATGCCTTTGTTATGACAAAGGCTCTCCTTGACCAAACTTAAGTCAGCTCCTCTGAGCCATCTTTCTGACTAGATCTCAACCTTGGGCTCTGTCTTTGGCCTGTCTGTCTTTGGTCCAGTTTTAGCAAGACTGTCTCTAATCTAGTTTAGAAAGAATCCCCCACCCTTGGTATCTGATCACCCTATTCTACCTTTTGCAGGAATCCCGTTAAGTAGGTTTAGGAGGAAACCTCCTACCCCTGATGTCGCTGAATAAACTTTTCCTTAATAATTTATCAAATGTCAGAATAATTTTTTTTAACAACAGTTTCAAGCTGAGTGTATTAATTCACTATGATAGTTTGTCCAGTATTTGATAGAAATAATTTCCCTTAGCAAACTTTATTTTTTTTTTAAGAGACAGGGTATCACTCTGTCACCCTGGCTAGAGTGCAGTGCTGTGATCATAGCTCACTGTAACCTTGAACTCCTGGGCTCAAGCAATCTTCCCACCTCAGCCTCCCAAGGACTATAGGCATGTGGCACCAAGCCCAGCTAATTTTTTTTTTTTTTTTTTTTTTTGTAGAGGCAGGATCTTGCTCTGTTATCCATGCCAGCCTCATGAGAATCCCTCCAACTTAGCACCCCGGAGTCCCTTAGCAAACTTTATTAAAGCTTTCCCCTACTGAATGTGCAAGGGTATATTTTTTAAATATTTAAAACGTATTTAAGGCATCAGACAGCATACATTCATAGTCAAAGTATGGTACCAGACAAACCTGATTTCTTCATTAAAACAAATACGGATACTGGGTACACTGGCCCATGCCTGTAATCTCAGCACTTTGGGAGGCCAGCGCAGGAAGATTGCTCAAGCCCAGGAGTTTGAGACCAATCTGGGCAACACAGTGAGATTCTGTCTCTACCATACATTTAAAAAAAAAAATAGCTGGACACGGTGGTGCGTGCCTGTGGTCCCAGCTACTCAGAAGGCTGAGGTGGGAGGATCACCGACCCCAGAAAGTTGAGGCTACAGTGAGCCATGGTTGTGCCACTACACTCCAGCCTGGGCTACAGCGCAAGACCCTGTCTCAAAAAAAAAAAAAAAAAAAAGAATGACAGTGGCTACAGCCATCAGATTTGTTGGAATTCATAATGATAGTCTTTTAAAAATTCTTATCTACTTTTGGAGGACAGAAGGGAAATCATTATTCCAAATGAGGGAAAGCTTATATATATATATATAAGTATTCTAGCTAATAATGAAGAAGGAATGACCATTTCGCAAATCTCTCTTTTTATAATGGATTATCACAGAAAGACAAAGCTAAATATCAATGAAAGAAATACACAGCACCACTTATGTTGTGCCCAAAAAAGTGAAACTTCAATAAAGTCAGACCTTTACATCTAATAGCCAATTTATAAGACTTACTGGGGCCAAGGAATACCACTGCAGGGATGCAATCAGCAAAGGCCACAGTGGGGAAACTATAAAACAACAGACACAGCTTTTTTTCCCTGAGGAAAAAAAATACAGAGCAAGGGATTTTAAGATAGTTGCGGGGGGGAATATATGCATTGAAAGAGATTTATGAAACATACCAAGTAAGTACAATATGTGGTCATTACCTTAAACCTGATTTCAAAAAACCAGTTGTAATAACACATGAATGTGGTACTTGGGGAAATCTGAGTACCGCCACATATTTTATATTATAACTGTAACGAAGTTTTATGTGTGATGATGTCCATTACATGATTCTTTTTTAAGGGACCTTTTAGAAATAACATAATAAAATATTTAGGATGAAACAGTCAGGGATTTGCTTCAAATAATTTCATTGGGGAATGAGAGTCAGAGGGGAGGAAAAATGAAACAAAAGATTATGAGTTTGTCATTATTGAAGAGGTGATTGGCTCATGGGGGTTCATTATGCTATTCTCTAGTTTATGTGTTTGAAATTTTCCATAAAAATTGTTAAATTAAAGATGTGTTGTCTCTCATGTAGGATGCCTTTGTACTTATTGGCAATTATTTTTCCATTTTTGTCCTTTTTACATTGTTTTTTAGATTGCCCCAGTGGAAAATGACAATAGCTACGATGAACTGAAAAGAGATGCAAAGTTATGTTTATCATTAATGTCTCAGGGGTTGCTTTACCCTCATCAAGTGCCTTTGGTACTTCAGGTGCTAAAACAAGTAAGAGTGTTTATAATATTTATGTCTTTTGATTAGGATTTTGGTTTACCATTCTAAGAATTTCAGTCAGCTGCAGTGCACACAGCGCCTAGTTTTTGTTTTGAATTTTCTTTTAGTATAAGAGAAGACATATATATTGACCAAAGAAACAGACCTAGATTCTGTGCCTGGCTCTGCCCCTGCCTTCTGTGACTTTGGGCAAGTCAGTCAAGCCAAAAATATGCAGATAGCTAATTCATTATTAAGTGCTTTGGATAAAAAGTGCTTATGAGGAAGGTGGATGGTGGTTCCTTTCTACCACCAGTTCCCCTTTGTTTTGCTCACTTCTGTTACCTGGTCTTTTCTAGAGAGACCTATACTGACTGTACATTTTCTGCCTGCATTGTTGGTATACTGTATGGTCAGCTTTATCCAGACATTACACATGTTATATAGAAGTGGACGTCTTCCCATAGCTTTCATTTTAAATTTGATAACCACACTGGAAAATATTTTCAACAACCTACAATTGTATTTCTTTGTAGTAGAATTTAGTAGTTGTTAATCATTTGCTTTCCAGACCCTGCTGTTGCTACCAAAAGTAAAATAATGTGCCATCCTCAGAGGAGTTAGGAGCCATTAATCATGACTGTCTCTTGTGAAATTGACTTTTACCTTTGTGTGGGTTTTTTTGTTATTGTTTTTGAGACAGAGTTCGCTCTGCTGCCCAGGCTGGAGTGCAGTGGCCCCATTCTGCTCACTGCAACCTCCGCCCCCCAGGTTCATGCGATTCTCTTGTCTCAGCTTCCCAAGTAGCTGGGATTACAGGTGCCTGCCACCACACCCAGCTAATTTTAGTATTTGTAGTGGAGACAGGGTTTCACCATGTTGGCCAGGCTGATCTCAAACTCCTGACCTCAGGTGATCCACCCACCTCACTCATCCTCCCAAAGTACTGAGATTACAGGCGTGAGCCACTGTGCCCAGCCTCATTCAACCTTTTATTTATAACGAAATATGAGCTTGTCCTAACTATACCTGTGTAAATAGAGTTAAATTAGAATATTACATTGTTTGTGTGTAATGTCACTATCTGTCATCTCATGTTCTTGTCAGTACTGCTTTATCGTTTATATTTATTTGTCATTCACAGACAGCAAGAAGCAGTTCTTGGCATGCACGATACACAGTACTGACCTACCTCCAGACCATGGTATTTTATAACCTCTTTATTTTCCTAAACAATGAAGATGCAGTTAAAGATATCAGGTGGCTGGTTATAAGTCTTTTGGAGGACGAACAACTGGAGGTAAAATTTAAGTTATAGAAAACGGAAATTCAGTCAATTTAAAGAAACCATCATGGTTCCCTTTTTAATAAGTATTTGCGGCCAGGTGCAATTGTTTATATTTATAACCTCAACTCTTTGAGAGACGAAGTCAGTGAGATCACTTGATGCCAGGAGTTTGAGACCAGCCTGGACAACGTAGCAAGACTGTCTCTACAAAAAGTACCAAAATTAGCTGGACATGATGGTGTGCACCTGTGATCCCAGCTATTCAGGAGGTCGAGGTCGGAGGATCGCTTAAGCCTGGAGGTTGAGCCTGCAGTGAGCTGTGATTGTACCACTGCATTCATCCTGAGCAGCAGAGTGAGACCCTGTCTCAAAAAAATTAAATAAAAATAACTTTAATTTTAACATAGCCCTATGTGAGTAATTTTGATACCCTAATCATGATTCCTTATAATACAAATGGAAGAAAAATTGGGCATGTTTTCGTTCTGTCTTCTTTGCAGTTGGGCAAATAATACTCCTGAACCCAAGTTTTCTTAACCATGAGAAATTGGGGATGATAATTGTAATTGTCCCACTAGTCCTACTGATTTTTAAGGAACTCATGAGAATGTGCATGATGGCAGTTTCAAAGGGATTAAAAATCTACACATAGGCGCTGCTATCCAGTAGACTTAATACAGGTTTGCTGTCCTTTTTTTGTTTTTCTTTGGTAGAAAAAGGTAACTTTTGTGGTGAGGTTACATTAATGGTTTGTACAAAAAGATAATGTATTATCCCATACAGCCAAATGTAAGAGCATGTTGGCAGTAAATATGGCATGAGATACTACTTTTTAAGTTGGCATTAAGGAAGAAAATGTAATGGAATTTTTGGTGAAAATTTTGCTTATTTTATGGACTTCATAGTTTTGTCTTGTAGTAAAGTACTCACAGTATTTTATATACTTATTGGTATTGAAAATAGATTTTACTCACAGGAAAGTAGGAATGGAAATTTCTCTACCTCCCTAATGAGTCTATTTATATTTCTTATATTCTGAGAGTGGATATTTTCTAGTCCCGGTGGTACTCACAGACTGGTTATAACAACTGTTTTTTTTTTTCTTTTTTTTTGAGACGGAGTCTCGCTGTTACCCAGGCTGGAGTGCAGTGGCACGCTCTCAGCTCACTGCAAGCTCCGCCTCCTGGGTTCACGCCATTCTCCTGCCTCAGCCATCCCAAGTAGCTGGGACCACAGGCGCCCGCCACCATGCCTGGCTAATTTTTTGTATTTTTAGTAGAGACGGGGTTTCACCATGTTAGCCAGGATGGTCTCGATCTCCTGACCTCGTGATCTGCCTGTCTCAGCTTCCCAAAGTGCTGGGATTACAGTCGTGAGCCACCACGCCTGGCCTGGTTATAACAACTCTTAACAGACTTCAATTAAAATATTTACAGCTGTGATTTTTTTTTTTTAATTTCTTATTATTCTTTAAAAACTAACCTAAAGGAGTGGAAACAATGACCTTGTCATTGTTTCCTAACTTTAATTATTATACCGCTTGCATTTAGGAGCTTCTTTTAGAACATTTTTATGGTTTCTCTTTTTTTTTTTTTTTTTTTTTTTTTTTGAGACCAAGTCTTGCTTTGTTGTCCAGGCTGTAGTGCAGTGGCACAATTATGGCTCACTGCAGCCTCTGCCTCCTGAGCTCAAGTGATCCTCCCACCTCAGCCTCCTGAGTAGCTGGGACTATGGGTATTTGCCACCACACGGAATTACTTTTTTTGTGATTTTGTAGAGGCAAGGTTTTGCCATACTGCCCAGGCTGGTCTCAAACTCCTGGGCCCAAGCAATCTACCCGCCTTGGCCTTATAAATTATTTTTATATTTTCTTCCATATAGAGGTTTAAACATAGCTGTTATATAAACATAACCATGATCATTAAAACTATCATATTTTTAAAGCAACATGTAAAACCAAAAAGCAGTAATAATTCGCTAAATTCTGTTCGTTGATAGTATGGGGAAAAACAATGTTATCTAAATGAGAACTGTTTAAAGAAACCTTACTGTATTTAAAGGAAACTTCTTAGAAATAGAGGAAAATAGTATGTTTTTAGCTGAGAAGGCTAAATATATTCTTTCCTCACTTTTTAAAGTTAGTTAATTATAGACATGTACCCTGGAGTAAAATATCTCAGAAGTAGACCCTGTCACTGGAAAAGAGCATAAATCAGTTGGAGGTGTTGGGGATCATTTGTTAGCAATTTGAAGTAAGAGAAAAATAAATTAAAACATCTCATATTACAGTATATTTTTGATAAAGAGATTTACCATCCCCGCCCCCCCTTTTTTTGGAGAGGGAGTTTCACTCTTTTTGCCCAGGCGGGAGTGCAGTGGTGCGATCTCGGCTCACTGCAACCTCTGCCCCCTGGGTTGAAGCGATTCTCCTGCTTCAGCCTCCTGAGTAGCTGGGATTACAGACACCTACCACCATGCCCAGCTAATTTTTATATTTTTAGTAGAGACGGGGTTTTACCATGTTGGCCAGGCTGGTCTCAAACTCCTGACCTCAGGTGATCCACCCGCCTGGGCCTCCCAAAGTACTAGGATACAGGCGTGAGCCACCATGCCCTGCCAATCACCACCTCCGGCTTTAAAAAATAAATTAGGAGAAAGTGGATTTGGATATTATTTATAGGAACGTAATAGGAGCAGAGATGACTTTCTAAGCCTTTGAGTTAATAGACGTCACATCAAAACATGCACAGATCTGACTACTCAGAGTGGTGGTGGTATTGTAATAATGTATGCAGATAGCCGGGCGTGGTGGCTCATGCCTGTAATCCCAGCACTTTGGGAGGCCGAGGTGGGCGGATCACGAGGTCAGGAGATCGAGACCATCCTGGCTAACATGGTGAAACCCCATCTCTACTAAAAATACAAAAAAATTAGCCAGGCGTGGCAGCGGGTTGTAGCTGTAGTCCCAGCTACTTGGGAGGCTGAGGCAAGAGAATGGCATCAACCCAGGATGTGGAGCTTGCAGTGAGCCAAGATCGTGCCACTGCACTCCATCCTGGTGACAGAGCGAGACTCCATCTCAAAAAAAAAAAGTATACAGATAAAGACATTACTTGCTATAAGCAGTGAAAAGTCACACCTCCCAATGACCAGGAAAATGCAAACTTGAAACAGTGAGGCATTTTTAGCTACTCCTAATTTAGTGTTTTCCTCCCTTCACAAAACAAAAATGTGTAGTGATGAAAAGCAGTGTAAGGTATAACTGGTAGTTCACATTTAAGTTTTGTGTCATTATATGTTAGCACTAGCTTTTTTGAAAAGCAACTAATAGCCATAAAATTAGCTGTAAAATTGTTTATATCTTTAAACTTACTAATCCCAATTTTTGTAATCTATTCTAAGAAAATATACTGCAGGCCGGGCACAGAGGCTTACGCCTGTAATCCCAGCACTTTGGGAGGCCAAGGCAGGAGGATTGCTTGAGCCCACGAGTTGGAGATCAGCCTGGGCAACAAAAAAAAAAGTGAGACCTGTGTCTACAAAAAATAAAAAAATAAAAATGGAGTATATTGAAAATATATACTGTAATATGAAAAGTTACACAAATTAAGAATATAGCATAGTACTGAGAATATGAAAGCAATCTAGTCAGTATTTATGAAAATAAACTTTGGTGGCTGGGTGCGGTAGCTCATGCCTGTAATCGCAGCACTTTAGGAGGCTGACGTGGGCGGATCACGAGGTCAGAAGATCAAGACCATCCTGGCTAACACGGTGAAACCCCATCTCTACTAAAAATACAAAAAAAAAAAAATTAGCCATGGTGTCAGGTGCCTGTAGTCCCAGCTACTTGGGAGGATGAGGCAGGAGAATGGCATGAACCCAAGAGGCAAAGCTTGCAGTGAGCCGAGACTGCGCCACTGCACTCCAGCCTGGGTGACAGAGCGAGACTCCATCTCAAAAAAAAAAAAAAAAAACGAAAAGAAAAGAAATTGTGGCATATAAGCTTTATAGGAAATAGTGCAACCAGTAAAACATTTTATGATGTATTTCATATGCTAGTGTAATGAACGCAGCAAAGAACATGTTACGTACTCGACAGACGATGATAAAATTATGAGAAACCTTTTGAAGGAATACAACAGAGCAAAACATCTGTTTTTTAAAATTATCATTGTGTATTATGAATATTAAACAAATGTTTGTGATTTATATGTGAAACAATGTCTTTTTACCGCTTTTTTGTTTTCCCAAAAGTTGAGTTACCATTCCAATTTGAAATGGACTGTGTACACGCTTCATTTAGTACTTTTGTAAACTGTGTTTGTGATCTGACAGCAGCCTGTGAAATTCATAAGAATCACATAGGATGTAAGTCTCCATGATGTATGCCAATTACAGAAATTAGGTTGGTCTGTGTCTTTGTTACTAACAAAAATAGCTATAGCAGTGGCCTTCAGAGATGTAGAGTCTGGAAAAACTTGATCTTAATGTCAGGTTCTGGCACTGCTTTTACAGTTATAGCCCTGATGAGAGCTATCAGTAGGGAAAATAATTTATGGAGAAATTTAATTTTGCTAAAAGAGATAAAAGTTTATGCTCATAACCCTAATGTAGTTTTTATCCATTATGAGGCCACAAACTCTTTGAGAATCTGCTGAAATCTCTATTAAGAAACTGCCAAAGAGCATACACAAAATTTGCATGCAATTTCAGGGAAGGTCTTCACCCCAGTTCCCACACTACCCCCTATCCTCCATTATTCCCTCAGACTTAGAATGTCAGTCCTAATAGAAATTATTATATCTACAGGTTCGAGAAATGGCTGCTACTACCTTAAGCGGTCTGCTACAGTGTAACTTTCTTACCATGGACAGTCCTATGCAGATTCATTTTGAGCAACTTTGCAAAACAAAACTACCTAAGAAAAGAAAGCGAGACCCTGGTTCTGTAGGAGATACCATTCCTTCTGCAGGTAACATTGCTGGTAGGAAACACCTGTATCCTATTGGGAATTAATGAGGGTTAACCAGGCTTACTCATATTTATTGAATAACTTGTATGTATGTGCCCAGGTCTATGCTAGGTATTGGGAAAAGTTTTCCCTACTTTTGAGGAGTTTTGCATATAGAAAGCAGGACTTGGAATGTAGAAAAGCTAAAATTGAGGTAGATAGAAAGGAACCTGTAGAACTGCTACCTAACAACTATTGTATTCAGTCTACCCTCCGCCCAGAATAGCTTCATAAAAAAGAGATATTCAGAATTAGTTATTTTGGAGGGTCTGAAAAACCTGTTTTGGAATTTAGAACTTAAATGTAGATGTACTAACAGAAAAAACTAAAGCAAGCCTTGTTTTTTATTTGGAGAGGGGATTATTCGGTCCTTCATTAGTCCTTTGGTGAGAGGGTGCGGAGTCATTGCAGGAGCTTCCAATCTAATTGAATATAGACACAAGATAAACACGAGAATAAGATCTGACTACTATGTCATGTTTAAAAAGAAATGTAAATGTGATTACAAAGATGCATCTTGCCATGTTAACTGTAATCATAATAGAAAATACATAAAAAGATTAATAGTAAGTAGGAATTTTATTGAATTTAGAGGAAGTGCTTAAATATAAAGCTTTTACTGCTGATTAGTGTCTTAATTATGTCATAAAGTTACCTAGTAACAGAATCCAATAAAATATCAATGTACATTCTAGTATCTTTGCTTTTTGGGATATATATATGTATGTATATATATTATATATATATTATAAATATATTTTATAATATATATTATATATATTATAAATATATTTATAATATATATTATATATATTATAAATATATTTTATAATATATATCATATATATATATATTATAAATATATTTTATAATATATATTTTTTGGAAACAGGATCTTCCACTGTCACCCAGGCTGGAGTGCAGTGGCATGATCTCAGCCCCCTGCAACCTCCACCTCCTGGGTTCAGGCGATTCTCATGCCCCTGTTAGCCGAGTAGCTAGGATTGCAGGCGCGCGCTACTACACCTGGCTAATTTTTTGTATTTTTAGTAGAGTTTCACCATGTTGATCAGGCTGGTCTTGAACTCCTGACCTCAAGTGATCCACCCACCTGGGCCTTCTAGAATACTGGGATTACAGACGTGAGCCACAGCACCTGGCCTGAGAACTCTGTTTTTTTAATGATAAAGCACCAAAGTATTTTTAGGTCTTTTGTTACACCAAATGATATTGTTCACAATTTTGACCAGTCCAAATTCTCTTTTCCTTACCTTCAACTCCCTATTTTCCATGTGTCACAAATACAAATGTAATATGCTTTAAAACATGTGAATACACACACCTTTATTGAGGAACTGAGAATTTGAAACCACTTACACCACTACAGAACTAACTTACACTACTACAGAAAGAATAGAGACTCTTTAGAATACAGACATGCTGCAATTCTCTGTTTTAAGAAATAGACATTCTTCATACATGATGTGTTTACTAATGAATTGATGTATTCTGGGTAGGGGCGTCACATCCAGAAAAAAAAAACCACGCTAATTTTGATTGGAGATTGTTTTAGAATCAGGGATTGTACTGGCCTAGGTACAATTATGCTGTCATTGATAAGCAACTATGGAAGTCTTTAAAAATCCTTTTTTTTTTTTTTTTTTTTTGAGGTAAGGTCTTCCTCTATCGCCCTCCTTGGAGTGCAGTGGTTTTGAATATGGCTCACTGCAGCCTTGACCTCCCAGGCTCAAGCGATCCTCCTGCCTCAGCCTCTTGTCTAGCTGGAACCACAGGCATGCACTGCCATGCCTAGCTTTTTTTTTTTTTTTTTTTTCCTTGAGACGGAGCCTCACTCTGTATCCCAGGCTGGAGTACAGTGGTGCGATCTTGGCTCACTGCAGCCTCTGCTTCCCTGGTCAAATGATTCTCATGCCTCAGCTTCTGGGTATCTGTGACTTCACATGCCATCACACCCAGCTAATTTTTGTATTTTTAGCAGAGACAGGGTTTCGCCACGTTGGCCAAGCTGTTCTTGAACTCCTGACCTCAGGTCATCCACCCGCCCTGGTCTCTCAGTGTGCTGGGATTATAGGCATGAACCACCATGCCTGGCCACCAGCTGATTTTTAAAAATTATTTTTGGAGAGACAGGTTCTCACTTTATTGCCCTGGCTGGTCTCAAATTCCTGGCCTCAAGTGATCCTCCTACCTTGGCCTCCCAAAGTGCTGGGATTACAGGTATGAGCCACTGTGCCCAGCTGACAAATTCTTAAATACAGAATTATTTTTAGTTTAGCCTCAAAATCAAGTATTTGATGTGTTTACATGTAGATTCATTTTAAATGCAGAAATTCACATATTGAAAACAACACAATTGAAAACTAATTTTATCTCACTGTAACAAGTGCATTAGAGACATATATATATTTGCACAAATGTTGCTATTCTCTTTGCAGAGTTGGTCAAACGCCATGCTGGGGTGCTAGGACTTGGTGCATGTGTTCTTTCTAGTCCTTACGATGTTCCCACCTGGATGCCCCAGCTCCTCATGAATCTCAGTGCACATCTAAATGATCCTCAGCCTATTGAGGTACAGTTCTTCCTTATTAGTTTGTACGTGTATTATCAGTGATGTTTTCTAAGAAACCATAATAATAATTTCCTATACACTCTGAACTAACTGCTTTCATAAAGCTGCTGCCTCTGCCAAGGCTTAGTCTGCTCACCAGTAATTATTAAAAAATTACAGAGACCTTGCTGCCATGGATATTTGAGATCTTTTGGTAGTGAGGAAATTATTGTAGCTTCTATCCCTCCCAGTCCAATGGAAGTAAAGTACTGTCAATATTGTTGTGATAAATTTTATGTTTCTATTTTTCTAGCACTGCAAAGTATTTTACTGGAAGCTAATATTAAATAGGAAATTATGATGGCATTTTTAGTAACTCAAAAGACCATTCACTTTGTCCTTCTCATTGGCTTTTTGGTTTTGTAGAACTTGGTATTGTGTGAGATCTGAAGTCTAGAGGGACGGTAATTTAACTAAAAGTATCCTACATATGATCCTGGTTGTCCAGAGAGGTTAAAACGTATGTGGGTTGTCTACTTTACAGATGACTGTAAAAAAAACCTTATCCAATTTCCGAAGGACTCACCATGACAACTGGCAGGAACATAAACAGCAATTCACTGATGACCAACTGCTTGTTCTCACCGATCTTCTTGTGTCACCATGCTATTATGCATAGAAAGGTAAGTCAGCAAAGTTCTGAATTTACATTGGTTTGGTGACTGAGAACTAGATATTTATTGTTTTTTTTCTTTTTGCTGACATTCTTAGATGTCAGTGTTTAGATAAAGTTGGATGGCGGGGATTGTTTGTTTTTAAACATGGCTTTTGCTACGGCCATTGGAAATGAGAATTTTGCTGTGCCTCCTTGCTTTAGGTTTAAAGCAGAGAAAATGTGTGACTGCTTTTGGACCTTTGTAGATGAGTGGTGTCAGCCTGGGAATAGTTAGATAAAGGAAAATACATCTTATTCTTGGTTGCCTCCTGGGTGGGGCTGGGACATTTTGTGTGGCCCTGAGGACTCTGGGTTCTAAAAGTTGTGAGAACTTGATCTGGATTCTTACACCCATTCTGTTAAAGAGGGAGTACCCAGAAGCCTTTCTACTGGAATAGGAAGAATAAAAATTTCATTTATTAGGCTTTTAGAGTTGGATGTCTTGTTACCTAATTGAAATTTTTTCCTCCCTGATACAGATGACTAGTCCTCACTTCAGGCTCTTTTCATCAAAAATTCCACACCCTCAGGTACCATCTGTGGTGGCTCTCTGCAAGTTTTAAAACTGCCTCTGCTGAGCTCTCATCATTTTGGTGGTTTCTGTGTTAGATCTCGTTAGTCTGCATTCCACAGCTTCTCAGTTGCCATTTGATTTCCCAACTTGTCCGGAAGTGTTTCCAGAATACTGATCACTTTTTTTTTTTGAGGCATCTGACAAAGTCACAAAGTCTCAGACTAGAAATAATTACCCAGTATGATCATGGCATCCAAGACCAGAGTCTCAGAACTCATTAAGAAACAGTTTACTTGGAATGGAGAATACCCATCTGTAATACAGGTCCTGTCATTTCATTCATCTCAAATTATTTTGAATTCTTCCCAAATGGCTGCTGGATTTAGGTGGTAATAGGGGCTGTGGGCCATAAATCTGAAGCCTTGAGAACCTTGGGTCTGGAGAGCCATGAAGAGGGAAGGAAAAGAGGGCAAGTCCTGAACCTAACCAATGACCTGATGGATTGCTCGACCAAGACACAGAAGTGAAGTCTGTGTCTGTGCACTTCCCACAGACTGGAGTTTTTGGTGCTGAATAGAGCCAGTTGCTAAAAAATTGGGGGTTTGGTGAAGAAATCTGATTGTTGTGTGTATTCAATGTGTGATTTTAAAAATAAACAGCAACAACAATAAAAACCCTGACTGGCTGTTTTTTCCCTGTATTCTTTACAACTATTTTTTGACCCTCTGAAAATTATTATACTTCACCTAAATGGAAGACTGCTGTGTTTGTGGAAATTTTGTAATTTTTTAATTTATTTTATTCTCTCTCCCTTTTTATTTTGCCTGCAGAATCGTTGAGAGACTAATAAGGCTTAATATTTAATTGATTTGTTTAATATGTTATATAAATGTAAAAGAGTGTATAAACTGTAGAGATAGCATTGGCAAGACATTGTACAGATGCAACCTTTTACACAACATCATTGTGTAATTTGTAAAGATTCACGTGTAGTTCTTTATTATAGTGATTTTGGGCTTTGTACCCACTGAATGCCATTTTTTGTGTTTTTAAATTATTTTCTTTATCTTGTTACAAAAACTGAGATGTGGGGTTTTTTTTTTTTCAGTTCACTTATCATTAGAATGTCTGAACTTTTATGTAACATTTTTGTGTGCATCTCTCAATGCTAACACCACATGTTTGCCTATGACAAGTTTATAGAGTGAAAGGTATCTTCTGGGTTGAAATAATTCACAAATTGGTGAATGTCATCTTGCAACACACCCTGTACAGTCTTCCTTAAAGGAACACTACAGTATATTTTTAGTATCTACATGCTGAATGACTGAATACAGACCTAAGCACAGCAGTGGTCCTGGTACAGTATTTAAGTGTCGGCATACACAGGCGTAATCCCTGTATAAAGTAGTGCCAAACTGATTTCAGTTGTGTAACTAGTTTAAAACCCAATAAATGGATTCTTTTTAACACCTGGCTTTTGTCTTCATTAAGAGGAGAAGACAGTTCTGTAGGCAGTGACTCCTGTGGATTTCCTTTTGCAGCCATAGATTTGTATCTGTAAATGTATGTCCTCTGACCAGTATAAATTATCTGGATCTGCCCTGTACAATACAGTAGCTACTAGCCATATCTGACTATTTATATTTAATTAAATAAAAAATGTATTCCCTCAGTCTCACCGGCATATTTTAAATACTCTTGAGCCACATGTGGCTAGTGGTTACCACACTGAATAATATCGATGAACTTTTCCATCATCACAGAAAGTTCACCTAGCACTGACCTAGGTGATTGATTGTTTTTGTGTGGAGGTGTGGGAGACAGAGTTTTGCTCTGTCATCCAGGCTGGAGTGCAATGGCACAATCTTGGCTTACTGCAACCTCTGCCTCCCATGTTCCCATGAGGAATGCTCATGCCTTAGCCTCCAGAATAGCTGGGACTATAGGCATGCACCACCACGCCCGGCTGATTTTTGTATTTTAGTAGAGACAGTTTCACCATGTTGCCCAGGCTGGGGTCAAACTCCTGAGCTCAGGCAGTCCACCTGCATCGGACTCCCAAAGTGCTAGGATTACAGGTGTGAGCCACCGTGCCTGATCCTAACTGATTGGTTCTTAAATTGATGTGCCTAAGAATCATGAGGGGATTTTGTTTAAATGTACAGGGAATTCATTGTTCCCACTTCATGATATCAATTCCTGGTCCTGAGGCCACACGTTGAGAAGTGAGGCTTTATGTTGTATGTTGACCACTTCAGCTTTTTTTAGTTAAGCTGTATGAAACTGCCTTAGCAATGGTTCCTAAATGGGAACTTTAAACAAAGATGTAAGATACTGGGTGCCCTCTCTGTTCCTCAGTGAAAACTTCTCTGGCAGGGGTGCTTAGGCATTACAGTATTAGAAGCTCTATGATGATTCAGTTGTTCAGCCAGGTTTGAGAACCACACGAATCCCACCACAGACCTAAAAAGAGGGTACCTTAATCTGAGTGCCTAACATGCTCCCAGGTGATTCTGATTCTGGGTTTGGAAGTCGCTTATTACTTTGATATTTCCCTAGTGACATTGTCCTATGAATTAATTGTTTACCAATAGGAAAAATGAAATTTTCTACCAGGAGGGAAAAGGAGAAAGGGGGTGGAGAAAAGAGTTGCATGGCTTGTATGGTCTAAGATAGTTCTTAACATGTATATGGTGTGTTAAAAAGCATGAGGACAGCAGGAACTGTGTTAAGGGTGGTAACAAGATTTACTAGAGGAGGAGGGGAGAGGCTGACCTGTGTTTGGAAGTCACTGTTGACTGGGCATGGAAGACAGTATGGGCCACTCTCTGAGGGTGGATGAGAAGTGAGGAGAAGAAAAAGCCTATTTATCTTTTTATAAGGTCAAATAAATCTTTAGTTTCTGAATGGATCCTTTAGAAAGCAAAGACTGCAGATTGTCCTTCAAAATGTAGGAGGAAAATTTACTCACCTATTAATGTAAATGAAAGTTTAGGTGCAAATATATGATAAAGCTGTTTTCAAATATTTGAAATACTTGTCATTACCAAGCCCTTTAAGCCGCAGGCCACTTTTGGTAATTAGGAGTGTGGCCAGAAAGACTAAAGAGCAATTTTGTTTTATTAAAAAATTAATTTTGGCCAGGCGCAGTGGCTCACATCTGTAATCCCAGCACTTTAGGATCGCTTGAGCCCAAGAGTTTGAGACCAGCCTGGGCAACATAGAAAGACCCTATTTCTACAAAAAATAGAAAAAAATAGCTGGGTGTGGTGGTACGTGCCTGTAGTCCCAGCTACTTGGGGGGCTGATGTGGGAGGCAGAGGTTACAGTGAACTGAGATCACGGCACCGCACTCCAGCCTAGGTGACAGAATGAGACCGTGTCTCACAAAAATAAAAAAATCATGAGCTATCATCACAGGAAAAGTAACTTTTTCTACGTGGCCTTCATAACTGTTTTTGTAGACTTCGTCTTCTCAGTATATCCTAATTGTTTTAAGTATTCCTTTTGAACATCAAGGTTGTTTTCAGTTTCCTGTACTACAGATTACACTGCAGTGCACATTTTCATACCTTTATGCTTTAAAACTCTTCTTTTGTTGGAGCAGTTCCAAGGAGTGAGAGATGCCTAGATGAGGAGCTTTTTTTGTTTTAAAGAACATTTTAACAGCTCTCATATTTGCTGTTTTCCTCAAAGTGCACATGTATCCATTTGCATTGCAATAATAAGAGTGTATTAGAAGAATGCCAGTGTCAGGGCAGATTGATAGCCAATTCATGATCTATAATTAGCCCTGCTTATTTATTTGCAGATTTTCCATTTTTTTACTACTACCAATGTTTTTTCCAATTTCGCTCACTTGTGGATTTTGTAGATATACTAGTTTTAGCCTTGTTGAATGGTTCTAGCTAGTTCTGGAACTTTGATGAGTCCTGATTTCCTCTTCTAGATCTCTAGAATCCTTTATGATTTGTGGTTTTTTGTTTGTTTTCAGTTTCAGACCATTTCTCCGGTAGGTATAACTCTGATGGTCTCAATGCAGCCCAAACCTATTGTAATCTCCATTCATATAGCCAAATGCCTGGAAATGAACTAGCATTTATTTATGCAGTAGCTAATTTATTATAGAGAGGTATATAATTTTGATCAGAATTCCCACTCCAAATGCTAATGAGTATTTTTCTGTGGATTGTTTCTGGGACTCATGGTTACCATTATTGATAACATATACTGGAACTGCTTTATTGCAAGTGGTTGGGAAGTGGAATATGTGGGAACTGGAAAACTTTCTTGAAGTTATTTCTAAACAGAATTCTGATGGCATACTCAACTCCTGGACTGAATAATAAGTTATCTAGCCTTCTTGCTTTTTGTTTTTTCGTTTGTTTTTGTTTTGTTTTGTTTTTATGAAAGCACAGGGAACTGAAGAAATTGCATTAATTAAATTACTTGATACTTGCTAGTTCTGTTTTAAAAAGATAAACCATTAGCTAAAATGAAGAATCCAGTATAAGTATTTCATCCGAACGGAATCAACTTTGCTTTTCTGGTAACCAGAGTGAATGAAGGAAAGGGCATTCAAATAACATTCTCTGTTTCTAAATAGCATCCCTGAGGTTAGAAAAGTAGTAAGATCCTAGTTAGCCAGGTTGGGATACTGAAGGGAGAAGAGTTTAACTGGTTTTATTTTGTACCCATCATAGCAGACATACTTAGGAATGTTACTTGATTGTTCAGACTAAAACCTATCTTAGGAGTTCATTATTTTGGACATGTATGAATTCTAGAAGAATGAGAGAGGATGGTAATTTTAGTTTTGTGTTTGTGCTTAATAAAATTAGCTTGTACATTGCACTATGATTTATCAAGATTTTTTACATTCAACATAGTATTAAGTAATACATCAATATCCATGATTCCTGGGCTTGGTCGTTTTATTTGCATGGGTAGTTTCTTTATGCTTTGCATGTTTCCTGCCAATTAGTCCCCTTGCTGAGTTCCCTCAGTGAATTCACTAATACCTTAAGAGAGCTTAGGTAAGTTCAAATAGGTTTAATTTAAATTCTATTACAATGACTTGATTTGTAAATTCTAGGTCTCAAAGTTCCAAACTGGAAGCCGCCGCCAATTTAATTCATGAGGAAAAATATTAGCCGCAGCCTAAGTGAGGAGCTAGTTAGGACGTCTTAAAAGCGCGGGGAACGAGGAGGAGGTGGGCTGCGGGCAGGGTAAGCAGCCTAGGGAGGCCCGCAAAGACCTCCCTGGGTCCCTGCGTGCCATCAGTACCCCTATCTTTCCCTTCCTTCCTTACCACTCCACCTTGCTCTGCGTTTCAGGTTTTGGCTATTTCAGGGAGCTTGAGTTCCCCAAACAGCAAAACTGCGAGCCTGAAAAACCTGGCTCAAGCGCCCCTCGTGAGGCGGGCAGCGGGAGTGGCCGGGCTCTGGGCCCCAGGAGGCAGGCGACGGAGGCGCGGAGGGTGCGGGGCGCAGGCGGGACGCCAGGCCCGGGTGTCCGGCGGAGGGGGCGGTGCCCTCGGCGTCTCCGTGACTGCGCCTCTGCGCCCGCGTCTTGCCGCGGCTCCCGGGATGCGCGGAGGCGGTGGCGATGGCGATGATGCCTCTAGTCCTGCATCATCCAGAGCGGCAGGCGGAGCTGGGGTCCGGACTGCGAGATGGAGGAGGGGCGGCGCTGCGGCCACCCGGCAGGTGAGAGGCCGCGGGCCCCTGGAGGAGGACAACCCCACGATGCCGGAGACGGCTCCCGGAGGCTGGCGGGATAGCGAGGAGCGCGGCTGCGCTGGGCCAGGCCCGGCTCCGCGTACCTGTCTTCCTGGTGCGGCCTGCAGGGTAGCCTTCTCGCCCGTCCCTGCCGGTTCCCAGGCTCTGCTCGGCCGTGGAACCCCCCCCACCCACCCACCCACCGCCCCTACCCTGGCTGAGCCCTCCTAACCCACCACCCCTCTGCGGCATTCTTTTGCAAGCTTACCTGGCCCGGCCTAGGCCCTCCTTACCGTCACCTCACCCTTCTCCGGGAAGCCCCTACCCACCGCCAGCCCCTCACGGGGGGGTCGACCTTCCCTGCCCGCAGTTTCCCACTCTGTCCTCAGGCTGGGGGCTCCCTGGCCTCTTCATCCCTCCCATCAAATGACTCAGGTCTTCCCATCCCATTAGCTGCTCCGGGTTCAATGTAGTTCTACTGGATAGAAAGAGCAAGGGCTTTGAAATCAGATAATGACCTTGGGGAAGTTATCTAACCTCCCTGAGGTTTTCCTGATCGATAGAAATACAATGGGAATCACAATAATACAGAACCTTGCTCTCTGTGAGGATTAGGCTTTGAAAATGCTAACCTAAGACATTTTGGGGCGCGCGGGGAATGGGGTTGGAAGAATTCAGGTCGTGAGTTGATTTATGAAAGCCCCTATAGCATGTTTTAATGTTCACTAAAAATTTAAAACAGCACACTAGATATATCAGAGGCTGTTCACATATCTTAATGAAAAATCATTGCCACTCAAATTATACAATAAATTTTCATCCATATTCTTTGCTTGCTAGTTACTTCAGGATGTCTCATTTGTAAGAATATGCATGTGAATTCATTCTTACTGCAGCTAATATGCATGCTTAAGACTGGTGTTCCAGCTTAAAATCTTTCTGATTTTGTGACTTTAATCACATCTTCTATAACCTATTCTCCGTCCCAGAGATGAAGAGTAGCTTGTATGTTTGCATTGCAAATAACATGGGTAATCTTTATTGAATATTTATGAGTAGCAAAGCAGTATTAATTTATTCCCCTTCCAAAACCACTTTTATTTTCTGCCGTCATCATGTCATTCCAAATTATGGTCACAGCCTCCTTTTTCTTAAAGTCTCAGGAGTTACTACTAAGACCTGAGTTTACTTTCCCTCCATTTTCTTGATTTCTGTTATACTAAAGTTTTTCTGCAAACCTTTTCGTCTTTTCTGTCCTCTGCTTTTTCTCCCTTTTCTCTTCCCAGCCCATGATTCCTTTTTTTCTAATTATCTCAATAGGAGTGATTTATGATTACTTTATATGTGAACTACAGTTAGATACATAGAAGAATGTGTGTGTGTGTGTGTGTGTGTGTGTGTGTGTGTGTGTGTCTATCTGTATCTACATAGATGTAGATATAGCTATATAGGTGTATCAGAATTTCGGATTCCAGAAAGTTTCAGTGGGGAAGGGATTGCAATACCTATTCATAGGATTATTGTGAGAATGAAATAAAGCTTGATAATTTATGTAAAGCCTCTAGAATAGGTGCCTGGTGTGTAATAACCACTTAATACTTCTGACCTGGGGATGCCTCCCAAAAAGGTTTTTTTGTTGTTCGGGTTAGCATGGTGGTGAAGAGTGTGGAAGAGCAACTGCTTAGATTCAAATCCATGTTCCACCACTTTAGATAACCTCTCTTTGACTTGGTTTCCTCATCTGCAAAATGGAGATGTTATATCAAGTATTTCAGGGTTGTTATGAGGACTCAATAAGCTAATAGTGTGGAACATTGAGAAAAGTACCTGGCACATCATAAGCACTTGATAAAATTAATATACTAATAATGATGCTGATAATTATACTGCCATTGTTATTTCCTGACCTGGAATTCTTATTTTTTTTAATTTACTGAAGGCTGGGTACAGTGGCTCACACCTGTAATCTCAGCACTTTGGGAGGCCAAAGCAGGCAGATTGCTTGAGCCCAGAAGTTGGAGACCAGTGAGGGCAACATAGTGAGACTCCATCTCTATTAAAAATATATATATTGAAAAATTTAAAATTTGTTGAAAAAATGTAACTGTACAAAACGTGAAAGTTGCCTCTCCTCTACCCCAAATCACCTTTTTTCCTCCTGCCTCCTATTCTTGACTAATGTTAGTGCTTCATCATCTCATTTTTCTCCTAATCCCTTTTTCCAAATATCTCTTAGCCTGAGGTCTTCATAACTTCCATCATCCCGCTTCATTATTACCTAGTTACTTTTCATTTGTCTTAGCATCCTAATTCCAGACTCCTCATTCTTCTAATTTCCCCAGGCCAAATTCCTGCATCCCTCTTCACCCCTCTTCATCTCTCTACCTCCAAAGAGGAAACCCTTGGAGATAAGGGGGTTAGAGACACCAGTATCACCTCCCTGCTCTTCCTGCCTCCTCAAATTGTTTTCTCTTCTACTTCCCTTTTCATAAATTAGCTGTAATACTCCTGTTAGCAACTTTTAAAAACAGTAAAAAATTGTCTTTCTCGGCCGGGCGCGGTGGCTCACGCCTGTAATCCCAGCACTTTGGGAGGCCGAGGCGGGTGGATCATGAGGTCAGGAGATCGAGACCATCCTGGCTAACAAGGTGAAACCCCGTCTCTACTAAAAATACAAAAAAAAAATTAGCCGGGCACGGTGGCGGGCGCCTGTAGTCCCAGCTACTCGGGAGGCTGAGGCAGGAGAATGGCGTGAACCCGGGAAGCGGAGCTTGCAGTGAGCCGAGATTGCGCCACTGCAGTCCGCAGTCCCGCCTGGGCGACAGAGCGAGACTCCGTCTCAAAAAAAAAAAAAAAAAAAAAAAAAAAATTGTCTTTCTCATTATATAGGTATCAAAAGTGTTCAGAAACAAATATACAGCCTTTAAGTGGAAATAGAGCTATCTGGTACTATTTTTAAAAAATTCTAACCATCAAGAAACAAAAGTTCAGGATTTTCTTCTCTTATGGAACTTTTATTTGAAAGGAAAGTATAGAAAAGTTGGTCTCACTTTCCAGTGGACAAATTCACCATATCGTCCTGATCTGTACCATATGAATGTTAAGAATATAGATTAAGTTATCTTTTTCCTTGATTAAGGACACCAGTCAATTATATGGATTTCCCAGGACTGGTATATGTCTGATAGTCACTGGCATGGCTGTATCTGTTGTTAAATGTGGAGAGACTTCTGTATTGGGTAGTCCATAGCTGCTAATTGGAGCCCCAGGTAATCCCTGACTGACCTGGTTCATTCCGCTGTACCCCCTTGATCTGGCAACTAAAGGGTTAACAGCTGGAGGCTTCTGGGATCCAGCTTGAGCTGGTGGTTAAGTACACTGAACATCAGCCCTGGACCTCTGCAGTGCCACTTATTGTTCCTAAAATTCTAGATTAAGGCAAACCCTTTTTGGTTGTCAAGAACATAGTGCTGTCTCCAAGGAACAGCTTAGTCGGTCCCACCAGAAGCATCTGTTGGGAGCAGGTTGGGCACCAACCCTTGCAGGACTTTGGGATTTGGGACAATGTAGATTTGTGTGAGTGCACATTAAGTCTCATTGCAAAATAGAAAAAAAAAAGTTAGGAAAAAGGAGCAAGAAGTTATTCTTTTAAAGTAGAGACTGCCTTACTCATCGTAGCACCTAGCACCTGGCGTAATGCTGGCATATGGTATGCACATAATTAATATAAATTGAGCGAACGAATGCAGGAATGGGTGCATGCCTCCTGCTTCACCATCAGGATATTCTTGTTGGGATAATGGTAACTCACATTTATATAGCAGTTTAGACTTTACAATGTGGTGCTTTGCACCTTGTAAATTTCTAATATAATTCCAACATCCTTGGTTACTTCCAGTTTTCCGTCTCACATGTAGTCCTACACAAGGTTTTTTTCCAAAGGAGAATATGTAGTTAATTGGCCAAGAAATTGCAAGCTGGGGGAAAAATTATAAATACTGGGAAATAAAGGATTCTTCATAGGGAACGAAACAGGGTTTGTTAATGATTTATGGGAATTATGTGAAGGGCCACATTATGCATCAACAATACCCTCCAGCCTATATTTCAAGCACATGCAGTTTTTTGCCGCAGTGCTTCTGCTGCAAAGACCTACCCCCACTTCTCTTAGCCTGTCTGTCCCCACTCCATACCCCCGACCTTTCATCCAGCTGGCCTGTGCTTGCTAAAGCTCCCTTTATCCTTTCCCAGCTCCCTTTCCATGTTGGAGTAGGTTCCCCCCTTCCATGCTCTCATAGCACCCTGCAACCTTATTAGGCTGTAATTATTACATAGTTAGATTGATCTCCAACTAGATTGTCATCTCTTTGGTGGAGAGATTACGTTCTTGTGTATCTTCAGTGCCTGACACAGAAGTGTTTCTAAAAGTAACATCTGCACACCCCTCAAACAGAATCACAAGGGGCGAGGCCAAGAAATCTGCTCTCCAAGTGATAACTTAAACTTTTTAACATGCTCTTCAGGTGACACTTAAACTTGTTTGAAAACCTCTGTGTCATAAAACTAAATATTAGCTGGATGAATGTATTTGTATCTTTTTCTGTGTTGGCCTTTGTGAGGAGAAATGCTGTCTATGCACCAAATCAGAGCTGAAAAATTCTAGTGTTTTGTTAAAAAAAAAAAAGAGAGAGAGAGAGCTGGGTTTGGTGGTGCATGCCTGTAGTCCCAGCTACTTGGGAAGCTAAGCCAGGAGGACTGCTTGAGCACAGGAGTTCAAGTCCAGCCTGGGCAACATGGTAAGACCCCATTGCTAATAAATGAATAAATTTTTCTCTCAAGGTGAGAGATACTAGTACTAATACTACTACTAATAATGAGATCACTGTATGAATTCCTTTCTGTTTCTACATTAATCCCTTTCTGTTTCTGGGTGTGCATTTTTGTGTGTAGGCTTATCTGTCTTGGGCCTCTTTTGTCACATATTGCTCATCTGTGAGCTGAGGCCCTGACTCACTGAGTATTTTTGGGGAGCAGAAGAAGGAGACATTTCTCTCCGAAAATGAACTCAACAGGCCACCTTCAGGATGCCCCCAATGCCACCTCGCTCCATGTGCCTCACTCACAGGAAGGAAACAGCACCTCTCTCCAGGAGGGTCTTCAGGATCTCATCCACACAGCCACCTTGGTGACCTGTACTTTTCTACTGGCGGTCATCTTCTGCCTGGGTTCCTATGGCAACTTCATTGTCTTCTTGTCCTTCTTCGATCCAGCCTTCAGGAAATTCAGAACCAACTTTGATTTCATGATCCTGAACCTGTCCTTCTGTGACCTCTTCATTTGTGGAGTGACAGCCCCCATGTTCACCTTTGTGTTATTCTTCAGCTCAGCCAGTAGTATCCCGGATGCTTTCTGCTTCACTTTCCATCTCACCAGTTCAGGCTTCATCATCATGTCTCTGAAGACAGTGGCAGTGATCGCCCTGCACCGGCTCCGGATGGTGTTGGGGAAACAGCCTAATCGCACGGCCTCCTTTCCCTGCACCGTACTCCTCACCCTGCTTCTCTGGGCCACCAGTTTCACCCTTGCCACCTTGGCTACCTTGAAAACCAGCAAGTCCCACCTCTGTCTTCCCATGTCCAGTCTGATTGCTGGAAAAGGGAAAGCCATTTTGTCTCTCTATGTGGTCGACTTCACCTTCTGTGTTGCTGTGGTCTCTGTCTCTTACATCATGATTGCTCAGACCCTGCGGAAGAACGCTCAAGTCAGAAAGTGCCCCCCTGTAATCACAGTCGATGCTTCCAGACCACAGCCTTTCATGGGGGTCCCTGTGCAGGGAGGTGGAGATCCCATCCAGTGTGCCATGCCGGCTCTGTATAGGAACCAGAATTACAACAAACTGCAGCACGTTCAGACCCGTGGATATACCAAGAGTCCCAACCAACTGGTCACCCCTGCAGCAAGCCGACTCCAGCTCGTATCAGCCATCAACCTCTCCACTGCCAAGGATTCCAAAGCCGTGGTCACCTGTGTGATCATTGTGCTGTCAGTCCTGGTGTGCTGTCTTCCACTGGGGATTTCCTTGGTACAGGTGGTTCTCTCCAGCAATGGGAGCTTCATTCTTTACCAGTTTGAATTGTTTGGATTTACTCTTATATTTTTCAAGTCAGGATTAAACCCTTTTATATATTCTCGGAACAGTGCAGGGCTGAGAAGGAAAGTGCTCTGGTGCCTCCAATACATAGGCCTGGGTTTTTTCTGCTGCAAACAAAAGACTCGACTTCGAGCCATGGGAAAAGGGAACCTCGAAGTCAACAGAAACAAATCCTCCCATCATGAAACAAACTCTGCCTACATGTTATCTCCAAAGCCACAGAAGAAATTTGTGGACCAGGCTTGTGGCCCAAGTCATTCAAAAGAAAGTATGGTGAGTCCCAAGATCTCTGCTGGACATCAACACTGTGGTCAGAGCAGCTCGACCCCCATCAACACTCGGATTGAACCTTACTACAGCATCTATAACAGCAGCCCTTCCCAGGAGGAGAGCAGCCCATGTAACTTACAGCCAGTAAACTCTTTTGGATTTGCCAATTCATATATTGCCATGCATTATCACACCACTAATGACTTAGTGCAGGAATATGACAGCACTTCAGCCAAGCAGATTCCAGTCCCCTCCGTTTAAAGTCATGGAGGCTATAGGATCTTATGTAAACAGTTTTTGTTTCTGATAGTAATGGACTTTATTCTAACTTGAGATCAGTGGCGGATCAAAACCTACAAGATTCAACTGAAAAGTTGGCAGTTATGGTTTTCTTTCATCTGATGTGTCAGTATCTGTTGATTTGCTTTGTAGTTTGTTGACATCTTAAGATTTGATGTGAAAGTTTTAGATTTTTTACCCTGCTCTTTGCCTCAGTCTTTTGTACCGAGCCTTTAAATAGATGCCAGGAATGAAGCTACTGTGTTAAAGTAGAAAGTCAACCGATTATCATGATTTGAGTCAGTGTTATGTGACTTCAAAATAAGGTATTGACTGGATTTTTTTTAAAGAATGTGAAAATATGATTTTTGCTGAGGTGTTATTTTTATTAATTGAATTGTAAATTTTGATTTTTTGAAGTGTTGAAATCGGGAACACTACACCTTGTTGGTAGCAGGTTGATTTGAATAAATAATATATTGTTAGCTGGGTGCAGTGGCATGCACCTGTAGTCCTAGCTACTTGGGAGGCTGAGGCAGGAGGATCACTTGAGCCCGGGATTATGAGTCCAGCCTGGGCAACACAGCAAGACCCTGTCTCTAAAGGAAATGTATATATTCTTTTTTTTTTTTTTTTTTTTTTTTTTTTTTTGAGACGGAGTTTCACTCTTGTTGCCCAGGCTGGAGTGCAATGGCATGACCTCGGCTCACCGCAACCTCCACCTCCCGGGTTCAAGTGATTCTCCTGTCTCAGCCTCCCAAGTAGCTGGGATTACAGGCGCATGCCACCATGCCCGGCTAATTTTTGTATTTTTATTAGAGACAGGGTTTCTCTGTGTTGGTCAGGCTGGTCTTCAACTCCTGACCTTAGGTGATCCGCCTGCCTCGGCCTCCCAAAGTGCTGGGATTACAGGCATGAGCCACTGTGCTTAGCCAGAAATATATATATTCTTAAGGCAGAAAAGGTGATAACTCTGTCTTTACCAAAAACACTCACACAGGTATTAGGTACTTTTCTTTCATAGGACAGTCAACTAAGAATATAGTATTATGATTATTGCCATTTCTTATTATAGACATGTTTTATGTCAGTTGAGTAGGTTTACAATTCTTTTGAAAAGAAATATATTTGGGCCGGGCATGGTGGCTCACACCTGTAATCCCAGCACTTTGGGAGGCTGAGGCGGGTGGATCACCTGAGGGTCAGGAGTTCGAGACCAGCCTGGCCAACATGATGAAACCCCGTCTCTACTAAAAACACAAAAATTAGCAAGGCATGGTGGCAAGCACCTGTAATCCCAGCTACTCGGGAGGTTGAGGCAAGAGAATCGCTTGAACCTGGGAGACAGGTTGCAGTGAGCTGAGATCGTGCCATTGCACTCCAGCCTGGGTGACAAGAGCGAGATGTCATCTCAAAAAAATGAAAAAAAGAGAAAGAAAGAAAGAAAAGAAATATATTTTTGCTTGTTAAAAGTGAATTATTTATTTATTTATTTTTTTCCTGAGAGGGAGTCTTGCTCTGTTGCCCAGGCTGGAGTGCAGTGGCATGATCTCTGCTCACTGCAACCTGCGCCTCCCGGGCTCAAGTGATTCTCCTGCCTCAGCCTCCTGAGTAGCTGGGATTACAGGCGTGTGCCACCATGCCCAGCTCATTTTTGTATTTTTTAGTAGAGACAGGTCTTGAACTTGTCTTGAACTCCTGACCTCAGGTGATCTGCCTGCCTCGGCCTCCCGAAGTGCTGGGATTACAGGCATGAGCCACCCCAACTGGCCCAAAAGTGAATTGTTTCTGAATGATCTTATTCAAGAAGCCTAGTGAAGAGGACTGCATCTATGGTAGAGGTGCACTGTTCCCAGGAGAGAAGGCACTGCGGTAATCATCTCGGTGTTCTGTGGAAAACAGTGTGGACTCCTGTCATGCATTGGGCAATATTTATTATTGCTTAACAAGGTTTACAGATAAGACTGGGAATGTTTTGATTTATGTTTTCCTTCTGTGTGAGAAGAGTTTACTAACCACCTGACAGTATTCAAGTAACTATTTAGAAATGACTTCTTTTTTGTCTTTATTTATTATTATGGTAGAAAAATTCTCAAGATAATCTATTTTCAAACTAATCATTTTATTTCTCTCCCATTAATCTTAAAGTGGAAATGGGCAGAAAGAAAAAATAGATTTAAGTATTTCTATACCTGAAACTAATTTTACTATATGCTCTGAGATTCCTAGCATAACAACTGTGAACTCATATTTTATTGTAAAAATATTTTCAGTATACAGTTAGTATTTGAACTCACTAGGTTTTTAAATGTTAGACACACAAGATGAGCATCAATATACAACACCTATCTTTATAAATTGTTATATTCAAGAGTTATTATTGCAGATTGGAAGGTACTTTGTTCCTTTGCGTAAAAGTCTTTTTTTTTTTTTGTAGAAACAGAGTCTTACTCTGTCACCCAGGCTAAAGTGCAGTGGCATGATCTCAGATCGCTGCAACCTCCGCTTCCCGGGTTCAAGCGATTGTCTTGCCTCAGCCTCCAGAGTAGCTGGGATTACAGGTGCCCGCCACCACTCCTGGCTAATTTTTGTATTTTTGGTAGAGACAGGGTTTCACCATGATAGCCAGGCTGGTCTTGAATTCCTGGCCTCAAGTAATCCACCCACCTCGGCCTCCCAAAGTGCTAGGATTACAGGCATGAGAAACCACATCCAGCTGAAAGGCATTTAATTTATAGTTTCCTCCCTCAGCTCTCCCCAAATACAGGGGTCATGAGAGGTATAGAGAAGACAGAATAGATATTCAATTAGAACTCTGCTCAACCTTATCTTATAACTGTTACCTTTCAGTATTGATCAGTTATTTCTATTTTTGAGATTTAAATAGGCATAGATTTTCTTTTGTTTTCTTTTTCTTCTAAATTTTTTTCTTGCCACACCCAGGGGCAGCCTCGAATTATTTTGTTTTTAAGTTCACCTTTTAGACTGATTTGCCTACCTACTCCCTCCTTCTTTCCCTTTCTCCCTCCCTCCTTCCCTTTTTCCCTTTTCTTTTTTTTAAGATGGAGTCTCATGCTTGTTGCCCAGGATGGAGTGCGGTGGCACAATCTCGGCTCACTGCAACCTCCGCCTCCCAGGTTCAAGCGATTCTCCTGTGTCAGCCTCCCGAGTAGCTGGGACTACAGGCACGCACCACCACTCCCAGCTAATTTTTGTATTTTTAATAGAGACAAGGTTTCACCAAGTTAGCCAGGCTGGTCTCAAACTTCTGACCTTGTGATCCACCCACCTCGGCCTACCTAAGTACTGGGATTACAGGCGTGAGCCAGTGCACTGGCCTATTATCTCTTTTTAACAAAGAATTAAGAAATCTAATATTCTTTCCCAAGATCGTACAAAGAATTGTGGCAAATTAGGAATTAGATTTTTGTCTTAATTCAAAACCTGGTATTTACCCCAGTGTGCCAAACAGCTTTATAATGAAGACAACATTAATCAAGCATCACATTTTTAAAGGCATATATCTATTTTTTTGGCTATGCAAAAAACCTTGTCTCTATTAAAAATACAAAAATTGGCTAGGCATTTCAAATGTGATACAATAAAATATTAACACAAAAGTAATTTCTATTTATAAAATTTAAAATGGCAGGTTTTCTGTGTGACGTTTGAGTTTGAGATGATTTGACTGGCATGAGGCCCATCATTGGGAGGTAAAAATTACAGCACAAAGAAAACTAAGCAGGTGCATATGAGGTATTGTCTCTTTATGCTCATCAAAAAATAATCTCCAAAAGAAAAGTTAAAAAAATTATTGTTATAAATTGCATGAAATACATAGTGGGCTCGATTCATAGCCCCCGTCCGTATCTATATCTCTATATCTATAGAGACATAACTTCTTTCTTCGTAAGTTATATATGTCTACTTCTACCTGTGTTATCATAATAAAGGTGTCATGATGATACAGGTGGAGGTAGAAATATATAACTTATCTCTTCATAAGGGCTAAAATGAGAACTAAAAGTAATGAGAATTCAGTTGAATATGATTAATTATCAGGATATGTTAATTAGTTCTCTTGATGCTTACTGTGATGCAAAGTATGTGACGTATTTTAAACATTTTATAATAATTGTTCGTATGTTAACCATTAGGCAAGATTTGTATTTCTAATGCTTTTAATGTTCTTTTAAAATAATGTTTGGAAAATAAAAATACTGAAAATCCTAACATTTCTGAACACCAGTTTGCAATATAATGAATTTCCTGTCTGATCATTTTAAAACTATCAGAGCATGGCAATGATCATTTTTGCCCAATGGATAACAATGTGTTGAACCACAGACAGAGAGCTCTTTGCCTTAAGAGATGAAATAACTTGTTTGACTATATATAAATTTTTTTTTTTTTTTGTAGAGACGGGGTCTCCCTATGTTGCCCAGGTTGGTCTCCAACTCATGGGCTCAAGCGATCCTCCCGCCTCAGCCTTCCAAAGTGCTGGGAATAGAGGCGTTACATTTTGTATCATATATGCTCAGACTAATCAAGGATAGTTAATGCCAAAGACTATTTACAAAACTAAGTTTCTTACTCAGTGAAAAGAGGCTAAATGAACATTTGAGCAACTCATTTAAATGAAATTTAGCTGGAAAAAGAAAAATTTTGAATTTTTGGTTTATCGATCAGGGTCTGGATTTAAGAATCAAAAAACATTAACATAAGCAGGAAAGCATTTAATATAGGAAACTAGATGTCTACAGAATGGTTAGATAGGGCTCTATGATGAGTCTCCAGGAAAGATTGCACCATAAACATGACCAGCCGGACCAGCCATAAATGCTACTACTTCTGCTCCAACCAAGAAGAGAGGAAGTCAGGAAGCCTACCTTGGACTTTTGACTTCAAGAACACACTGTTAAAGTTGTTGTCCACCAGTGAGGAAGTTGCTGCCACTACTATTTCCACAAAAAACTCTCTTGACACCTACAAAGCAAGTGGCTGAACAACAAGACACTGCTATAGAAAAAATCTGGCACCATGCAGTTAGATGGAGAAACTAAGTTTGCATCTAGAACCCTAGCTTCAGGGAAATCTGGAAAGTGTACTAACACAAAAGTATACTCAAAGGAGATGCAGAGTTCTAATCTGTTCTGTCCACAGAGGTTCACCTTGGTAGTCAACATTTGTTTTTTTTTTTGAGATGGGTTCTCACTCTGTTGCCCAAGCTGGAGTGTAGTGGTGCAATCTCGGCTCACTGCAACCTCCACCTCCTGGGTTCAAGCGATTTTCCTGCCTCAGCCTCCTGAGTAGCTGGGATTACAGGCATGCGCCAACACGCCCAGCTAATTTTTGTAGCAGAGACGGGGTTTCACCATGTTGGCCAGGCTGGTCTTGAACTCCTGACCTCAGGTGATCCACCCACCTCACCCTCCCAAAGTGCTGTGATTATAGGCGTGAGCCACTGCATCCGGCCAGTAGTCAACATTTTTTATACATACCTCTAGCCATACTCCCAAACAACAGCAGTAGCTATACCACCATTCTCCCTCTTGAAATAATGCAGCTTCTCTCATTTAAACAAAAATATGTACTTTGCTAGGCGCTGCATAGCAATCTCAGCACTTTGGGAGGCTGAAGTGGGAGGATCGCTTGAGCCCAGGAGTTTGAGACCCACCTGGGCAACGTGACAAAACCCCGTTTCTACAGAAAAGTTACTTGGGCATGGTGGCAGGTACCTGTAGTCCCAGCTACTGGGGAGGCTGAGGTGGGAAGATCGCCTGAGTGAGTCCAGGAGGCCTAGGCTGCAGTGAGCCAAGATCACACCAGTGCAATCCAGCCTGCAGTGAGATCCTGTCACAAAACAAAACAAAATAAAAAATGCATACTCTCCTCCAGAGGGAAGATGCTAAGTCTGATCAATCTCTGGGTTTCTCAGTGATGTTCATTATTCTTCTAGTTCAGTCAAAAATCTCAACGTGATATTCTGTAACCTAAGGACCAAATTATAAAATTTACCACCAACAAACAAATTTAATCATCAAGAGTAAAAAGAAGAAATTGGTTGAAAATGTTTCATAGACACACACACACACACACCAGGATAAAGAATAAATGGGGATTAGTACAGACTTTGCTTGCTTCCGTTGGTCAAGAAGCTGTGATTGGTATTTTATAATGTCCTCCACTTCCCATTTCCTATCCCTTTGCCATTAGCTAGCATGTCATGTAGTCTGAGAAAGTAAGTTTTATCAAATAGCAGAGGGAATGAAATACTAAGAAAACAAAATTTATAAAACATAATGTAGGATTACAGAAATAACTGGATAAATGGAAATGCTTAATATCATATATAAAAGAATTTATATATATGCTTAATATCATATATAATATCATATATAAAAGACAATTCGAATTAAAAAACAACATGAAGGCCAGGCGCGGTGGCTTGCGCCTGTAATCCCAGCACTTTGGGAGGCCGAGGTGAGCGGATCATTTGAGGTCAGGAGTTCAAGGCAAGTCTGGCCAACATGGTGAAACCCCATCTCTACCACAAATAAAAAAATTATCTGGGCATGGTGGCAGGTGCCTGTAATCCCAGCTACTCAGGAAGCTGAAGCAGAAGAATTGCTTGAACCAGGGAGGCGGAGGTTGCAGTGAGCTGAGATCACGCCACTGCCCTCCAGCCTGGGTGACAGAGCGAGACTCCGTCTCAAAAAAAATAAAAAATAAATAAAAACAACATGAAAATATATGCAACATTTGCTGCTTGGAATAGAGAAACACAAACTGAGAGTAAAAATTAAGATACAGGCAAAAGTAGACAAGCCTTCATGAACAAAAAATGATGGTGACAGTATTAATATCAAAGTAGAACTGAAAGCAAAACCACATTCTAGAAGATAACTAATATTGATAAGAGGAACAACCAAATAATAAAGCAATACGTTTCATTCATTCAGCAGATATTTGTTGAATACTGTGTACCAGCTTGAGATACATTGGTGAACACAACAATGAAGTTTCTACCCCCATAACACATTATACTGAAGATAATAAATACGTAATTTTCAAGCACAGGATCCCACAGTAATCCATGGGGAATATGTTCCAAGACCCCCAGTGGATATCTGAAACCCGGGATAGTGCCAAACCCGATATATTCCATGCTTTTTCCTTTACACACATACCTGTGATAAAGCCTAATTTATAAGGCACGGTAAGAGATTAACAATAATGAATATTGTAATAAAAGTTATGTGAATGTGGTCTCTCTCAAAATATGCCACAGGAAGCTGAAACCAAGGATAAGGGGGGACTATGGCAGTGATACATTGAATGAAGATGATAAAATAGTAAAAGCAGAGAAAGTATGGGGGGTGGTGGGGATGTGATTTTGACACAGGGAGACTAGAGATAGTCTTTCTTAGGAGATATTTGAGCAGCATCTTGAATGAAGTCTTAGGGATTGAGCCAGGAAAATAGTTGGGACAAGAGCTTTCCAGGCTCCAGGAGTAGCCACTAAAGGCCCAAAATAGGCATGTGTTTGGCATGTTTAAGAAAATTGGAGGTGGGGCGCAGTGGCTCATACCTGTAATCCCAGGACTTTGGGAGGCCAAGGCGGGCAGATCACTTGAGGTCAGGAGTTTAAGACCAGCCTGGCCAACATGGCGAAACCCCATCTCTACTGAAAATACACAAATTAGCCAGGCATTGTGGCGTACGCTTGTAGTCCCAGCTCCTTGGGAGGCTGAGGCAGGAGAGTCGCTTGAACCCAGGAGGTGAAGATGGCAGTGAGCCAAGATCATGCCACTGCACTCCAGCCTGGGCGACAGGGTGAGACTGTCTCAACAAAAATAAATAAATAAATTGGCAGAAAGAATGGCAGGAAATGAGGTAGCCAGGAACCAGATCATATAGGCTTTTTGTAGGACTTGACAAGTGTTTTAGATTTTTATTCCACATATAATGGAAAATCATTGCAAGATTGAGAGCAGAGGCTTAATAAAACCAGATTTGTCAAAAACAACAAAGTGCACAAAGCAAAATCTGTTAGAATACAAGAAGAAATGGACAGAAACATGAACAAAGTAGGAGATTTTAATACTTCACTAAGTCTAGGATGGACCAAGAAGACAAGAATGGTAAGAACATAGAACAGTTTACAAATATATAATTAGAAAATAGAATTAATATTGAGGTGTACACACATAATTTTATATACCTCACAGCAAATAAGCTTTCTTTTACATGTTAGCAGAAATAAACAACTGATTAATAGACCAAAAGAAAACGCTCAATGAAATAGAAATGCTGAGTCCCAGTGTCATAAACTAACAGTGCTACACACAATTTAAGTTCTATTTAGCTCCATTCAACTTTTGTTATTTTTGCCATTTTTAATTCTCATCTGTTTTTATTTTGAACCTGACGACATTACAGTTATAATGTGGTCAATTTTTTTTTTTTTGAGACAGAGTCTCTCACTCTGGAGTGCAGTGGCATGATCTCTGCTCACTGCAACGTCCACCTCCACCTCCCCGAATTAAGCAATCCTCCCACCTCAGGCTCCTGAGTAGCTGGAACTAGCAGCACAGGCCACCATGTCCAGCAAATTTTTGTTGTTTTTGTTTTTGTTTTTGTAGAGGCAAGGTTTCACCATGTTGCCCAGGGCTCAATTCCTGGGCTCAAGTGGTCCTCCCACCTCAGCCTCCCAAAGTGCTGAGATTATATGTGTGAGCCATCACACTTGGCCTATTCATTGATATTTACCATATATTATCACATTACTTAAAATTTTTTTTTTTTTAGACAGGTCACTCTGTCGCCCAGGTTGGAGTGCTGTGGCACGATGATGGCTCACTGCAGCCTCATCCTCCTGGGCTGAAGCGATTTTCCTGCCTCAGCCTCCCAAGTAGCTGGGACTATAGGCATGCCCCACCATGCCTTGGCTAATTTTTTTTTTTTTTTTTTTTTTTTTTTTTTTTTTGTAGAGATGGGGTCTCCCTGTGTTGCCCAGGTTTGTCTCAAACTCCTGGTCTCAAGCAATCCCATCTTGGCCTCACAAATGCAGAGATTACAGCCATGAGCCATCATGCTCGGCCCTTAAAATTTTTAAATAAATTTTTAATTAATTGTTTTGATTCAGCAGATAAGTTTTACATACTCCTTAGTGGATTCTGACTTCTGACTTCCACGACCCCCATCTAGCTTATTTATCTCCCTCTCTTCCTTCCTTCCTTCCTTCCTTCCTTCCTTCCTCTCTTTCTCTCTTTCTTCTTTTCAAAGAGATAAGGTCTTGCTCTGTCACCAGACTGGGGTGCTGTGGCACAATCTTGGCTCACTGCAGCCTCCACCTCCTGGGCTCAAGTGATCCTCCCTCCTGAGTAGCAGGGACTACAGGAGTATACCACCATGCTTGGCTAATCTTTGTAGAGACATAGTTTCTCTATGTTGCCCAGGCTGATCTCGAACTCCTAGGCTCAAGCAGTCCTCCCACCTCAGCCTCCCAAAATGCTGGCATTATAGGCATTAGCCAAAGTGCCTGACTTATCATATTTCTTCCTCACTATTCCTTCTTGCGTCTCAGACCTTTCATTTGATTCTATTTCCTTCTGCCTTAATGTATCATTTAGAATTTCCTTTAATGTTTCTTTTCTGTTAGTGAATGATCTCTGTTTGTTTTCTGGAAACATTTTTATTTTGCCATCATTCTTTATTTTTTATTTTTTTTGAGACAGGGTCTTGCTCTGGCATCCTGGAGTGCAGGGGTGCAATCACAGCTCACTGCAGCCTCAACCTCCCATTGCCTTCATTCTTACAAGAATTTTTTTCTGAGTAAAGACTTTGTATTTTATCTTTTAGTGTAGTAGTGTATTCCCTGCTTCTTGGTTAGTGCTTTGTAAAAAACAAAACAAAACAAAACAAAAAAGGAAAGTATTATTCCTTTGTCTTCTGACTTCCACTGTTGCTATTAAAAACTCAGCTGTTTGGCTGGGCACGGTGGCTCATGCCTGTAATCCCAGCACTTTGGGAAGCCAAGGCAGGTGAATCATCTGAGGTCAGGTGTTTGAGACTAGCCTTGCCAACATGGAGAAACCCCGTCTCTTCTAAAAATAAAAAAAATTAGCCAGGCATGGTGACGAGTGCCTGTAATCCCAGCTACTTAGGAGGCTGAGGCAGGAGAATTGCTTGAACCCAGGAGGCAGAGGTTGCAGTGAGCCAAGATCGCGCCACTGCACCCCAGCCTGGGTGATAGAGTAAGACTCCGTCTCAAAAAAAAAAAAAAAAATTAGCTGTTTGCACGCTGCTTATTTGAATATATTCTCCCTACTCCATTCCATATCCCACCTCCTGGCTGCTTTTATTATATTTATGTCTTTGGTGTTCTGCAGTTTTAATAGATGTGTATTTTTAAATTTATCTTGGGATTTGTTGGACTTCTCAAATTTATGGCTTGGTGTCTTTCATCAGCTGTGGACAATTCTCAGCCATTAATCTCTTCAAATATTGCATCTGTCCCATTCTCTCTACCCTCTCCTTAACGTGGCTTTCATTTTTTTCATCTCTTGCTTTTTTTTTTTTTTTTTTTTTTTTGATGGAGTCTCACTCTGTTGCCCAGGCTGGAGTGCAGTGGCGCTATTTCAACTCACTGCAAGCTCCGCCTCCGGGGTTCACGCCATTCTCCTGCCTCAGCCTCCCGAGTAGCTGTGTCTACAGGCGCCTGCCACCACGCCCGGCTAATTTTTTGTATTTTTAGTAGAGACGGGGATTCACCGTGTTAGCCAGGATGGTCTTGATCTCCTGACTTTGTGATCCACCTGCCTTGGCCTCCCAAAGTGCTGGGATTACAGGCGTGAGCCACCGTGCCCAGCACGTCTCTTGCTTTCTTTGTTGTAGTTTGAATAACTTCGTCCACCCTATCTTCTAGTTCATTAATTCTCTCTTCTTCTGAATCTATTCTGTTAAAATTGATTATCAAATTATCAACTTTAATTATGATTACTGTATTTTTCATTTTGAGAAATTTTCTAATGTTAAAAAAAAACCTGTTGGCCAGGTGCAGTGGCTCACACCTATAATTCCAACACTTTGGGAAGCCAAGGCTGACTAACATGGTGAAACCCCATCTTTACTAAAAATGCTACATTAGCCAAGCATGGTGGCGCATGCCTGTAATCCCAGCTACTTGGAACGCTGAGGCAGAAGAATCACTTGATCTTGGGAGGCGGAGGTTGCAGTAAGCCAGGATTGCGCCACTGCACTCCAGACTGGGCAACAGAGTGAGACTCTGTCTCAAAAAAAAAAGAAAAAGAAGAAACACCTGTTAGCTTACATTTTTAGAGTTTCCAGTTTCTACATATAATTAAAAGTGCATCGCTGGGCGCAGTGGCTCATGCCTATAATCCCAGCACTTTGGGAGGCTGAGGCGGGTGGGTCACCTGATGTCAGGAGTTTGACACCAGCCTGACCAACATGGAGAGAAACCCCATCTCTACTAAAAATACAAAATTAGCCGGGCATGGTGCCGAATGCCTGTAATCCCAGCTACTCGGGAGGCTGAGGCAGGAGAAATCACTTGAACCCCAGAGGCGGAGGTTGCAGTGAGCCGAGATTGCGCCATTGCACTCCAGCCTGGGTAAAAGGAGCAAAGCTCCATCTCAAAAAAAAAAAAAAAAAGAAAAGAAAAGAAAAAAATGGATCATTTATTTCTCAGTGTAAGGATAGTTTTCTAAAATGACTGATAATCCTATTATAATATTTGATTTTCAAAAAATAGGTCTTTTGTCAATTATTTTTGCTGATACTCCTTCATTGTGCCTTGTTTCCTTCACTCTGTATTTACTTTTACTGTGAGTTGCTAATTTTCCTTGAAATTTTTTGGTGAAAATTTTCACCCTGGTTGATAGCACTGCCTTAGGTGAAGGTACATTCCTCCAGAAAGAACTTGCATTTGCTTCTTCTAGGTGCCTAAATGTATTACCAGTTCAGGACCACTTTAAGCTGAACTTGAAGTTTTTTTGAACTACTTAGGTGATGTGGGTATATAGGTTACAATCTATAAGGCACTAAGTTTGCAATTATAACCTCGAAGAGATAATTTTTTCCGTTTCTCTGTTTATATCAAGGACAACTTTTCTTGAGGTTCCCTGGACATGAGGTAGAGTGGAGTGGGATGGATTTATTTCTTCTTTACCATTACCTTGAGGATGTAGCACTTTAGAGTCTTAGTTTTAAGGAAAGTGGGTTTCCTTTTAAGAAGCTTCAGTCATCTAAACTGAAGCACAATTTCTCTAAGGTTGGCAAATGCCTTCAGGGCAAAGGTGTCTATCGTCCTTCACTTACCTCTTAGAGTCCTCTCCTCTCCTCTCCTCTCCTCTCCTCTCCTCTCCTCTCCTCTCCTCTCCTCTCCTCTCCTCCCCTCCCCTCCCCCTCCCCTCCCCCTCCCCTCCCCTCCCCCCTCCACTCCCCTCCCCTCCCCTCCCCCCTCCACTCCCTCCCCTCCCCCTCCCCTCCCCTCCCCCCTCCCCTCTCCCCTCCCCTCCCCTCCTCCCTCCCCTCCCCTCCCCTCTTCTCTCTCCTTTCCTTTCTCCTTCTCCTTTTCTTTCCTTTTTCCTTTCTTCTCCTTTCCTTTCTTCCCCTTTCTTTTCCTTTCCTTTCCTTTCTTCCCCCTCCCCTCCCCTTCCCTCCCCTCCCCTCCCCTCCCCTTCCCTTTCCTTCCTTTCCCCTTTCCCTTTTGTTTGAGACAGAGTCTCACTCTGTCACCCAGGCTGGAGTGCAGTGGTGTGATCCTGGCTCAAGTGATCCTCCCACCTCGGCCTCTCAAGTAGTTGTTACCACAGATGTGCGCCACCATGGCCAGCTAATTTTTCATATGTTTTGTAGAGACGGGGTTTCACCATGTTGCCCAGGCTTATATTTTTGTCTTGTAATTTTTCACTCTTTTATCAGCTCTTTGATGTTTTTAAGACGTTTTATGTATTGGAGTATATTGTGAAGTTGAAATATTTATTGTTAACCAAATGAGAGCATTGTTATTATCATCAACATCTCACCCAAACGGCTCAATTTAATAATAATAATATCATCTACATTGTGAACACTTCTTGCTTATGTTTCCAAACCTACTCTATGTATGTGCCCATGTATATGTAGAGAAACCCAACAAAATAATGCAAGGTATAAAGTAAATGCTATAGGCTGCTACTGGAGTGCAAAGCAGGGAACAGTTTATTCAGAGTGAGAAAAAGGTAAGGCTTGATTAAGAAGATAAGGGAGATGGGGAGATCCTTTTGTAGTTCGTAAGTGTGATGATTGGGTTTGCACACGCATGTTTGAGATGTGCCTCCCTCAAACCTGTATTAGTCCATTTTCACACAGCTATAAAGAACTACCTGGATAATTTATGAAGACAAGTGGTTTAATTGACTCACAGTTCTGCAGGCTTAACAGGAGAATGACTGGGAGGCCTCAGGAAGCTTACCATCATGGCAGAAGGGGAAGGGGAAGAAGCACCTTCTTCACGTGGTGGCAGGAGAGAGAGAGACAGGAAGCAAGGAGGGAAGTGCCACACACTTTTAAACCATCAGATCTCACAAGAACTCACTCATTATCACGAGAACAGAATGGGGAAATTGCCCCCATAATCCAATCACCTCCCACCGGGTTCCTCCGCCAACACTGGGAATTATGATTCAACATGAGATTTCGGTGGGGACACAGAGCCAAACCGCATCAAACCTTGTTACAACGTGGGCACATTACCCATCTGACATGAATAAATAAGTAATAAAAATTAAGAGGGGGAAAAGGGAATTGATGGATGGAACACACACAAAATGCCTGCACAGCATTGAGGTTAAGAATGACAGCCCACAGACTGCATTTCCGGAGTTTGAATGTTAGCTTGGGTGACTCTGGACAAATTTAACTGCTATAAGTTTCAGATTCTTATACATAAAATTGAAATAATAATTGTATCTTATATAATCTCTTTGCAATTTACTGAAGAAATACTTCTCACCACAAAACCTAAGTAAGTGAAGTGATGGATATATTAATTAGCCTGATTAATCATTCCATATTTTGTATGTATATCAAAACATCCCACTGTACCCAATAAGTGTATACAATTATGATTTGCCCTTCAAAAATAATTTAAACAGAAATGCTTCTCTCTCGAGCTCACTAAAATGTCCCCCCTTTTTTTTTTTTTTTGAGACGGAGTTTTGCTTTGTCATCCAGGCTGGACTCCAGTGGCACCATCATTGCTCACTGCAACCTCTGCCTCCCAGGTTCAAGCGATTCTCTTGCCTCAGCCTCCCAAGTAGCTAGGATTACAGGTGTGTACCACCACACCTGGCTAATTTTGTATTTTTACTAGGGACGGGGTTTCGCCATGTTGGCCAGGCTGGTCTCGAACACCTGACCGCAAGTGATCTGCCCACCTCAGCTTTCCAAAGTGCTGGGATTACAGGTGAGCCACTGTGCCCTGCCAATTATTTCTTTTCTTAAGTTATTGTTTGTTTTTTGATGAGGCATAGAAGTGCAATAATTTATGTAAATCAATTTTATATCTAGCCACTTGACTAAACTCTCTTATTTTTAATAATTTATCTAACACATATTTTGGGGTTATTATGTAGATAAAAATGTTATCTACTTGACAGAGGAAACTGTTTTGTAAAATTTTCTAAAAATGTCATCTACAAATAATAATGTTTTGGTTTTGGTTGTTTTTTGTTTTTGTTTTTGTTTTTGTTTTTTGAGACAGAGTCTTGCTTCGTTGCCCAGGCTGGAGTGCAGTGATGCAATCTCGGCTCCCTACAACCTAAGCCTCAAGTGATCCTTCCATCTCAGCCTCCTGAGTAGCTGGGACTACAGGTGGGCACCTCCACACCCTCCTAATTTTTGTATTTTTTGTAGAGACGGGGTTTCACCACATTGTCCAGGCTGGTCTCTAACTCCTAAACTCAAAGGATCCGCCCACCTTGGCATCCCAGTGTTGGGATTACAGGTGTGAGGCACTGCATTTGGCAATAATGGTTTTGTTTCTTCCATTCTAAGCCTTACACCTTCACCTTTTCTTGTCTTACATGGTTAGCTAGAAATTCAGTACAAGGTTGAACAGAAGTGTTAATAGTAGGCATCCATTCTGGTTGTCCATTTGAAATTTTCATCAACTCTGAGAGTGTTGTAGGTTTTTGTTAGATACCCTTTATCAGTTTAAAAAGTTTCTCTTCTGTTCCTCGTTTATTAAGAGTTTTTATTATAGAAGAGGGTTCAATTTTATTGAGTGACTTTTCTTTTTCTTTTTTTGAGACGGAGTCTTGCTCTTTTGCTCAGACTGGAGTGCAGTGGCGCGATCTCGGCTCACTGCAAGCTCTATCTCCCGGGTTCACGCCATTGTCCTGCCTCAGCTTCCCGAGTAGCTGGGACTACAGGCGCACGCCACCACGCCCGGCTAATTTTTTCTATTTTTTAGTAGAGCCGGGGTTTCACCGTGTTAGGAAGGATGATCTCGATCTCCTGACCTCGTGATCCACCCGCCTCAGCTTCCCAAAGTGCTGGGATTACAGGCGTGAGCCACAGCGCCCAGCCTTGAGTGACTTTTCTGAATCTGTTGAGATAATCATATGATTTGTCTCATTTTGGCCATGATGGTTTTTTTTAAACACTACTAAATCAGGACTGGGCACGGTGGCTCACTCCTGTAATCCCAGCATTTTGGGAGCCTGAAGTGGGAACATGGTTTAAGCCTGAGTTTGTGGCACCCCGTCTCTTAAAAAAAAAAAACAGGCATGGTGGCACACATATGTAGTCCTAGTTGCTCAGGAGGCTGAGGTGGGAGGATTGCTGAGCCCCAGAAGTCAAGGCTGTAGTGAGCTGTGACTGCACCACTGCACTCTTAGCTTGAGTGACAAAGTGAGACCCTGTCAAAAAAAAAAATACTAGGTCAATTTGCTAATATTCTAAGATTTTTGCATCTGTTCATAAAGAAATAACCCTGCAATTTTCACTTCTCATAATTCTCTTGTCTGTTTATCCTGGTTTCATATAATGGGTGAGCAATGTAACTTCCTTTTCTATGTTATGGAGTAGTTTGCTTAAAATTGGAATTTATTTTTCCCTTTAATGTTTGATAGAACGCTCCTGTGAAACAATCTGTGCTGCTGTTTACTTGGAGGAAAGTTTTTATCTCTTGATTCAATTACTATAATGGTTGTACAATTTATCTAGTTTTTAAATTATTATAATAGTATTAGTATTATTATATGCAATGTAATACAGTAATATTTTCTAAGAATTTTTCCCCATTTTGTATATATTTCAAACTTCTTGGCATAAAGTTATTCACAATAATCTATAATATCTGTTAATTCTGTGCAGAATCTGAGTTTTGTCACCTTTTTCATTCTTTTTATTATCTTTGTATGCCTTCTCTTTTTTATTTATTATTTATTTATTTATTTATTTTTTGAGACGGAGTCTCGCTCAGTTGCCCAAGCTGGAGTGCAGTGGCACGATCTTGGCTCACTGCAACCTCCACCTCCTAGGTTCAAGCAATTCTCCTGCCTTGGCCTCCCGAGTAGCTAAGATTACAGGTGCATGCCACCACACCCGGCTATTTTTTGTATTTTTAGTAGAGATGGAGTTTCACCATGTTGGCCAAGCTGGTCTTGAACTCCTGACCTCAGGCGACCCACCCACCTCAGCCTCCCAATATGCTGGGATTACAGGTGTAAGCCACCGTGCCCAGCCCTCTTTTTTCTTTTCTTGGCCCACCTTACCAAATATATTTATGGTATATGTATTAGTCCATTCTTGCATTGCTATACAAAATACCTGAGGCTGGGTAATTTATAAGGAAAATAGGTTTAATTGGCTCACGGTTCTGCAGGCTGTACAGGAAGAATGGCACTGGCATCTGCTCTGCTTCTGGTGAGGCCCAAGGAAGTTTCAATCATGGCAGAAGGCAAGTGGGGAGCCGGTGTATCACATGGAGACAGTGAGAGCAAGAGAGAGATGGGGGAGGTCCCAGAAACAACCAGATCTCACATGACCTCATAAAGCAGGAACTCACTCATTACTGCCAGGATGGCACTAAGCATTCATGAGGGATCCACCTCTCTTACCCAAACATGTCCCACCAGGCCCCACCTCCAACACTGGGAATCACATGCAACATGAAATTTGGAGGGGACATACATCCAAACCATGTTAGTGTACAACATGATGTTTTGAGGCCGGGCGTGGTGGCTCACGCCTGTAATCCCAGCACTTTGGGAGGCCAAGGTGGGCGGATCACGAGGTCAGGAGATCGAGACCATCCTGGCTAACACGGTGAAACCCCATCTCTACTAAAAATACAAAAAATTAGCCGGGCGTGGTGGTGGGTGCCTGTAGTCCCAGCTACTCAGGAGGCTGAGGCAAGAGAATGGCGTGAACCCAGGAGGCAGAGCTTGCAGTGAGCCAAGATAGCGCCACTGCACTCCAGTCTGGGCGACAGAGTGAGACACCGTCTCAAAAAAAAAAAAAACAACCACATGATGTTTCGATATATGTATTCATCATGGAATGGCTAAATCAAGCCAATGAACATATGCATTACCTCACATACCATTTTTTTGTGGTGAGAAAACTTAACATCTACTTTCTTAGCAATTTTTGAGTATGAATACCTTGTTATTCACTAGAATCACCATGTTGTGCAATGGATCTCTTGAACTTATTCTTCCTAACTGAAATTTTGTATTCTTTGATCAGCATCCCCCAATGCCACACCACTCATTAACCCTGGTAACTGCCATTCTAGTCTGCTTCTATGAGTTAATCTTTTTCAGACTCCACATGTAAGTGGTATCAGGAGGTATTTGTCTTTCTGTGCCTGGCTTATTTCATTTAACATAATGTCCTCCAGGCTCATCTGTGGTGTTGCAAATAATAGGATTTTCTCCTTTTTTAAGGCTGAGTAGTATTCCATTGTGTATATACACATTTTCTTTATCCATTCATCCATTCATGAATACTTAGGTTGATTCCATATCTTGGGTATTGTGAATAATGCTGCAGTAGACATAGGATGCAGATATCTCTTCAACATACTGATTTCATTTCCTTTGGATATATACCCAATAGTGGGATCATTGCGTTATATAGTAGTTCTATTTTTAATTTTTTGAGAAACTTCCATACTGTTCCCCATAATGGCTGTACTAGTTTACCTTCACACCAACAGTGTTCCAGGGTTCCCTCTTCTCTACATCCTTGCCAACACTTTGTTGTCTTTGGTCTTTTTGGTAATAGCCATTCTCACAAGGATAAGGTAATATCTCATTGTGGTTTTAATTTGCCTTTTCCTAATGATTAGTGATGCTGATTTTTTTTTTCTTTTGAGACAGAGTCTTGCTCAGTCGCCCAGGCTGGAGTGCAGAGGCGCGATCTCGGGATCTCGGCTCACTGCAAGCTCCGCCTCCCGGGTTCACGCCATTCTCCTGCCTCAGCCTCCCGAGTAGCTGGGACTACAAGCGCCCGCCACTACGCTTGGCTTTTTTTTTTTTTTTTTTTTTTTGTATTTTTAGTAGAGACGGGGTTTCACCGTGTTAGCCAGGATGGTCTTGATCTCCTGACCTCGTGATCCACCCATCTTGGCCTCCCAAAGTCCTGGGATTACAGGCGTGGGCCACCGCCCGGCCGATGCTGACCTTTTTTTATATACCTGTTGGCCATTTGTATGTTTTCTTTTGAGACATGTCTATTTAGTTCCTTTGCCCATTGTAAAATCTGGTTAATTTTTTCTTGCTATTGAGGTGTGTGAATTCCTTATATATTTTGGATATTAACTCCTTATCAGATACATAGTTTACAAATATTTTCTTCCATTCCATAGGTTGTCTTTTTCACACTGTTGATTGTTCCCTCTTTTGTGCAGAAGCTTTTTAGTTTAATGTAATCTCATTTATCTACTTTTGCTTTTGTTGCCTATGCTTTTGGGGTCATATTCAAAACAATTATTGCCCAAACCAATGTCATGGAACTTTTCCCCTTTGTTTTTTTCTAGTAGTTTCACAGTTTCAGGTCTTACATTTAAATCTTACTCCATTTTCAGTGGATTGTTTTATATGGAGTGAGATAAAGGCCCAGTGACATTCTTCTGCATGTGGATATACTGTTTATCAACAGTATTGAAGAGACTGTTGCTTCCCCATTGTGTGTTATTGGCATCTTTGTTGAAAATCAATTGACCAGAAATATGTAGATTTATTTCTGGGCTTTCTATTCTGTTTTGTTGGTCTACAGATCTGTTTTTATGTCAATAGCATGCTGCTTTGATTATGGCTTGTAGTAGATTTTGATATCAGGTAGTGTGATGCCTCTTGCATTGTTCTTTTTGCTATTTGGGGGTCTTTGGGGGTACTTTGGCTATTTGGGGGTCTTTTATGGTTTCATATGAATTTTAGGATAGTGTTTCCTATTTTTGTGAAACAGGTCATTGGAATTTTAATAGATTGCATTGAATCCTTTGAGTAGTAGATTGATTTGGGTAGTATGGACATTTTAACAATCTTATTCTTCCAATCCATGAAGACAGGATATCTTTCTTTTTATTTATGACTTCTTTAATTTCTTATAAATGCTTTATAGTTTTTGGTTTATAGATTTTTCACCTTCTTTGTTAAATTTATTCCTAAATATTATTTTTGTGGCTACTGTAAATTGGATTGTTTTCTTTTTCTTTTATTTTCTTTTTTGAGACAGGGTCTTGCTCTATTGCTTAGGCTGGAGTGCCGTGGCACAGTCATGCAGCCTTGACCTCCTGGGCTTAAGCAATCTTCCCACCTCGGCCTCCAAAGTGGCTGGGACTACAGGTACACACCACCATGCCCAGCTAATTTTTATTTTTTATTTTGTAGAGATGGAGTCTCACTGTGTTGCCCAGGCTGGACTTGAACTTTCAGGCTCAAGTAATTCTCCCACCTCAGCCTCCCAAAGTGTTGGGATTACAGGCGTGAGCCCTTGCTCCTGGCCTAGATTGTTTTCTTAATTTCTTTTTGGAATAATTTGTTAGTGTATAGAAATGCCATTGGTTTTTCTATGTTGGGTTTTGTGTCCTATAACTTTACTGAATTCATTTATTAGTTTTGAAAATTTTTGATGGAGTCTTTAGCATTTTCCATATAAGATCATGTTGTCTGCAAACAGACAATTTAACTTCTTATTTTCCTATTTGCATCCCTTTTATTTCTTTCCGTTGCCTAATTTCTCTGGCTAGGACTTTCAGTACTATTGCAACCAGACGTTTTTATAGATATTTGTATCAGTTAGCTGTGGCTAAGTTGTGCTGTGGTAATAAGCAATTTCAAACCAATTTCAGTGGCTTGCCACAACAAAAATTTCTTTCTTACATATTGACTATGAATTGACTGTGACTCTGCCCCATTCTGGGATCCACACTGAAGACATAGTTTTCTGTGCCATGCCCATCTAGGGCAGAAAGAAAAAGTAGTGGCTCTTACAGACTTATGGTCAAAAGTGGCACATATCAATCCACTCACATTTCACTGAACAAAGCAAGTCAAATGGCCAAGCATGATTTCAGTGTGTGGGAAATAGAAATCTTCTCATAGTGTGGACACTGAAAGAATACAGCAATGGGTTGGAATGTATAATTCTTTTTTTTTTTTTTGAGACAGTCTTGCTCTGTCACCCAGGCTAGAGTGCAGTGGCGCGATCTCGGCTCACTGCAACCTCCACCTCCTGGGTTCAAGTGATTCTCCTATCTCAGCCTCCCGAGTAGCTGGGATTACAGGCATGTGCCACCACACCTGGCTAATTTTTGTATTTTTAGTAGAGATGGGGTTTCACTATGTTGGCCAGGCTGGTCTCAAAACTCCTGACCTCAGGTGATCCACCGGCCTTGGCCTCCAAAAGTGCTGGGATTACAGGCTTGAGCCACTGCACCCGGCCTGGAATCTATAATTCTTTCACAGGGTAGAGCAGAAACTATTTGGAACAATAATACAATTTACTGCAGTATGATCTCATCATTCAGTTCTAAGTATTCTCTAATTTGCATCATATTTTTTTCCATTGGATCCATAAATTATTTAGAAGTGATTCTCTTAATTTCTGAAAGAGTATCTTTCACTTATTGATTTCCAAGGTAATGAGATTATGGCCAGACAGTGAGATCTGTATGATTCCAATCCTTGAAAATTACTTGAGATTTGCTTTATGCTTCAGTATATGGACAGTTTGTGCAAGTGATCTGAATGTGCTTGAGAAAAACATGCTATTTTCTAATTATTGGCTAAAATGTTCTCTGTATGTCATGTAGTTCAATCCTATTGATTGTGTAATTCTTTTTTGGAGGGTTGAGGGATGGTAGCAAAGAACCTATTGGTTTTGTGCCCCACCCACTGATTGTATAATTCAAATATATATTATTACTGATATATTTTTTGTCTCATTGATAAGCTGTCAATTCCTGAGAGAGAGAGAGAGAGAGCAGCAAAAGTGCTTATGTGTAGAAAGTAGTCTACTTGCATGCAGTGTGCAAAGCCTTATGTAGAAGAGTCTACAGAGAGAGGAGAGAACCTCAGTGAACTGCTGGATTGTTAAAGCAGAGATCTGTTAGGGAGTATCTAAGGCAGCATTGTTTAAAATTTTTAAACAAGGAAGATTGTTGGTCAGACGCAGTTACTCACACCTGTGATCCCAACACTTTGGGAGGCCAACGTGGGAGGATGGCTTGAGCCCAGGAGTTCGAGACTAGTCTGGGCAATATGGTAAGACCCTGTCTCTCCAGAGGAAAAAAAAAAAAAGAAGCCAAGCATGGTGGTGCACACCTGTGGTCCCAGCTACTTGGGAGGCTGAGGTGGGAAGATGGCTTGAGCCCAGAGAGTTGAGGCTGCAGTGAGCTGTGATTGTACCAGTGCACTCCAATGTGGGTGATAGAGCTAGACCCTGCAGCAAAAAGAAAAAAAAAAACAAGATTGTTGTTACTTAAAATTTATTCCTGAACTTTATTACCGTATAAACGTGCATGTGTACACTGTTGTAATCAGAACGTACATATATTACTGTCTCTTCTGTTGAAATCACATCATCTAACTTTTGAAGAGCAGATTCATTTTATGAATACAATTCTAATTACTCCCCAACCTCTGTCTGTTCAAGGAAAGTAATGTGGTTGGAGACTCCATCAAGGCAACCTAGCAAATTAGAAACGGAGCTGCGGCTGAGCGCAGTGGCTCACACTTATAATTCCAGCTCTTTGACAGGCCAAGGCTGGAGAATCACTTGAGCCTGGGCAACATAGTGAGACCCCATCTCTAAAAAAAAAAAATTATAAAATAAAAAGAAACAGGGCCAGGTGCCATGGCTCACACCTGTAATACCAGCACTTTAGGAGGCTGAGGAGGGCGGATCACCTGAGGTCAGGAGTTGGAGACCAGCCTGGTCAACATGGCAAAACCCCGTCTCTACTAAAAGCCCCTGCTTTCAAGGCCACCATTGTCATTCACAGATCAGTGGCAACATAGAAAGTAATATGGATGAAAGCTGTAATAGGATCTTTCAAGCTCTCAGACAGACACACACTTTTTCTCCTATATTCACTAAAAGCAGTTTTTTTTTTCCATTAATGCAAGATGACCATGGTTCTCTTAAAAGAGACTTGTCTCATTGTTCTCCTACCACAGTTGAGGACAAAATCCAAGTCAATGAAGACATTAAGGCCTTGGCCGGGTGCGGTGGCTCACACCTGTAATCCCAGCACTTTGGGAGGCCCAGGCAGGTGGATCACCTGAGGTCAGGAGTTAAGAGACCAGCCTGGCCAACATGGTGAAACCCCATCTGTACTAAAAATACAAAAATCAGCCGGTGTGGTGGTGTGCCTGTAATCCCAGCTACTCAGGAGGCTGAGGCAGGAGAATCACTTGAACCTGGGAGGTGCGGGTTGCAGTGAGCCAAGATCGCACCACTGCCCTCCAGCCTGGGCAACAGGGCAAGACTCTGTCTCGAAAACAACAACAAAAAACAAACAAAAAAGACATTAAGGCCCTGTGGAATGGTGAGAGGAGTGGCAGGCAAGCTCCTGGGAAAAGACTTGCCTTTGTCAGGGGTCCAGGCTTTAGAGAGGTCAGGCCTAGACTTAGTTTGGAACCATGGGCAAAGCAGCCAAGCTCCAGCACTGGGAAGACTCTGCCTTAGCAGATGACCAGAGCATGTGCTCCCACGTGCACCAGTCCAGCTGCACCGGCCCAAATGCGGTGAAGGGCAGGAGAGGCAAAGTCACTTCCAGGAATAGCAGACAGTGACCACTTGAAGCTGGATGGGGTAATCTCGAGGGGGTAGAGAAGGGAAAGGTGGAACAGAAAGATTGAAAAATAGCTTTTCATTCACTCCTGCATCCCTAGAGAAAGAGCTGTAAATTGAGAAGCAGGTGCTGGCAGTAATTACGATAATATTCAGCCTTCTGCTTTCAACTTTGTTTAAATGCTAATGACACTCACTTTTCTATTTCCAGTCCTGATCTTTCCCTTCACTCCATGCTGGTCTATCAAGTTCCCTATTTAACATTTCCACTTGTGTGTCTAATAGGCATCCCGAAATGTAACATGTGCAAAACAACCCTTGACTCAACTCTGTTCTCTACCACACGAACTCCTCCTACCGTTTTATCATCTCAGTAAACAGCACTGCAGTAACCCAGCTGCACAGCTCAATTTGGCGTCCTTGACTCTTTTCTTTCTCTTGCACACCATATCCAACCTATTGACAAATCCTGAATTATTTTAAAAATAGACTCTAAATCCAACGATTTCTCACCTCTTCCGTCCCCACCCCACTAGCCCATGTCCCCATCATCTTTTACCTGGAAAATTAAACCAACCTCATCGTTTTCCCACTTCCAGTCCTCTCCTACAGTCTCTTTCCCCTGTAATAGTGATCCTTTTAAGGTAAATCCTATATGTCACTGTCCTGCTTATAGACTTCCAGTAGCTTTCTATCCCACTTAGAACAAAATCTGAAGTCCTTGCCATGGCCTGTGTAGCCGGAAAGAACTGGTCCCTGGTTTCTTCTCTGTCTCTGTTTACTTTCATTCATACCCTGCCCAATGTGCCCAGGCTGCAGAGACTTCCTGGCTGTTTCTCACATGCCCCATTTTTGTCCCCATGTCAGAGAATTCCCCCAGAAATATTTCCATCTGGAATGGTCTTCCCCGGTGGCCTTTCCTGGTCCCCATACTCAGTGCCACTTTCCATTCCGCCACTGCCTATCTATCTATCCCTCTACCTTACATGATTTCCTTCATAGTTCTGATCACTTCCTAATATTATGTTATTGATTAGTCTGCTCAGGTGGGCGTAACACAGTAATACCACACACTGTATGGCTTAAACAACGGAAATCAATTTTCTCATGGTTCTGTAAGTTGGAATTCCAAGGTGCTGTCAGGTTTGGTTTCTGGTGAGGGACTCTCTGGCTTTTAGATGGCCACCTTCTTTCTGTGTCCTTACATGGCAGAGAGGAAGAGAGGAAGCCAGCTCTTTGGTGTCTTTTCTTATAAAGGGCACAAATCCCATCATAAGGGCCTCACTCTTATGACCTCATTTAACCTTGATTACTTCCTGGAAGGACTCTATCTTCAAATATAGTCACGGTTGCATTTAGGGCTTCGCTGTATGAATTTGGAGGGGGACACAGTTCAGTCTACAAGTTACATTTTACTGTTTACTGGCTGTCTCCCCACTAGAATACAGCTCGAATGGAGCAAAGACTGTTTTGTTTAGCACCATACCCCAGTACCTACCAGTCCTCGTCCCTTGTTGGCTTTCTGTGAATAGTTGTTGAATAAATGGATCAATAAATGAATGGATGGATGAAGTGATCCATGGAAGTGATGTCAACCGAAATCAGTATCTGGCTGGCTTATAATTTCCTCATGTTTATTTTTTGTATGACTCTCTATTTTCCCAGGATGATTTTTAGCAGGACTTTAATGAAAGGGGATCTGGGTCCTGACTTAGGACTGCAAGGCCCTCTTCCTGACTGTTTACTCAGTTAAGGGAACCATCATCCAGCTCAGAAGGCATCTTTTCCCAGGGACAACCCTGGCTGCCCAGGAGCTGCCAGACAACCTGCATTCATTATCATTGGAATTCCTTGGCTCATTATACTGCCTGAAGTCATTGAAGGCTAAATAAAACTCTTCAGCAACCACAAAAGAATTAAGGGAAAAAAGGGACAACTAGTTCTTGCAAAGAGAGGAGAGGGGGTACCAATTATTTTAAGGCATAGGACAATTTGAATAAAGGTGGATATTGAGGGAAATGTTACTTTCCACAAGAGATAATTTAATAGACAATCGCTTTAGGTCTAATGCCTTTGAGATTATTTTTATTTTTATTTTTTGAGACAGAATCTCAGTCTGTTGCCTAGGCTGGAATTCAGTGGCATGATCCCAGTTCACTGCAGCCTCGACCTCTGGGGCTCAAGCAAACCTTCTGGCTCAGACTCCCAAGTAGCTGGGACCACAGATGTGTACCACCACCTCTGGCTGATTTTTGTATTTTTTTGTAGAGATGGAGTTCTGCCATGTTGCTCAGACTGGTCTCGAACTCCTGAGCTCAAGTCATCTGTCCACCTTGGCCTCCCAAAGTGCTGGGATTGCAGGCAGGAGCCACTGCATCTGGCTGCCTTTGCAATTAATTTTACCAAGGAAAAATATCACTTAGTTGCATGTAGACAAATTAGTGAATTTTCCTTCTTCTCATCCCAATAAACACATTTTTTTTTCATACTTACAGTTGGCTGATGCCAAGTTAAGTTCAGTTTGTTTCTCTGAGTTCTGTTTATGTGAAGGTTTGCCCTTTTGACATCTTCCTGATCTTTCAGCGGCCTTGTAGCATGCTAATGAGTGGGAGATCTCTCAATGGACTCTCAGTGTGGGAATCTGAATTTTCATGCAGAGCCTGATGTTTTGCAAAATGTTGCTTGTTCAGGTGCCAGATAGACCTTACAAAGCTAAGCAGTTCACAAAGAGTGCTTTATGCCTGTCTTCTGAGGCCAATGTACTAGGACAAGTTTCATAACCTGTGTAAATGCCTCAGAGTTATGTCACATTAGCAAGGGCTTGTGAAAGCTTGTTGATCATTTGTTTGGCTTTAGCAACAATGTTTGTCAAAGAAATTTTAAAAACTAGTTTTATTAATATTACTTGAAAGAGAAGACAGAATTACACTTTGCGAAGAGGCCATGAAAATAGCCACTTTTTATGGAAGAGTTCAGAGTGCCTCAGAATTGGAATGCTTTCAGTTCATGGAGCGGGGTGGATATGCCACAGAGGAGGGAGACACAGACACTGTACTCACATTGTTAGTTTGGAGAAGCAAC